>NC_000003.12:141584361-141887392 GCF_000001405.40 Homo sapiens | reverse complement strand
TCACATCTGTACTGTAAAAATAATGGTGTTACTTTTGTTATAAGAAAAGAACAAAGCCAAGAGTCCACATCCCATTTAAGACCAGTTCAGATTTCTTGAGTCAGACTACACTGACCACTCACCAACTCTAACTTCTAAAGCAAACCACGGCTGCTGCTATTTTTGTAAATAAAATGCTAGCCATGCCCGTTAGTTCTATGGCCAATTTCAAGCTACAGTAATGGAGTTAGGTAGTTGCAACAAACACCGTGTGGTCAGCAAAGCCAACAATAACGTGGTCCTTTGAATCTTGCTGCCTCCCATTCTAAAGCATTTATATAGGTAGGCTTTGTTTGTAATTTCAAAGTTACATTTGAAACTATCTCATACAATGTCTTTTTTCTTTTTTTTGAGGTATGGTCTCACTCGGTCAACCAGGCTGGAGTGCAGTGGCACAATCATGGCTCACTGCAGCCTTGACCTCCCAGGCTCAAGTGATTGTCCAGCCTCAACCTCCTGAGTAGCTGGAACCAAAGATGTGTGCTAACACAGCCAGCTAATTTTTTAAAATTATTTTTTGTAGAGATGGGGTCTCCTTATGTCATCGAGGCTGGTATTGAATTCCTGGCCTAAAGTAGTCCTCCCATCTTGGCCTCCCAAAGTGCTGGGCTAAAAGGCATGAGCCATCACATCTGGCTGAACTTTTTTCTTTTATAGAGGAAACAAGGCTAAGAGATCTTGAGTTATCTAAGCTTTAACAGAGATGTGGAACTAGAATTTAGGTCTATGAGTCCTATCTGGTCATCTTCTCAGTATACTGGTGTATTCTGAGATGCATCAAGTAAAAATATATAAACCTACCAGTTCACTTTTTATTATGATGCCCTATCTGGAAACTTTAAAAATTAATTAGAAATGTAGTAGAGCAGAGCCATTGTGAGCTGGGTGATAGAATTACACCTTTATATACAGATACAACATTTTAGATGTTATAGGAAATAAGTGGTATTATTTCCACCTGAGCATATCAGAGAAGGCTTATGGCAGAGCCAGCACTGAAGCTAGGTCTGTGAAATAAGGAAGAATTCGTGTGCACAGAACGAAGAGATTGGGGAAGGAACAGACAGGGGTTCCAGACTAAGGGTCTTAGATACATCCGTGTAGCTACAACATAGGGTGCATAATGGGGTGTGGGCAAGGTGGGAAACGATGGGTTACTTAGGGTTGGAAACAGCTCCACGCCCACATACAATAAACCTGGAATGCCAGACTCTCTGGAACTTACCTAAACTTTCTGGAAGCAGTAGGGACCCAAACACAGTTTTGGGGTACAGAAGGTAATATGATCAAAGCTGCTGCCTTAGAAATAACCCGACAGCAGTGGGCTACATTGCTTAAGTCACAATGATTCTCACTGATTCTTTGGATCTTACTGGAGATGCACCAGTAGTTAAGACCCACTTTCCCCAGGGTCAACAACACTACAGGGGTGTGTGTGTGTGTGTGTGTGTGTGTGTGTGTGTGTGTGTGTGTTTTAACGCAGCAGATAAAAGCTGGAAAGCCAATCGTCTATTTGAAGCTGGAACAACTGTGAAACAATTACAAAGATCTTCATCTGGTGCTTCAAGTTTTTAAATCACAGAGTTTATAAGAAAAGGCATGCGCTGGTCAGGCACAGTGGCTCACATCTGTAATCCCAGCACTTTGGGAGGCTGAGGCAGACAGATCACCTGAGGTCAAGAGTTCGAGATCAGCCTGACCAATATGATGAAATCCCATCTCTACTAAAAATACAAAAATTGCCAGGCATGGTGACATGTGCCTGTAATTCCAGCTACTCGGGAGGCTAAGACAGGAGAATCACTTAAACCTGGGAGGCGGAGGTTGCAGTGAGCCAAGATTGTGCCATTGCACTCCAGCCTTGGCAACAAGAGCGAAACTCCATCTGAAAAACAAAAAAAGAAAAAAAGAAAAGAAAAGAAAAAAGAAAAGGCACTACCAGATCCTGATAAAATGAGGACAAGGTTGGTGGGAGTGTTAATGAAATTTGGTACGGGTGGCTAGGATTATGAAGCTAGGAAAAATGAGCATCTCAGATGTCCTCTGAACGTGTGTCTTGATGGGGATAAAGAGAAAATGGTAAACAAGTCAAAGAAAATTAATTCCTAAAATAATTGTAGTACTAGTAATGGGGATATGGGCCACAAAGATTCAAGAGGTTCAAGCGATGTTATTGAATAGCACCGGCACAATTTGGCTAAGTCTGGAGCCTAGACGACAGGATAGTGAAGCTGTTTTTTAAAACTGCAAAAATAGGAGCAATACAGAACCTCAGGGAAGGAAGGGAAACGAGCTATTTACCAGATGACGTTATCTGGTATGAAAGTTAGTTAAGACATCTAAGCCTCACACTCTTAGATTTGTGGGATATGCAGAAAGCAACTGACAATAAACAGGGGCCTGGAACCTGAGAGAGATGTCAACCAAGAAGTAAAATCTGTAATGATCTTTGCAGTTGTTATATGACATTGCCAGGAAAGAAGAAGAGAAAACAAGGCCAAAGACAGCACCTGAGATACATACATTGCATTAGTCAGGGCCTAGAGGGACAGAACTAATAATATGTATATATCTCCTTGAGGAACAAGGAGAGCCAGTCTGAGTCCCAAAACCAAAGAACATGGAGTCTAATGTTTGAGGGTAGGAAGCATCCAGCACGGGAGAAAGATGTAGGCTAGGAGGCTAGGGCCAGTCTCTCCTTTTCACGTTTTTCTGCCAGCTTTATATTTGCTGGCAGCTGATTAGACAGTGCCCACCCAATTAAGAGTGGGTCTGCCTTTCCCAGCCCACTGACTTAAATGTTAATCTCCTTTGGCAACACCCTCACAGACACACCCAGGATCAATACTTTCTATCCTTCAACCCAATCAAGTTGACACTCAATAATATTAACCATCACAAACACTTAGAAGACAGGAAGAGCAAACAAGAAGGAACTAGGAAAGGAATGGTTAGAGAGCTAGGGAGTGGGAGCAGGAGTATGAGTATGTAAAAGGCCACTTTTTATGAGCCAGATACTGCCAACATGCAAAAACCAAAAGAAAAGTACCCCATGCCTTGCAGGAAGGTCACTTCCAAAGTCATATCTTACCCACAGCACCAGCAAAATCCTAAGAAGTCACAAATAAGAGCTAGCTCCACAAATGACTCAGTAACAAAGTTTAAACAGGTATGTGGGAGGTTATTATGTTAAAAAAAATTTTCCGAAATATTATTAGTAATAGCACCCCATAAGGGAAGAAGGGCACTATTAAATAAACTCCCATTAAATTTGAGAGCAGGTAAAAGAAAAAAAGACTTTATGAGGGTCTCATAAAAGCAGTATAAGAAGCTGAAAAGAGCAATAAAGCAGGAAGCAAACCTAAATAAAATTTTGCCCTGGTTCTGTCACTATTATCAGATGCGTGATCCAGGCATGTCACAAACCCAGCTGAGTCTCCAATAAGAAAGTTAAGTGGAATAATCACTAAGCTTCTTTTGAACACTGAACTTCCATGAAAACCCATCAGTACTCTAACAAAAGAAAAAGGAAAATGCCCCAAAATTGAGGGGACAATTATACTATGGGTACACCAATACCGTCAAACACTGTGAAGCCATTAAAAACAATACTGCAGAAGACTAACTTCATGGAAACATTCATAGTACTGCTCATTCAACCAGTTTGTATTACATTCCTAGCAAGTGCTAGGACAGGCCAGGGGTTAGAGAATCAAAGAGGAATAAGACAAGAATAAGATTATAGTCTAGTAAATAGGCAATGACAACAATATATAAAGTTATAAATGCTATGATAGAAAAAGGTTTTATTTTATTTTGTTGAGTCTTAACTTTTTTTTAGATAGGCTAACTCTATCACCTAGGCTGGAATGCAGTGGCACAATTACAGCTCATTGTAGCCTCGACCTCCTGGACTCAGGTGATCCTCCCACCTCAGCCTCCCGAATAGTTGCAACTACAGGTCATTATCAAAGTCTGATTGCAAAAATTCACTACGCCACCACACCTGGCTAATTTTTTGTATTTTTAGTAGTGACAGGGTTTCACCATGTTGCCCAGGCTGATTTCTAACTCCTGGCCACAAGTGATCCGCCCACTTCGGCTTCCCAAAGTGCTGGGATTACAGGCAAGAGCCACTGCACCTGGCCTTAATGCAAAGAGGAGTTCAAAGATGTTTTCTGGGTATCAGACTATCAAAGCTGACATCTGATCAGCCAGACCAACATGGAATAAGGGGATGAGAGGCCCAGAAGCTAGGAAACAGCCCAGAAGGAGTAGGAAATAACTATGTGGAATGGTAGAGAGAGATGACAGGAGAGAAGTAAGCCACTGAGATTTTAAAGAGTTTGTATGTCGTGCTAAGGAGCCCTTGAGAACAACACAGATTTATATGAACAGATAACCTATGAAACATCCAACTGGAGATTTCTGATAGGCAGGTGGTTATAAGAACATTAAAAACTCATGAGGCCGGGCGCGGTGGCTCACGCCTGTAATCCCAGTACTTTGGGAGGCCAAGGCATGTGGATCACCTGAGGTCAGGAGTTTGAGATCAGCCTGACCAACATGGAAAAAAACCCTATCTCAGCTAAAAATACAAAAATTAGCTAGGCATGGTAGCGCATGCCTGTAATCCCAGCTACTTGGGAGGCTGAGGCAGGAGAATCGCTTGAATCCGGGAGGCAGAGGTTGCGGTGAGCCGATATCGCACCATTGCACTCCAGCCTGGGCAACAAGAGCGAAACTCTATCTCAAAAAACAAAACAAAACAAAATTGTATGATTAGATATGCAGCTTTGGGAGTCCCAACAGAGATAGTAACTAAGCCACCAGACTAGATAAATTCAACAGGAAGTATGTATGGTCACCATAAAGGTGACAGACCCAAGGACACCTCCAGCACATCAACATTTAGGAAAAAGGCAGAGGAATAAAGACCATTCTCCTTAAATGTTAAATGATAAGATCAGGTATTTAGGTATGTTTTAAAAACTTATTTATACATAGGAAAAAGACATAAAATGTTAATAGTGGTTATATTAAGTGGTTAAAGATTACAGGTGACTTTTCTTCAAAACCAACAGAATGAATGCAAAATTAGAAAATAATTAAATTTATCTTTCAAGGTTAAATGGGTGTTTCCTCCTATTTCACAATCAGTGTTAAATGACTGGTCCTTAATCAAATGATGATAAAATCATGGAAAAGTTGTTACTATAGACAGGAGGGCTTTTAAGACTTCTTTTAATACAACTAGTTTAATTGTATAGATATAAATCCAAAAGTCAATTTCAAAGAAATCGAATTACATCAGGGGTGGGGAGAGGCTCTTTAATAATCTTAAAGCACTCGTACTACCATAATTACAATGGTATTGTAACACAACACATACACTTACCCTTTCTCTCCCTCCCACCACAGGACTACTTCCTGGACAATCCAGGAAGTACTTTCTCCTGCTAGATAATGGCTCAGTACCTGCCCTTCTCTTCTGCTGCTGTCACCACATGTACCATTGGCCTGCGTTTATAGCCTGCACACAGGGTAAGGCAAGTCCTGTTACTTTCCCAGTGATGCACATTTTTGTAAAGTTTGTAAAGCTTCCATTTATGCCTGTGTTCCATTACTGGAACGCTAAGCATGTGGGAGTTATATCCTACTGCTCAATGTCCTTGCCAAGGTCTCATTGCAAAAATTTTAAAAATTGCAACCTCCAGCATAAATGGGTTAATGGCACACTCCACAGGACAAAGAACACCATCTTACAAAAATTATGTGACAGACAATGGAAAACAAACACATCTGCCTTCTCCCCTACTGTCAGATGCCCCAGATGGGATGAAGCCTGATCTCCAAAGCAGAACAATTACTGAGCCATGACCCAGAAGTGACTGAGAAAATGGCACTTCATGGAACTATAGTAAAAGAAAAGGCACACAAACAAAATATAGGTGCTAACAGTTTTGGTCCAGAATTCTGACTAGGCTTGGAAATCACTGACTTGAGTTTTAAGTTAATATTAATACAAAGCATTTACTGACAGACCACCTTAATAAAGATAATGAACCCCAAAGAAGCTCACAAGTAGATGTTATTAAATGACAACACATCATGGCATAGTTGGTTTTTCTTTTCTTTTTTTTTTTTTTGGAGGTGGAGTCCTGAGCTTGTCGCTCAGGCTGGAGTGCAGTGGCGCGATCTTGGCTCACTGTAACCTCCACCTCCCGGGTTCAAGCAATTCTCCTGCCTCAGCCTCCAGAGTAGTTGGGATTACAGGCACCCGCCACCATGCCGGGCTAATTTTTGTACTTTAAGTAAAGACGGATTTCGCCATGTTGGCCAGGCTGGTCTCGAACTCTGACTTCAGGTGATCCGCCCGCCTCAGTCTCCCAAAGTGCTGGGATTACAGGCATGAGCCACCATGTCCCGCCTGGTTTGTTTTTTAAAAAATCTCTGGCCTTGGAGTCTGAAGCCCCAAGGATTTTATCACTAACTCCCTGAGTGAATTTTGGCAAATCAGATGACCCATAGGTTTAATTTTGCCACCTATGAAATGAAGGCACTGGGCTAGATTAGTGGCTTTCAAGAGTTTTTGGACTATGAGCCAAAGTAACAAATACAGTTTACACTGGGGTATCTATATATGCAAAATACACAAAAGCTTCATGAAACAACACTTTTTTTAAAGCTAGAATGAACCTATTAGGTAAAATAAACATATTTTTACTATTCTATTTCATCATTAAAAAAATGTTAATGGCAACACTTGGCCCACTACTAGTAGTTTAAATAACACTAGATCTCTAAGCTTCATTAATTTGACTCTAATTGTATTCAATGAACTTAAGTTATTTAATATTTTGCAAACATCAGCCACTAGGTGCTCAATTTTCTTTGTCCTGTGTATTCATAAATGGCAACTATTTATTGCTGACTTATACTTACTTTTCAGCTTGAAAACCAGTGCTAAGTACACTTGGATCACCCAACTAGTTGGCTTTACGTTACTGTGAAAATCACATGAAGTAACTTATGTGTATATAAGCATTTTGAAACTGCTGTAACCACCTGTAAGATATTAGCCAAATACACAGTAAAGCGGCCACTCAAAATCTTTACGTAGCTGTTTTAAATAAGGCAATGCAATGTAACTTGCAACATTTTCACTTTATCCAAAATGTAAATAGCAAAACTACCTTTTAAATATGTGTGCTTTTTAATGTATCCAATGCACTTGGAGAGGAACCTTAGATCAAAATGAGACAAACATACTAAAGACTTAAATGTGTAAAAATAAAACCAGGAAACATCTTAAATGAATGATAAAATCCTGGGGGTAGACACACCAGGAGTCCTAGCAACTTTACAAGGTCAAAAAAGATGTGATTTTTTTTCCTTCCACCCCCTACAACAAATACATAATCTTTTTCTCCCACCACCTACATAAAATTTGATTAAAAAAAGTCAAAAAGACAACTAGAAAAAAAATTTGCAAAATGACAAAAGGCTGTTTTTCTTAAAAAAAAAAAAAAAAAAAAAAAAGCTGTTACCAAAAACTGTAAGGTTTTTTTTTTTGAGATGGAGACTTGCTTTGTCGCCCAGGCTGGAGTGCAGTGGTGCGATCTCAGCTCACTGCAACCTCCACCTCCTGGGTTCATGCAATTCTCCTGCCTCAGCCTCCCAAGTAGCTGTGATTACAGGCAGGTGCCACCACACCCGGCTAATTTTTTTTTTTTTCATTTTTAGTAGAGACAGGGTTTCACCATGTTGGCCAGGCTGGTCTTGAACTCCTGCCCTCAAGTGATCCACCCACCTCAGCCTCCCAAAGTGCTGGGATTACAGGTGTGAGCCACCGCGCCCGGCCCCAAAAATGTAAGGTTTTAAAAGAGATAACACAGGTAAAAATAGCCTCAGTGCTGATGAAGGTATGAGACACCACTACATACCGTTGGGAGTATAAATTGTTAGAAACTTCCTGGAAAGCACATGAAAACAAGTTTTCAAAATGTAAAAAGTACATATGAATGGCCTAGAAATCCCATCGGTATAAATATATACCAAGGAAATAAATGTGCAAAAATGTACATGAAAAGGGTGAATATAGGGAAACCTGTCTAAAAATCTTTAGTAACATGGAAAGATGCCCACAATATACTCAGAATATAAAACAACACTTTATGATCCTTTTGTTTTAAAAAAAATGTTATACACAATTCAGTAACATATATACCAGAATGTTAATAGTATCTCTGAGGTATGATGACATCTGGCAGCAAGCCCATACAGTCCCTTCAAGAGAATTAAAAAAAGAATCCTTCCTGGCAGACATATCCCCAGAGGCACAGAGCTCTCCAAACTGATCCTGCCTTTGCAAGAATTAGAACAAGGTGCCCCTTCTCTAGGCAGACCCAACCATGGTCTAGGATACACAGCCTGGCAAGCTGAATATGGATTTCGGCCTCCTCTCACGACTCCCTCACATATCCTTAGAGGGATACCCTTACATTGGGACAGGATTATGGTTAATTTTCACCTATATATGCCATTCTTCACTGACTTACTATTATTACAATAAACAAAAAATTTACTGATAAGAGTAATACTTATCGATTTTGAAGAGATTGACTTAATCCTTCCAAAATGAATCCCAACTTCACTTGTACTAGTTTTACAGTCCTTACACATTGCTCTCTATTTATTTGTGCATGTTATCTATTTAAATGCATTGACTCAATAAAATAAAATCTCTACCCTAGGTCATACAATACAAAGGTTGAAGAGCACTATCTGCAGTAAGAAATGTCATTCTAACACAAAGTGGAGTTACTCCGTTCTGGAAATGAGGAAGCACTGGGGAAGGGAGAAAGGGAGGAAGGTAGCCTATCAAAATTAATCTCTCTCCACCACTCAAAAATTTCTTCAGCAAAAAGTTAGTACACTCTAGAAACAAGCAATTAAGCTTTATAAATGTTCATCTTTTGTTCCCATGTAAGTCTGGATGCAAGATTTATTTCTTCATCACACTAGTGGGTTCCCAAAAGAAAACAGCAATTTAAATAAAAATCATGAGTGATTACCATGCAGTTAGGCAAGGCATCTGTAAAATAATACAACCGCTGGACTAGGATTAAAGGAGAACTGGGTTCTTTTCTTGGCTTTGTGGCATATGTAATTTTACACAAGGCAAAAATCACAACCTCTCTGGGTCTCATTTTTCTCATCTCTAAAGTGGGGGTTGGGCTAAAAATCCTCCAAGGCCCCTTTCAGCTTGTGATAAGACTTCAAGTCGCCTTTTCACCCTGAAGGAGTCCATTTCAGTCTGCACCAACAGTTTATTTTCTGAGTCACAGCTTATTTCTCCATGCTTATCCTAAAAATGTTGTGCCCAAATAGTTCTAAGCTCTCGAGATTTATTCCCACTCAGAAAGAAATGGTCTTTCAAGACCCACTAACAAAATGTTTCAAAAGGATTTAAAAAGGTAAAATTAGTTTACTTAAGTATAAAGGCAAAAAAAAAAAAAAGCTCTAGCCTGCATTCAGAGATTGATACAATTTTAGGAAAAAAAGGCATCCTAAAGCTACTCTACACGGTAGATGGTTTAAATATATTAAAACAAAGAGCTCACGCATAGAAAAAATCTGCTAACATACAACCATCACTCTCCTGTTTTGAAGACACGGGAAAAAAAAAAAAAACCTGTGTTGTTCAGACAGGATTTACTTTCCCCAAAGAAGCAAATTTGTAAGGAAGAAAACCTCTGTAATTAAAAAGGAATCCGGGAGGAACCAACCTTTTTAAGGGCCTTTTCACTGTCCAAATTCAAGTGCATTTTCTTGTACAATGTACTTCTGTGATTAACTCACCGCTACACGTTTAAGCAACCCACACCCACACTTAACACTCAGTCGCACTCTTCCGACCGGTCGGGGTGGCAGCGTGGACGAGTCACAAGATAGCGGCGGGAGTGGAAATTTCCTCTCCCCTGGAGTGGGGCAGGGTCTGGCTTCTCCGAACCGCTCAGCGGGCCGGGCGCCTCCGCCAGGGCCTCTCGGGCCGGAGCGCTCCGTACAAAGGAGGCCCGGGGGCTCGGCTCCTGCACTCTCGGGGCCCGGCTTCGGGCAGGGGTCCCCGGCTTCCGGCGCCGCGCCGGGCGGGAGGCCCGGGCAGCACGTGCGCCCCGCTCCCAGCAGGGAGGGAGGAACCAGCGCGGCCCGGCCGGGCTGCCCGCGGGCCCCGCTGCTTCGGGAGCGAGCTGCGGCCAGTCCGGCCGGCCCGGGGAGCAATGAATGGGGCCGCACTGCGCCGCCGCCGCCCGGGTTAGGGTCGGGCGGTCGGGAGCCCCGGCGCTGGGAGCCGCCTCCCGCCTTTCCGTTCCCACCAGACCGCGCCCGGCGCCCCCGGGACCGAGGCCGGCCCCGGACGCCCAGCTGCTGCCCGCTCACCCCAGCTCTTGGCGGTGCGCCCCAGGAATTCTCCGGTGGTCGGGTTGTAGATGAAGAGCTTCCACTCGGCCAGGCTCTGGTTGAGGGACTTCTTCTCGTTCTTCGTCATGGTGTGCGCGCGGACGGCGAGAGGAGCTGCGGCCGCGGGGATGGAGGCGGCGAGGGCTGCGGAGGCGCGTCCCGGCTCCGGCGGCGCAGCCCGGAGACGGCAGTGAAGGGTGGGACGGCCGAGAACACCTCCTCGTTACGGGGAGTACTCGAGCCGACTGCGCCGCGCCGCGCCGGGCGGCCGCTTGGGCCGCGGGAGCCTGACGTCTCCGCCCGCCGCAGCCAATCCCCGCGCCGCTCGGCCCGCGCCGCTGCCGCCTCCCGCCAGCGGCCGGGGCGCTGCCTGAGGCGGCGAGGGCGCCCCACCCCGCCCCGGCCCCGCCCCGCAGTAGCCTCGGGGGCTCCCTCAGCCTGGGTCAGAGGAAGCGAGAAGAAAGTCTAAAAATCCGAAGGTTTAGTCGCACGCACGTTTATAATAATAGCAAAAGGCGGGCGTCCCCGCGCCGCAGGTTGCTTAGGAGGAGGACTGGGTTTCCTGGGCGTTCCTGGGCGCCGGGGCGCTGAGAAGATGCTACCCGCGGCGGGCGGGTGCGGAGAGCACGAAAACGACTCCAGTCGGCCCGCGGCTTCCTCTCTGAGGGAACTTAATCGTCCCCTCCCCGAACTGCCTCCCCGACCGTCCCCAGGCGTTCTCTGGGCTCTGTGACGTTCCTACAGGACGCTCTCTGGGCTCTGTGACGTTCCTACAGGACGCTCTCTGGGCTCTGTGACGTTCCTACAGGACGCTCTCTGGGCTCTGTGACGTTCCTACAGGACGCTCTGCGGGGGATCGCGCGGGGCTCCCACAATGTACACGGTGCACTGCTGTTCTGAGAACGTCCTCGCTTGGCTCCCTTGAAGGGTTCAACCGGGAGCCTCGGGTCAATGGGAATTCCGTTCTAAATATGCCAGTGAATGGAGTATAATTTTTCTCGGGATTCAGTTGAATTTATCAATGAAATCTAAATACGTGCTTTCCCAAGGGTCCTGGCAACTGAAAGCTCCCAGCTTTTGCCCAGACGCTCCTACTCTTAACCCACAGGAAAGGAACACTCGTTGGAGGGTCCACGCCTGTGTAGTGTCGCCGGCTTTTCATCTCCCCTGTAGAGATCGCGGCCCTTGGGCGGAGCTGAGGGTGCCGGTAGCGTTTTCCTCCGCGAGATGGAGCTGACGAGTACGGGAGGGGGGGTGCCCTCAGACTCAGCGACAGGATAAAAGACTTTATAGGAATTTGCACAGAAGGTGCGGGGTGGGGGAGGTTGTTGTTGTTGTTGTTTATTTATTTATTTTTAGAAAAAAGCTCTGCCTCCGTTTTATTAGCAAATAAAAATTATGGAGAAATGTAATAGCCATCTTATTGTTTGGAGTGATGAATTATAATCTGTCTGGAAGTTTAAACAGCCTGCAAATGGATGAATTTTCCTTTTTCCTCACTTTTCTTACCAAAGCAAGAAATAATGAATTATACCTCCCACAAATGGAAAAGTGGTAAAATATATTCCTATAAAGTGCTTTTTTCACGCTTAAAAAAGCTAAATTTATAATTATGACATTGAAAATAACCAAAATCCATTTACGTTTTGAGCTAATGACACCAAAAGATTTGTAGAAGCATGTTGGAGAGTTTGGCATGAAATGAGTATTAGAAATAGCAAAGCACCATGCAAGCAGACTGGAATGCACTTCTTTAAATCATAGGCAAGATTGAAAGAACTAAAGAATGTTACCTGCCGGGCGCGGTGGCTCACGCCTATAATCCCAGCACTTTGGGAGGCCGAGGCAGGCGGATCAGGAGGTCAGGATCGAGACCATCCTGGCTAACGCGGTGAAACCCCGTCTCTACTAAAAATACAAAAAAATTAGCCGGGCGTGGTAGCGGGCGCCTGTAGTCCCGGCTGCTCGGGAGGCTGAGGCAGGAGAATGGGGTGAACCCAGGAAGCGGAGCTTGCAGTGAGCCGAGATCCCGCCACTGTACTCCAGCCTGGGCGACAGAGCAAGACTCCGTCTCAAAAAAAAAAAAAAAAAAAAAAAAAAAAAAAAAAAAGAATGGAAGTAGTTAACTATTTTCAACTCATTACAAATATAACTACAGGTTAGAGGAAACCTAAAATACTGGTAGAGTTGATAACAGGCTTTTTCATTTAGGTAAGAAAGAAAGATATTTAGAATGAAACAAAACCTGTCCGCTTCATTTACATTGTGTGTGTGCATGTATGTGTGTGTGCGCTAATAATAAGCGTGCTTTGATAACTAATCACCTGGCACACAAAGAAAACGTGGTAAACAAGAATATTATGAAATAGTGTTTCAAAGATATTGGCTGCTGTCAAGGATTTGTAGTTTGTGTATGTGTGTGTGTATATATATATATATATATATATATATTTTTTTTTTTTTTTTTTTTTTTTTTTTTTTTTGAGATGGAGTCTTGCTCTTGTCGCCCAGGTTGGAGTACAGTGGCTCGGATCTTGGCTCACTGCAACCTCTGCCTCCCGGGTTCAAGCAATTCTCCTGCTTCACCCTTCCAAGTAGCTGGGATTACAGACGCACGCCACCACGCCCAGCTAATTTTTTTATTTTTCAGTAGAGATGGGGTTTCACCATGTTGGCCAGGCTGGTCTCGAACTCCTGACCTCAGGTGATCCGCCCGCCTCAGCCTTCCAAAGTGATGGGATTACAGGCATGAGCCACCACGCCCAGCCTGTTAGTTTGTATATGTTTAATGGTCATTAATATGACTTTCATATTTAGTGCTTTGTGGTTTTCCAAATAAGGATTTAAATACAAATATATAATTCAGTAAGCAGTTTTGAAACACATGACTAGTTCAGTATAGTAACTAGGTCCAACAGATTTCAGTTTGGTGAAATTTTTACATTCTACTCCAAAACATGGAAGCTATTTGTTTCTCTGATATATGGTAACTTGAGCATTACCTGGAAGAGAAAATCCTGTGTGTACTGGGAACCACTGGTCTACCAAGTATGAGCAGATAACATTTAATTACAGTTACATTCTCTGTCAGTTTATTTTACTCTAAGTTTCTCCTTTGAAGGAGAAGTTACTTCGCTAGAGAAAATACAGAATGCCTACCTAAATTTAAGTCCAGATGGATGATGGATTTTTTTTGGTATACATTCCATGCAATATCTGGGACATAGCTACTCCCCCAAAATTATTCTTGTCTGTCTGAAATTCAAATTTAACTAGAAATCTTGTTTTTGTTTTTGTTTTTTTGGAGACGGAATTTGATCTTGTCGTCCAGGCTAGAGTGCAATGGCGCAATCTCGGCTCACTGCAACCCCTGCCTCCTGGGTTCAAGCGATTCTCCTGCCTCAGCCTCCCAAGTAGCTGGGATTACAAGCATGTGCCACCTCACCTGGCTAATTTTTGTGTTATTAGTAGAGACAAGGTTTCACCATGTTGTCCAGGCTGGTCTCGAACTCCTGACCTTAGGTGATCCACCCGCCTCGGCCTCCCAAAGTGCTGGGATTACAGACATGAGCCACTGCACCCAGCCTATCTTGTATTTTTATTTGCTAAATCTGACAGCCCTACCTGTAGAGGATACTTAGGAATTCCACAGTAATAATAATGATCTCTTATAAATAATTAAGTAAGTCCCAGGCCCTGTACTACTTGCGTAGTGTGATTTATTTCTCAGTCTTTACAAATACCCTAATGGGGAGGTACTGTTTCCCTAATTTTGTAAATGAGGGAATTACATTTACAAAATCGTAATTAAGTTTGTAATTAATTCTCTAATTACAGTTACTGAAATTAGAGAAATTAACTCATCCATGGTTAAGAAGCTAGCTAATGACAGCACCTGGATTCAAATACCCACCTCTCCTCCACCACCCAATACCATTAATACCTCTACAGTAGGCCGGGCGAGGTGGCTCAAGCCTGTAATTACAGCACTTTGGGAGGCCGAGGAGGGCGGATCACGAGGTCAGGAGTTCAAGACCAGCCTGGCCAACATGATGAAACCCCGTCTCCACTAAAAATACAAAAATTAGCTGGGCACAGTGGCGGGCGCCTGTAATCCCAGCTACTCGGGAGTTTGAGGCAGGAGAATTGCCTGAACCACGAGGTGGAGGTTGCAGTGAGCCTAGATCATGCCACTGCACTCCAGCCTGGGTGATAGAGCAAGACTCTGTCTCAAAAAAAAGGCAGAATGTTGAGTTACTGAAGCTGGGTGTGTGAAAAAAAAGAAGAAACTTTTTTTTTGAGACAGGGTCTTGCCCTGTTTCCCAGGCTGGAGTGCAGTGGTGCAATCATAGCTCACTGTAGCCTCCACCTCCTGTACTCAAGTGATCCTCCTCCCTCAGCCTCCTGAGTAGCTAGGACTACAGGCATGCCACCACACCTGACTTATTATTATTAATATTATTATCATTATTTGAGATGGAGTCTCGCCTTGTTGTCCAGGCTGGAGAGCAGTGGTGCAATCTCGGCTCCCCACAACCTCCACCTCCCAGGTTCAATTGGTCAATTGATTCTCCTGCTGCAGCCTCCTGAGTAGCTGGGACTACAAGTGCGTGCCACCATGCCCAGCTAATTTTTGTATTTTTAGTAGAGACAGGGTTTCACTCTATTGGCCAGGCTGGTCTCGAACTCCTTCGAACTCCTGACCTCATGGTCCACCCACCTTGGCCTCCCAAAGTGCTAGGATTACAGGCGTGAGCCACCGGGCCCGGCTACATCTGGCTAATTTTTATTTTATTTTTGTAGAGATGGGAATCTCACTATGTTGCCCAGGCTGGTCTTGAACTTCTGGCTTCACTTCAAGCGATAGTTTTGAGTTGACCTCCCTAAATATGGAATTACAGATGTGAGCCACTGTGCCTGGCCAAAAAGAAGTTTTTTATGTGAGGAAGACTAGCCCCTTTAAATTATCAGGCCCAGAGAGGCATTGAAATTAAACACATGGAATGAAACTCTTCCTTGAACTAAATCATTATCTCTTGAAGCCACTTCATTTCTGTAAACCAATGCATTCCTGATGAACAACTTTTGCAATTGTCCCTTTCTCCTGATTCATCCTTTTTTCTTTAAAAACTTGAGCCTCTCCTTTGTTCCCTGAAGCACTCGCCAAGACAACCTGGAAATGTGTCCTGGGCTGCACTTCTCAACCTTGGCCTAAATAAACTCTCTACATTAATTTTGCCTAAGCTTCTTCCTTTTAGGTCAACAGGTGATGGGTACATGAGGTTCATTATACTATATTTGCTTTGTATATGCTTGGAATTTTTCATAATATAATGCTTTTAAAAATTGGAGAAGATGTGAAAAAGAAATTGGGGACAAAGGATGGCCAATTTTCCTGATACACATTTTTGTGGTTCTTTTATTTGAAAAACAACCAAAAGAAGGTATAAATTTGGCTGGGCGTAGTGGTGCATGCCTGTAATCCCAGCTACTTGAGAGACTGAAGCACAAGAATCACTTGAACCCAGGAGGCAGAGGTTGCAGTGAGCTGAGAGTGAGACTCGGTCTCAAAAATAAAAAGAAGGTATAAATTTAACACTTTTAAAAGGAGATATTTTAAAAAGCTGACCTCATAGGAAACAGATAATTCTGGGGACATAAGAGAATTTTTCTTGTATTCTAAATAGTGACCACAGCAAAATCTAAGCTACTTTATCCATAAGATAAGTTGATTATATACATGTAATCAACATATAGATGTGTATGTATAGATCTATATACACACTCATATATATACACATACATATATATATTAGGCACAATCAGTGACATGAAGAAAATTATTGGAAATTAAAAATATAATTGCTAAAATTAAAAAATCAATATAAGGACTGAATGGAGCAGTCAATGGAATCCCCCAAAGCGTAAAGCAGAAAGACAAAAGGAAATGAAAATATTTTTAGAAGTACAAACACATATAGGGCTAATCCAGGAAGGATGCTATTCAACTAATAGTTCCTGGATTGACACTTTATGTGTTTTCAGAAGAAAGACAAGAAAATTCAGGGGAGAATATAATGAGAGAAATAATAGAAGAAAATTGCCTAGAGGTAAGAACAGGAGTCTTCAGCCTGAAAATGTATGCTGGTGCCAGGCATAAGAAATAAAAATAGGCTCATACTTAACCATAACCTTCTGATTTTACAGTACAGAAAATACTAATAGAGGATCCTGAAAGCTTCCAGAGAACAAACAACAGTCCAACTACAATAGAACAAACGTCTGAACAGCACCAGTCTTCCCATTACACTCAGGGCCAGAGGACAGTGGAGTGCCACCTTTAGAGGAATAAGTCTCAGAATACCATACCCAGCCAAGCTGCCACGCATATTCAGACATGTCAGAACTCAGGAAACTCATGTCTCATAAAGTTTTCCTGAAAAAAAAAAAAAAAAATCAAGAGTGGGCCAGTAAAAAGACAAAGGAATCCAAGAATGAGAAAAACTTGGGATCCAAGAAAAACTAGTCCTAACCCAGGAGTGCAATGTCGGGCAGGCCTAGAATGACAGCTGTCTGGCAGGGCAAGCGAGCAACTGGTTTCCAACAGAGAAGAATGCCTGCAAGCAGAAAGTGGAGTCCATGCTACGGAGTGTGGGATTAAGAACCTGGATAAATTTAGTCCTATGATGAAGGCATGTGCTTCTTTTGTTAAGAAGCAAAATGAAAAGCAATGGAAAACAGCAGAAAATTATGTTCCAAATATAAAGCACACTAATTGAGTGTTTGAAGATGTAATCGTTCAGCCCTGATGTTTGGTGCATCCTCTTTCTAGTGGCATAGATTAGTGATAGAGATTTACCTTTTCTAACTGATGCACTTTGTTCTGCAGTGAATCCTGTTTACATAATCAAAACAATATAATTGCAGTTTATTGACTTTAAATACTTAGGAATGACCAGTCGTAGAGCAAAATGTCCATGTTGTAAATTCTGACAATATAAAAGTAGTGGTGGAGCTGACAGAAGGCAGGAGTAGACCTGAGAAGAGAAGAGAAGAGAGAGTTGAAGGAAGATGTGGAAATGTTGGTTTCTTTTTCATACATAATAGGGAGTTTAGAGATCATATTTAAAGATAGTGGGCCAGGTGCAGTGGCTCACACCTGTAATTTCAACACTTTGGGAGGCCAAGGTGGGTGGATCACTTGAGGCCGGGAGTTCGAGACCAGCCTGGCCAACATGACGAAATCCCGTCTCTACTAAAAATGCAAAAATTAGCCCTGTGTGGTGGCGCACATCTGTGATCCCACCTACTCAGAAGGCTGAGGCAGGAGAATCACTTGAACTTGGGAGGCACAGGCTGCAGTGAGCTGAGATGGCCCCACCACACTCCAGCCAGGGTGACAGAGTGAGACTCTGTCTCAAATAAATAAGATGGTGGAGCTGGAAGTAGAAGTTTTAAAATTGTAAATATCACCAACAGAAAAAATAATACTATCATTAACAAAATATAAATGGAGGATAAAGTGGAGCAACACACAAGTAGCTCATTTATCATATCAGAGACTTAATAGTGTTTGGAATTGACTAATAGAAAAATAGGTATATAAGCATGTTGCTTAGAGCTAAAGAGAGAGCAGATGAAATAAAACTGGAAAGGACTGAAAGATCTTGGATATTTTTCTGGTGGGATAGAGGCAGGATATGAGTACTTTTCATTCTTAGTCCTTTTGTACTTTGATTTTTTAAAATTGTGTATATGTTGTATTACTTTGATAGTTTAAGTGGTTGGGGAAAATGCACTTAAGCTGGATCCTCCTATTATAAACTCTGAGCCCCACAATTCCTAACTGCATACTTTTTTTCCTCCTTAAAGATTTAAGTTCATGCCTGTAATCCCAGCACTTTGGGAGGCCAAGGCGGGAGGATCACCTGAGGTCAGAAGTTCAAGACCAGCCTGGCCAACATAGTGAAACTCCGTCTCTATTAAAAACAGAAAAATTAGGCCGGGCGTGGTGGCTCACGCCTGTAATCCCAGCACTTTGGGAGGCTGAGGCAGGTGAATCACCTGAGATCAGGAGCTCCAGACCAGCCTGGCCAACATGGTGAAACCCTGTCTCTACTAAAAGTACAAAAATCAGCCGGGTGTGGAGGCACCTGTTATCCCAGCTACCCAGGAGGCTGAGGCAGGAGAATCACTTGAACCCAGAAGGTGGAGGTTTGCAGTGAGTGGAGATCATGCCACTGTACTCCAGCCTGGGAAACACAGCAAAACTCAGTTAAAAAAAAAAATTAGCCAGGCATGGTGGTGGGCACCCGTAATCCCAGCTACTTGGGAGGCTGAGGTAGGAGAATTGCTTGAACCCGGGAGGCATAGGTTGAGGTGAGCACCATTGCACTCCAGCAAAAAAAAAAAAAGTTATTTAGTAACAGGATAAGAACTAACATTTAAATAAACTGAGTTACTAGCTACTAGGTGAAACCAAATGAAATTTTGACCTATGAAGATAGCAATTTCATATCATTCAACTTAATATATGCTCTTCTCATTAAAAAGTATAAATGGGGCCAGGCAGGGTGGCTCATGTCTGTAATCCTAACACTTTGAGAGGCTGAGACAGGAGGATTGCTTGAGCTCAGGAGTTCAAGACCAGCCTAGGCAACATAGTGAGAACTCGTCACTGAAAAAAAAAGTATAAATGAAGCCAAAACCACAGTAGCTATGGACTCTTATATACTATATACTTAGTATTTTATATTGATTTTTCCACCTAAATAAAAATATAATTTTTAAACCCCACAGAGCTGTGTCAAAAAACACAAAATTATTTTTAATTATAGAAGGGATTAAGATATCAATCTCCAATGAGTTTTGATTTACTTTTGATTAATATTTCAGTTACAGAACAATCTGCAAATTTAACTCAAATTTGAAATATTATTATTATTTATTATTATCAAGCAGCTTCCTGAGCCAGAGTAGGCTTGCACAGACTCCCTCAAATGTGAATTTTTTTTTTTTTTTTGAGGTAGAGTCTCGCTCTGTCGCCAGGCTGGAGAGCAGTGGTGTGATCTCGGCTCACTGCAACCTCTGCCTCCTGGGTTCAAGTGATTCTCCTGCCTCAGCCTCCTAAGTAGCTTGGACTACAGGCGCACACCACCACATCCAGTTTTGGTTTTGACTTCATTTATACTTTTTTTTTTTCAGTGATGAGTTCTTGCTATGTTGCCCAGGCTGGTCTTGAACTCCTAATTTTTGTATTTTTAGTAGAGATGGGGTTTCACCATGTTGGCTAGGATGGTCTCTATCTCTTGACCTTGTGATCCGCCTGCCTCGGCCTCCTAAAGTGCCAGGATTACAGGTGTGAGCCACCGCACCTGGCCTCAAATGTGAAATTTAAAATGAAGGTATCTATTAAATTATCAGGCCCCTTGGGCCTGTAATATTCTGAAATAATACATACTACAGTTTTTCTATTTACTTCTTTTGTGAAGAGCACTGACTCAAGATGGGCCAGAAAGAATTTCCTTCTGGAGGGGCAAAGCACACCAAAGAATGATGTCTTATGCTTCATCATTGTTTGTTTTTGGTTTTGTTTTTCCCTAAGTTGCCTCTTGAGATTTATCAGTGTTTTACAGCATCTTGAAGGTATTTGAGTCTCAAAAGTTAGCCCTAGGGCCAGGCGCAGTGGCTCACACCTGTAACCCTAGCACTTTGGGAGGCTGAGGGGGGTGGATCACCTGAGGTTGGGAGTTCAAGACCAGCCTGGCCAACATGGTGAAACCCTGTATCTACTGAAAATACAAAATTAGCCGAGTGTGGTGGCATGCACCTCTTATCCCAGCTACTCGGGTGCCTGAGGCAGGAGAATCACTTGAATCTGGGAGGCAGAGGTTGCAGTGAGCTGAGATTGTGCCACTGCACTCCAGCCTGGGTGACAGAGTGAGACTCTGTCTCAAAAAAAGAAAAAAAAATAGCCCTAGGCTTTTTTTTTTTTTTTTGGATAAAACTCAAATGCTCTTGCCAAATTTGAGGCATTTGATTCCCTATTCAAGAATCCTTCAAAAGTCTTATCATCCTAAACTCGACAATTTATTTCTGATTGTCATAATTGAAGAACAATTTATTTCTGATTGTCAGCATGAAGAAAAGCTACCAAGGATGTGTAGCTTTTCGCTCACATTGTGATTCTTAACATGGTAGTAGGTTAAGCATGTCTTACCCACTCCTAGATCCTCAGGGAAGGGTTCCTCCAGATGAGTTGGTTTAAGCCCCTCTGTTCATGGATGAGGAAACTGAGGCCCAGAGGGGCTGAGAAACTGAGTCTACACAGAAACTCAATGAGATGCATAAAATGAGACCAGAGTGCTCAGCTCCTAGTGAGGCTTTCTTTCTGTTATTCTGTGCTGTTTTTTTTTATTTTTCTATTTTTAACCTCACTGTCATGCAATATGCCCATGTACTGTGCCATTTCTTTAACTCAGAAACTCACTATCAAATTTGATCAAAATTTTCAAACTCTCCATACGTTAAATACCAGTATTTTAAAAAAATTACCGGGGCTCGGTGGCTTATGCCTGTAATCCCAGCACTTTGGGAGGCCAAGGTGGGCTGATCACCTGAAGTCAGGAGTTCCAGACCAAACTGGCCAACATGGCAAAATTCCATTTCTACTAAAAATACAAAAATTAGCTGGGTGTGGTGGTGGGCCCCTGTAATCCCAGCTACTGGGGAGGCTGAGGCAGGAGAATCACTTGAACCTGGGAGGCAGAGGTTGCAGTGAGCCAAGATTGCGCCACTGCACTCCAGCCTAGGTGACAGAGTGAAACTCCATCTGAAAAAAAAAAAAGTCTAAAATATACTTTTGTAAACCTGAAAAATCATGATTTTTTTTTTTTTTGAGACAGGGTCTCACGCTATTGTTCAGACTGGAGTGCAGTGGCATGATCACAGCAGACTGCAGCCTCAACTTCCCAGGCTCCAGTGATCCTCCCACCTCAGTCTCCCAAGTAGCTGGGACTACAGGTGTGCACCACCAGATCTGGCTAATTTTTTTGTATTTTTTTTTTTTTTGTAGAGATGGGGGTCTTGCCTTGTTGCCCAGGCTGGTCTTGAACTCCTGAGCTCAAGTGATCCATCTGCCTTGGCCTCCCAAAGTGCCCGGCCAATCATGATTCTTTAGATAGTCTATGATTTTAAAAGTCCCTCATTGGTCCAGAATAATGGAGGTAAAGAAAATACTTTCCATATCCTGGAGTCTAGGGCATCCTTCTATGAATAAGGAAATGTAGCCTAAAAGAAAAGTAGGACCTATCTTTTTGCATTCCATCTTTATGTGAACAAAGATGTCTCAAACATAGTGATCAGAACTCATTCTTTCTATTCCAACAAGTCATGGGCTTCTGGTGTGTCTGCTAGACAATGCTTAGGGGAAAGTTGGAGCAATTCAAAATTTAAATTCAATTTCCTAGTTGCCAGGATTGTGTTATCTGATTTTATTAAGAAATAACTGATGGAGCAGTATGAAGAGGCGAGAAAGACCCCCAGACCAACCAAAGCCTGCACCCCACTGCATCCCACGCCCCGCGCCTACGTCCCGCCAGCGCTGCCACCATGCCCAAGAGAAAGGCTGAAGGGGATACTAAAAGAGATAAAGCCAAGGTGAAGGACGAACCACAGAGAAGATCCGTGAGGTTGTCTGCTAAGCCTGCTCCTCCAAAGCCAGAGCCCAAGCCTAAAAAGGCCCCTGCAAAAAAGGGAGAGAAGGTACCCAAAGGGAAAAAGGGAAAAGCTGATGCTGGCGAGGAGGGGAATAACCCTGCAGAAAATGGAGTTGCCAAAACAGACCAGGCACAGAAAGCTGAAAGTCCTGGAGATGCCAAGTGAAGTGTCTGCATTTTTGATAACTGTGTACTTCTGGTGACTGTACAGTTTGAAATACTATTTTTTAATCAAGTTTTATAAAAATGCAGAATTTTGTTTTGCTTTTTTTCTTAAAGCTTTGTTGTTAGCACACAGAACACTTCATTGTTTTAGGGGGTGGGGCATATGTCCCTAACAGAATGTCTCTGAAGCTGGATTGATGTGGGGAAAACACCTTTCCCTCCTAGTTTTGAGAGACTTCCTCTTGGCTCCCAGGAGGAGGGATTCCCTGACTTTGACACAGATGGCCCCTTGGCAAAAAAGCCTTGTGTTATAGAAAAACAAATTCGTTTTTGTGTCCTCTTCTCCCTTTCCACCTTTCAGCGTAGGCTTAACTCCCTTAAACCCAGACATCTGTTGGGACCTGACCCCCAATTATTGGTTACCAGTGTATGAGGCAATCTGGACTTTCCAGTGATGCCAGTGAGATGGCACCCCTCAAAAGAGCAGTGGTTCCGTTTCTAGATTGTGGATCTTCAGATAAATTCTGCCATTTGCATTTCACTTCCTGAAAGTCAGGATTGACTCATGAAAAGCTGTTAAACAACATGCTAAATGTGAAATGTCAACCCTCATTCTATACTCTTCCCATTGAGAGCATCGAATGAAGACTTCATTGGGTTTTATAGTGACTTCCTGGGTTTTGGTAATCCATTAAAGAAGGGAGTTTGAAAGTTGTTGTAGGCTGGCCACGGTGGCTCACACCTGTAATCCCAGCACTTTGGAAGGCCGAGGTAGGCAGATCACGAGGTCAGGAGATCGAGACCATCCTGGCTAATATTGTGAAACCCTGTCTCTACTAAAAATACAAAAAATTAGCTGGGCATGGTGGCAGGTGCCTGTAATCCCAGTTACTCGGGAGGATGAGGCAGGGGAATCACTTGAACCTGGGAGGCGGAGGGTTGCAGTGAGCCGAGATCGTGCCACTGCGCCACTGTACTCTAGCCTGGGCGACAGAGCAAGACTCCGTCTCAAAAAAAAAGAAAAAAAAAAAAACAAGAAAGTTGTATACCGGTAACGATTGTCTGCCCATGTCCTGCCTGAAATACCATGATTGTTTATGGAAAGTATCTTTTATAAAGCTGGATACAGTTTGGCTTGGGGAAAAAAAGAGAAATAACTGACTTAACATTATTTAAATAATTCCTTTTCCTTTCAGTTTGACGTTTTGTTTTTAGTGGAAAATAATTGTGTCAGAGAAGTGACTATGTTCTTTGAAACAGGAACTACCTTTCACAATCTTATTAAGAAGAACATGAGGGAAAATTTAAATGTCTAGGCAATATCACAACAATATTTCCTAAGAGACTTGATAATGTCTCCAGGGGCATGGGAATTCAAGTTCCTTGATTCTAGTTATTGTGTTGCAACTGACTCACTCTAAGACTGTAGCTTAATTACTTTTACACAAATCACTATCTCTAATGCATTGTATACAAGTACATAACTCTACCTTACTGGGAATATTATGAGGAAAATTATCTTTTGGTTAAATGTTGGTTTGGGAGTTAAGAAATATCCATGAATACATATTATGTTTCAACTACCTGCAAATCACATAAGCTTGTATTAGTCAATGATTTTTTCCATAGCAGAAAACAGAAAGCAAAATTAAATTGACTTATACAATAAGGGAATCAGCCGGGCATGGTGGCTCATGCCTGTAATCCCAGGACTTTGGGAGGCTGAGGCAGGCAGATCAGTTGAGGTCAGGAGTTCGAGACCAGCCTGGTCAACATGGTGAAACTCTGTCTCTACTAAAAATACACACACACACACACAAATTAGCCGGTCATGGTGGCAGGTGCCTGTAATCCCAGCTGCTTGGGAGGCTGAGGCAGGAGAATTGCTGGAGCTGGGGAGGCAGAGGTTGCAGTGAGCCAAGATCACACCAACTGTACTCCAGCCTGGGTGACAGAGTGAGACTCCATCTCAAAAAAAAAAAAAAAAAAAAAGGAAATTTACAGGGATGAATATTGCTGAAAACTCTGGACGTTACTGGCTTCAGGAAAGTTTTCATCCAACGCCCCAATGATATAAACAAATCCTGAACTCCTGCTTTCCATTTATTGGTTTCATCACCTCAGGGTTAATTTCCAGAAGCTTCAGAGCGTACATGCTTTCAGGTTCAAATCCAGTAGAAAAGAGAGACTTAGCATTATCAATAGCTTAAAAAAATTTTTTTTGAGGCAGAGTCTTGTTGTGTCACCCGAGATGGAGTGCAGTGGTGTGATCATGGCTCACTGCAGCTTCAACCTCCTGGGCTCAAGGGATCCTCCCACTTCAGTCTCTTGAGTCCAGGTGCATACCCTCACACCTGGTTAATTTTTAATTTTTATTTTATTTTGAAGAGATGGGGTCTTGCTATATTGCCTAGGCTGGTCTCGAACTCCTGGCCTCAAGTGATCATCTTGCATCAGCATTCCAAAGTGCTGGGATTACAGGTGTGAGCACTGCCCTGACTTGGGTACTGTGTTCATCCTAAAGTAATCATCAAAGACCAGACAGATGGAATGTGTTGATTGAGTCAAGCCCAACAGGATCTAATCTTGACCTTGGGGGTGGAGTCAGTGCCCCTTAAATACATCATGCAGAAATTTGGAATAGTGTTAAGAAGAGGGAAGGCAAGATAAATCGTACAACCTTCTATTTATAATATTTATTTATTACTTTTTTTAATTTTTTGAGATGGAGTCTCGCTCTGTTGCCCAGGCTGGAGTGCAATGGCACGATCTCGGCTCACTGCAACCTCTGACTCCCTGGTTCAAGCGATTCTCCTGCCTCAGCCTCCCGAATAGTTGAGACTGCAGGCACCTGCCATCACGCCCAGCTAATTTTTTGTATTTTTAGTACAGACGGGGTTTCACCATGTTGGCTGGGCTGGTCTTGAGCTCCTGGTCTTGATTCACCCACCTCAGCCTTCCAAAGTGCTGGGATTATAGGCGTGGGCCACTGTGCCTGGCCACAACCTTCTATTTAAATGCCTTAAATAACTAGCATTTCAACCTAGAGTCATTCATGCATTTGTTAACTCATTCAACAAACATTTTTTCAGGATTCACTATGTGCAAAGTCTCGACTCCATTTCCAGGCTCTTCTTTAAGAGCAAGCACCAAGAACTTGTCCTCAGACTGAAAACAGAATTATGAGAGAGATTAGGGAAACAGGTTTCCCAAAAACTTCCATATTTTTAGCCTGGTTCCTTACATTTTCAGGTATCTAGGAAAGGAAGAGAAACAGCCATCCACCTTCCCACACACCCTACCCAAGCACATCTCCCTGATGTATTTCTATCATTCACAATTTAGGGAGCTATAGACTCCTCCGAAGCTATTCACAGCCCCACTTTAAGCCTCTTGGGCTATATATTCACTAAGATCCTTTCTGGATACAAGACATACAATGATATTGTGATTTGACATTGACATTTGAAAACAGACTCTTGTTTTGTTTTGTTTTGAATGTCCAAGGAAAGATAAGCACATTCTACGTCTTGAAAGAGATCATCCTTTACCTAGGTTAAGATGAGGGGTAATTAGAGCATTTAGTGGTTGGACTTAGGTTTTCACGTGCCACCTAAGTCCTATGTGGAGCTAGATCAGACAACTCAATCTCTCTAACATGTGGGTTATACAAAATGAGAAAGAACAGGAAATGCTCATATATATTTTGGATCTTGCCACTGGCTGAGCAGGAAGCTGCAAGAGAGATAACAGATGATTAAGGCCTCTCCCCAGGCTCCTTTTGGGAAAGCAGCTTTTGGGAAAACACGTGTAGAAAATGAGAGACAAGTACAACTGAAATGCTTCAACCACGCTTTGTCCGTGTCTGCCGTGTTTACAAAGCATTCTGAAATAACCAAATGAAGTTGCTCCACATCCAGAAAAGTCCTGGTGATTGTACAGTGGCCTGGTGTTAAGCACAGCTTTTTTTTTTTTTTTTCCTAAATCTGTAGCCCTGAGAATAAATCCATTTGTATTTCCTTTTCTTGAGGAAGGAAATGTTCTGGTGCTCAACAGGATGTCCTGATCCTCTCCGTGTAGGCTTTGGTGCTAGCTCCAGTGTCCCGGGTTGAGGGCAGGCACACCTAAAGTAAAGGTAGAAAGTGAGAGAAGAACTGAAAAAGGGAGGCCAAGTTGGAAAACTTGAGAAAGACAATAGCAGGCCTGGGGACTCAATTTGGAAAATGATAGGAAGTAAAATGTCCTTTGATTCTCACCAGGATTCAACTCAAAATCACAGTAAACATTTTAACAGGAGTCTTATACATAGTGCTGAGGGAGGAAATGGCAGTACAGTACAAAGGTGGGATGTTATTTCTATGACAAATGAAAGTTGGCCACCAAGAAACTCAAATCCTAGCTTCAGCCTGCATCTTGGCCTCGTGTTGTGTTCTGTGGGACATTCCCCAAGAGTATGGCTTCTGAGCTGACACAGCCACTTGCTGCCTGTGGCCTTTGGGGATGGACTGTCTCCAACAGGCTGGTACTAGCAGAGATTAACTTCCTTTTGTGGTTCCCAGATTTACATGTAGAACTGATCCTCAAACTGTTACTTTGGAAGTTAGAACAAAGTGTTGACTTGCCAAGTCTTTGTAAAGGGGGCTTAGTTATATGATGCCCTTCAGGCACTTTGGGCTTCTTAGATGTGCCAGTGTTCTAAAGTGAATGTGTTTTGATTTCTGGGGTTAACTTCAGGGTTAGAAGGCGGGTGCACACACCAAACAAAAGGCTTGTTGTCTTCATCATTTTTTTCCCAGGGACCCAGGAAATAAAGGGGTCTTCTTTTCATAGCAGTAGTCTGTCAGTCTTTTCTGGCAGGAATTGAGATTCTGAGGAAGCAGTTAATATGTCTGGTGCAATAAATGTGACTTGGAAATTTGGCTGTCTCTTAACTATCCCCACCTCCTCTCCAGGCTCAGCATTTCCTTCAACACTGGGGTCAATGCTTAGGATAGGGTTGGTTTGACTCTATCCTGCCACTGCCTTGGCCTTAGTTTCCAGGTTTATAGTAACTGGTGTCTGCCTTACCTTCCTGTTCCTGGCTGACCCCTGCTCTGTTCCTAAGTCCCTGGTAATTACAGTCCCCTCCCAGTTTCTCAGTGAGGCGGTTGTTCTCTGTCCCCTCCGGTAACTAGATTCGCCTGACCTGGAGTCCAAAACTCCTATGCCTGAGTCATTCCCATATATCTCAGATGTCCTTGGCATAGAATCACTTGTCCACTCGCCTAACAAAGTATAAGAGTGTTCATATTTTCACTTAGGGCATAGATTTTAACTTTACCTTAATTTTTTAAAGTTTTTAATAAGCAGAAAAATTCACACCTGAATTATTAATTTGTTGAATGCCCTGAATCTCACTGAAAATAACTTAATTGTTAACATTGAATTGCATCAGCCAACAGGAACACAAAAAAGATGGGCCAAATAAACTGTACTATCACCTAACACCTCGTAACATAAGCAAAAGGAAACTTATTATCAATGTCATATGAACAACAAGTGCAAACATTCAATATGTGAACCTGCTGTAACAACCATTCTGGTCAAGGCTCCTGTTTTAGTTTTCATGAGATCAAAAGCTTAGGAATTCAGAATTGTGGTCATCCCCATTGAGTCAATTTTGGTAATTTATATGGACCAGACCTTCGTTATACAGCATCTGTAGCTGCAAAGTGATAGTCTGCTCTTGGTAAACTCTCCATCTTTCACATTATGTGGGGTTTATCTCCTCCTTGAACTCTTGGTAGAACCTTGCCTTATGGACCATGTGGACTTGTTTTCTTTTTTGAAGGTAGATCTTTGACTATTTCTTATATTACTATTGATAAGTTCAGGCTTTCTGTTCCTTGAGTCAATTTTGGTAATTTATATTTCTTTAGAAAGCCATTCTCCATGGTCTGGATTTTCAAATTCATTGGAATAAAGCTGCACATAGCACTTAAAAAATTTGAAATCTCTGCATTCTGTTTTCCTCTCTGATGTTATAGTGTCTTTTTTCTTTCTTTCTTTCTTTCTTTGTTTTTTTTCCTAGTTCATACTTGCCAAAGGCTTTCTATGTTTTGAGCTTGTTAAAACATCAAATTATTGTGTTGGGTTTTCTATTTCATATTATCTGTTTTATCTTTATTAATTCCTTCCTTCTACCTTCTCTGGTTTATTTGTTATTTTCTAGTTTCTAGAGTTGAAAGCTAAGTTCACTCATTTTCAATCTTTCTTGCTTTTTAACATCTGGATTTAACATTATAATTTTCTTCCTGATAAACAATTTTGTTATTTCTCAGTGTTTGAGATGCTTTGTCCTCCTTGTCACTGACTTCTAAATAATCCTACTGCCCAACCCTGTGGGAAAATTACCCCCACTGATACAAGACTTTACCATGTGACTTACTTTAGCCAATAAAACGTAAGTGGAAGTGCAGCCCACAATCTGAATCACAGTGTGATTCCATCATCTTTCTTTTCTTTCTACCAGAAGACCAGCAGTGTCCCACACAGGGCTGTTTCTTCAGCCTGCACACCAGACTGCAGATAACAAGGAGAGTGACAGCTGACCTGGGATGGTGATGGAGCGAGGGAGAAATAAATCTCTTGTAATCTCCTGATACAGTCTTAAATTCTCCAGTATGCATTTCTAAAGAGTTAAATGTCTTCCTATATAGCCAAAATAACATTTTCACATCTAACAAAATTAACATTTATTTCTTTTTTTATTTTTTTTGAGACGGAGTCTTGCTCTGTTGCTCAGGCTGGAGTGCAGTGGCACGATCTCAGCTCACTGCAACCTCTGCCTCCAGGGTTCAAGCGATTCTCTTGTCTCAGCCTCTCAAGTAGCTGGGACTACAGGCTTGTGCCACCATGCCCGGCTAATTTTTTGTATTTTTAGTAGAGATGGGGTTTCACCGTGTTAGCCAGGATGGTCTCAATCTCCTGACCTTGTGATTCCTCCATCTTGGCCTCCCAAAGTGCTGGGATTACAGGCGCGAGCCACCATGCCCGGCCCAATTTCTTAATATTATCTAATACTTAATACATACTCAAATTTCTTCATTTGGCTTCCAAATGTCCTTTATAGCTGGTTTGTACAGATCATGAACTAACCCAGAACCTCATATTCTATTTAATTATTATTATTATTATTTAACTGTCTTATTACACTGATTTTTTTAAGAGACCAGGCCTCCATCATATAGTTATGTTTTTCATCTCCTATGACCAGAAAGTGACCCAAGTGGTATAACTTTGGTACAGCATCAGTAACCAGTTTCCCATTCTTAGAGCTTTAAGGTCAACTGATAATCCTTGCCTGAATTGATAATTTCCTTAGGTACTACAAATGATTCTTTCAGTGTAAAGTAACGGTATAAATGTAAATGTAACCTATAAATGTATAAATGTAGAGTTTTCCCCTGTCATCTGGGATTATTTTGGTTTCTGCAGTAGAGTTGCTACTGCAAAGGCAGGATAAATGCCTACTTCTCCCTCGTTATCCACTTTCAAAGTAAACAGTTGTTTCAAATGGTGACACACAAGCTTTCTCTTACTGTTATAGACTTTGGATTTTTGGAGATTTGATGTGTTTCAATCAACTACAATCATTTTTCTTTTTTGATGTTCAAAGTCTTTCTTACGATATCCCTAATGATTTTTTTTTTCTTTTTTAGCTGGAGTGCAGTTGCGCGATCTCGGCTCACTGCAACCTCCAACTCCCTGGTTCAAGCAATTCTCTCGCCTCAGCCTCCCGAATAGCTGGGATTACAGGCACGTGCCACCATGCCCAGCTAATTTTTGTATTTTTAGTAGAAGGGTTTTACCAGATTGGCCAGGATGGTCTCAACTTCCTGACCTCGTGATCTGCCCACCTCGGCCTCCCAAAGTGCTGGGATTACAGGTGTGAGCCACCGTGTCCGTTCCCCAATGAAATTATTAATCCTAGTAGAATTCTTCACATGGGGAAACAAAAGCACAGGAACCAAAGTCACTGGACTCAGTAAGTCCCTAGAAATGATTAAAAGGGGAGAAAACATAAGACAGATAGGCAGGATGACAGCCACAGTCTGCCTGAGAGCGGCACAGTACATCACTGTGTACAACAGAAATCTGATTTGTCCCTTCTTGTAGCAATCCAAAGAACAGGGGGCCACAGGCAATGTTAGCTCTTAGAAAGAATCACCCCAAAATCATCATTGTTCACTTAAACAGCCAAACTGCTTCACCAGCTCATGCCCCTTCAAGCCAACACACTGTGTAGGTCAGATAAAGAACTAGTTGCACACCTTCAGTGATTAACAATCTATTTGGTGCCAGGCTGTGGTGGCACACACCTGTAGTTCCAGCTACTCAGGAGGCTGAGGCAGGAGAATCACTTCAGCTCAGAGGAGTTTGAGACCAGTCTGGGCAACACAATGAGACATTGTCTCTAAAAAATAAAAATAACCCATTTGGGAATAGTCATTGAGTTAACAAATATTTACTGTTAAGATGATGGGACAATAGGGCTAGGAATGATGGCTTATGCCTGTAATCCCAGCACCAAAGAGGCCAAGGCGGGTGGATCTTTTGAGCTCAGAAATTCGAGACCAGGCCGGACACGGTGGCTTATGCCTGTAATCCCAGCACTTTGGGAGGCTGAGGCAGGCTGATCACTTGAGGTCAGGAGTTTGAGACCAGCCTGGCCAACATGGTGAAACCCCATCTCTACTAAAAATACAAAAATTAGCCGAGCGTGGTGGCACGTGCCTGTAGTCCCAGCTACCCCAAAGGCTGAGGCAGGAGAATCGCTTGAACCCTGGAGGCAGAGGTTACAGTGAGCCGAGATTGCACTGTTGTGCCCTGGCCTGGGCAACAGAATGAGATTCCGTCTCAAAAAAAAAAAAAAAGGGTTGGGCGCAGTGGCTCATGCCTGTAATCTCAGCACTTTGGGAGGCCGAGGCAGGTGGATAACCTGAAGTCGGGGGTTCGAGACCAGCCTGACCAACATGGAGAAACCCCGTCTCTACTAAAAATACAAAAATTAGCTGGGCATGGTGGCACATGCCTGTAATCCCAGCTACTCGGGAAGCTGAGGCAGGAGAAGTGCTTGAACCCGGGAGGTGGAGGTTGTGGTGAGCTGAAATCAGGCCATTGCACTCCACCCTGAGCAACAAGAGTGAAACTCCATCTCAAAAAAAAAAAAAAGAGAGAGAAAAGAAAAGAAATTCGAGACCAGCCTGGCCAACATGGTGAAACCCCATCTCTACAAAAAATACAAAAATTAGCCGGGTGTGGTGGCATGTGCCTGTGGTCCCAGCTACTTGGTAGCCTGAGGTGGGAGCATCACTTGCGTCCAGGAGATGGAGGTTGCAGTGGGCCAAGATTGGGCCACTGCACTCCAGCCTGGGTGACAGAGTGAGATCTTGTCTAAAAAAAAAGAAAAAAAAAAAAGATAATTTGACAATAAATATTAACTATCAAGCGATCAGCACTACTGAGACTCTAAAGAGGAAGGAAGCCCTTCTAGCTGTAGAGGTCTTGGGAGTTACATTGAAAGAGATGGGGTTGGAGTAAGGCCTTGAGGACTGGGTGGTAATTTATTATATGAAGATGGGGTTGGGAGGGTGGTACCCAGCCCATGGGATAGGGAGCACTAGCAGGAGAGGACAGAGTTTTATATAGGATTATAGGAATATAAACTTCGGTGTTTTATGGCCAGGTTATATATGCCTTTGAATTCCTGGCTAAACATTTAGATGGGATGTTGTAAGTAATAGAGAACTACTGTAGGTGTTTTCAGTATAAGGCGGAGGGAATGATGGCTAGGCTCTTGAATTTAAGTTGTAAGGATCAGGCTCAGAAATCCACTCCCCTCTTCTAAGTTATTGATAACTAATACAGAAGAATCATTGAGAAAATCTAAAGTGAAAAAAAACCACCTACAGGGCAGTTTGCTTGCATTTGCGTTAGATGTGCACGTCTAAAATTTTACACACAGAATATATCTGGAAGAACACAGGAGCCACTGGTGGCTATGGCTGCCTCCCAGTGGAGAAACTAGGTGCCATTTACTCCAAATCACTGGTTACAGTGATTCTGTGACAAAATTAGCTAGATGAGGAAGCAGTATTTAATTTCATTTTGGTTTGGTTTAGTTTTTAATTACAAGAGAGGATGGGTGTTGTACAAGAGCATAGGATGTGACATCAGAGGGTCCTTATGACCCAGCCTCTGCTGCCTTTCTATGACTATGTGTGACTATGTGACCTTAGGAGAGACACCATCCTCTAAGACTCAACTCCCTCATCTGTAAAACAAGGACAAGAAAACATCCTTTACAGGGGTTTGATGAGAACCTACGTGAAGATGATATAAAGCACCATGTGGACCAGGCACAGTGGCTCACGCCTGTAATCCCAACACTTTGGGAGGCTGAGGCGGGCAGATCATTTGAGGTCAAGAGATCGAGACCAGCCTGGCCAGCATGGTGAAACCACATCTCTACTAAAAATACAAAAATTAGCCGGGTGTAGTGGTGGGTGCCTATAATCCTAGCTACTGAGGCAGGAGAATTGCTTGAACCTGGGAGGTGGAGGTTGCAGTGAGCCGAGATCATGCCATTGCACTCCAGCCTGGGCAACAAGAGTGAAACTCCGTAAAAAAAAAAAAAAAAAAAAAAAAAAAAGGCAGCATGTAAGTGAAACTTTGAAAACAATTTTTTATTTTTATTTTCATAGAGACAGCGTCTCACTATGTTGCCCAGGCTGGTCTCAAACTCCTGGGCTCAAGTGATCCTCCTCCTCAGTCTCCCAAAGTGCTGGGATTATAGATGCAAGCCACTGTGCCCTGCAGAAACTTTTAAAAAATGATTACATCAAAAATGTTTCATGTTCTGAAAATGCCTTGAGCGCTGTAGATTCAGTTCCAATTTTTAAATACGGACATGCAGCGCCGGTGAGGTTAACAGGCAGACCTGGCAGGTGCAGCCACTGCTCAGCAGAGTTCCTCGGCAGGCCAGGCGTGGATGGAAACTCCAAATTTCCATCACAAGGCATCAGATTTCCCCTCTCTAAGACCAAGTAACTAAGCAATTTTTACAAATTATGCACAGGATGAAGCTTTCTGAGAGGCTGGGGTGTGCTGGTTTTATCCAGCCATGGCGAACAGAAGAATCACCTGCCTCCTTCCCCAGCCCGACCCTTTGCCCAGCATCAGGCCCCTGGCACAGTCATATTTCAGAGGAAGGTCTGGTGAGCTCTTGAGTTTCTGGTGTGAGGTTTGAGAGGGATTTGTGGAGTGTCACTTCTGGAAAGCAAACCGTAATACAGAGCACTAACTTAATTGTTATTCCTAGGGTTTTCTGCGTAGACATCTTACCACAGACAGCGTTAACAGAAGCAGTTGATTCTCAGGGCACTGTTCTGGAAATGGTGTAAAAGAATGGATCATTCCTCATTTTGCCATTCATAGACAAGTCTCTATTAGGCAATAGAAAAAGTCTGTGCAATTGTATCAACTGTAATCTGGAAAGTAGCCACACCCTCCTTCCAGAACTTCCCTCTTCACACACAAAGCTTTTTCCTTTTGAAAATGAAATTTGTATTCTATTTATAGGAAGAAATGTGTGTTTCTTTCTCAAACTATTATCTAAGATTACATCAGTTTCACATTACATCCAAGCTGACCACTTTCTTCTGAGTGGCAACATAAATTTACATGGACCCAGTGAATTTTGCCAGTGCATCATGTCCTAGAATAAGGGCAAAGCTAATAAATTGCTTCATTTATCCAAGAGCAACGCCAGATTGAAGGCACACACAAAGGAAAATTAATACGCGAAGGAAGAAGACAGAAACAAAGGAGAAGCCAGGCACAGTGACTCACGCCTGTAATCCAAGCACTTTGGGAGGCTGAGGTGGGTCGATGATTTGAGGTCAGGAGTTCAAGACCAGCGTGGCCAACATGGTGAAACCCCGTCTCTACTAAAAATACAAAAAATTAGGGCCGGGTGCGGTGGCACATGCCTGTAATCCTAGCACTTTGGGAGGCCAAGGCGGGCGGGTCACAAGGTCAGGAGATGGAGAATACCCTGGCCAACACCGTGAAATCCCGTCTCTACTAAAAATACAAAAAAAAATTAGCCGGGCGTGGTGGCGGGCACCTGTAGTCCCAGCTACTTGGGAGGCTGAGGCAGGAGAATGGCATGAACCCGGGAGGCAGAGCTTGCAGTGAGCCGAGATAGTGCCACTGCACTCCAGCCTGGGCAACAGAGCAAGACTCCATCTAAACAAACAAACAAAAAAATTAGGCGGGCGTGGTGGTACGTGCCTGTAATCTCAGCTACTTGGGGAGCTGAGGCAGGAGAATTGCTTGAACCTGGAAGGTGGAGGTTGCAGTGAGCTGAGATTGCACCACTGCACTCCAGCCTGGATGACAGAGTGAGACTCTGTCTCAAAACAAAAAACAACAACAACAAACAACAACAACAACAACAAAAAACAAAGGAGAAACCAGCGTGCTTTTAGTACAATGTCAGGAAATTATTTAACATAGCCATTTCGACATGCTAAATATTTTGCAGGTAGAGACGGTCCCTGACAATGGTTCACCTTTAAGATGGCATGAAAGTGATATACGTTCAGTAGAAAGCAGTATGATACTCTTTTGACAAGCTGGGCCAGTCCCTGTCAGCCACACCATAAACTGTGTTGCTCAGCTGCAGGTAATGTAAGAATGTTGATTGCGTTTAAGGTAGGCTAGGCTAAGTTACAATGTTCTGCATGTTAGGTGTATTAAGTGCATTTTCGACTTATGATATTTTCACCTTACCATGAGTTTATTGGAACGTAACCCCATCATAAGTTGAGGAGCATCTGTATTTCAGTATTTAATACAACAACCTTATGAGATAAGTGTTATTCTTATCCCTATTTTAAACCAAGGAAACCTCAAACAGAATGGTTAAATAACTTGGTTAAGGTCATGCACTAAAACCTATTCTCCATAAGGACACTTCTTCCCCAGACACCCTTTCAAATGGGGCCTTTCTTCTCTCCCCTACTCATCTTGGACCACTGGCCTGGAGGTGAAGGAGGTATACTCATTTCTCCCAACTGCTGCTTCAAGACCACCATTCCTCTCTTCTTCAAAGCTTTCAGCTTTGAAGCTGTCATCTGAATATTTACTAAATATTCAGCTTTGTTGAATCAACTGTAGACTCGGGTCACTGCTCTGAATTCCTTGAAGAGTTCCATTCCCTGTCACTTCAGATTCTTGGTGACTTCACAAACAGTCTTTCCAAATGCCCCGCCTGCCAGTGCCTTGACCACCTCACCTCCAACAATGTTGTCATTCTACCCTGGACCTGTGCCGGAGGCCAGCTCATTGCTCACCAAATCTGTTTCCTCTCCTTTCCGGGCAGGCTACATATGCACTTCTCCTTTGTAACAATGGCTTCATGACTGAGTTCTGGACAAAGGGATTTGCAGTCCTCTGCTTGCTCTCTCATTATTTGCTAGCCAGATGGAGAGGATGCAATGGAGTGTTATAAGGCCCTGGAACAGCGCAGTCCAGTAGAAATGGAAGCCAAGTCACATATGTGATTTTAAATTTTCAAGTAGCTATATTTAAAAATGCAAAAAGAAACAGGTATGGCTGGGCACGGTGGCTCACACCAGTAATCCCAGCACTTTGGGAGGCAGAGGCGGGCAGATCACTTGAGGTCAGGAGTTCGAGACTAGCCTGACCACCATGGCAAAACCCTGTCTCTACTGAAAATACAAGAATTAGCCGGGCGTGGTGGTGCATGCCTGTAACCCCAGCTACTCAGAAACAGACAGGAGAAAAACTTGAACCTGGGAGGCGGAGGCTGCAGTGAGCTGAGATCGCACCACTGCACTCCAGGGTGGGCAACAGAATGAGATCCTGTCTCAAAAACAAAAACAAAAACAAAAAACAGGTAAAATTAATTTTAATAGTACATTTTATTTAATCCAGCATATTAAAAATATCATTTCAACATGTTATCAATATAAAAATTATAAGTGAGGTATTTTGTATCTTTTTTTCATATTAAGTCTTTGAAATCTAGTGTGTAATTTACACTTAACAGCACCTATCAATTCAAATGTTAAGTTTACGTCAAAAATACTTGATCTGGGCTGGTCATGGTGGCTCACACCTGTAATATCAACTCTTTGGCAGGCCAAGGAGGATCACTTAAGGCCAAGAGTTCAAGACCAGCCTGAGCAACATAGTGAGACCCCCATCTCCACAAAAATAAATTTAAAAAATTAGCTGGGGATGGTGATGTGAGCCTGTACTCCTAACTACTCGGGAGGCTGAGATGGGAGGATCACTTGAGCCCAGGAGTTGGAGCTGCAGTGAGTTGTAATTGCGCCACTGTACTCCAGCCCAGGTCACAGAGCGAGACCTCATGTCTTTAAAAAATCACAACAAAAAATTGATCTGTATTTAATTTTTTTATAGTAAAGTGAAAGCAAGTTTATTGAGAGAAACGAAAGAATAGCTACTCCATAGGCAGAACAGCCAATCTGTATTTAACTTCATAAAGTAGTTGCACATATCCAAATTGTTCCAAACATACTTTCAAAATATTAAATTAAATTTTTTTTTGGAGATGGAGTCTCACTCTGTCGCCCAGGCTTGAGTGCAATGGCATGGTCTCAGCTCACTGCAACCTCCACCTCCCAGGTTCAATCGATTCTCCTGCCTCAGCCTCCTCAGTAGCTGGGATTACAGGTGTTTGCCACCATGCCTGGCTCATTTTATTGTATTTTTAGTAGAGACGATGTTTCACCATGTTGGCCAGGCTGGTCTCAAACTCCTGACCTCGTGACCCACCCGCCTCGGCCTCCCAAAGTGCCGGGATTACAGGCTTGAGCCACCGTGCCCGGCCAAAATTTAAATTTTTAAAATGAAAAATTCAGTTTCTTAGTTGCTCAAGTCACATTTCCAATGTTTAGTAACCACATGTAGCTGGTGGCTACCGTATTAAACAATGCAGTCCAAGCCACCATGGAAAGAGCCCAGGACCCTGAATGACTGAGCTGACCCTGAGCAACCCCACCAACAAGCCTTGGGTTGCGATTTGAACAAGAAATAAACCTTTATGTGCTGAGCCACTAAGAATGAGGGATTGTTTGTTATAGCAATTAGCTTGAACCAGTACACAACCTTGACTATCACCCTCCATGGTCAGACATTGTTATTACCAATAGCTCTGCCTCCTCCATAACCTCTATTCAATCCTCCTTCTCTCCTGGCCTGCTATATTTTCAGCTCCTTTCTTCTAATACTGCAATTGTAGTCATGTGTCGGCCCCACCCTCCTCCTTGCCCGTCAGCCCTCAACATCCACTTTCTACTTCCTTCGTACACCCTCAATTCCTTGGCCCTGCCTCATTTGACTGTGTCTCCTAGCAAAACCACAGCTGCGGCAGAGCTTTTCTACCTGTACTCAGCTGAATGTGGACACACAGAACCATGCTACTTGCCTCACTTTAACTAGCAAACATGTTGAATTCCTTTTATATAGGAATTCATGGCTAATTCAAGTCAAATTAGCAAGGAAAAGATTCAAAGCACCTTGATCAAGAAAGGTTAACTGGATGGAAAAGGAATCACCATCAGGCCTTTCTTTAGTACTGCTGGAAATCCTCCTCCATTTCCATTCTAGAATGCCGTTTCCCAATTTCTCTTCTCTTCAACCCTTCCCTCCTCTTCAACCCTTCCCTCCTCCTCCCCGTCCTGCTTCTCCTTATCAGCTTCTGCCTAAGCTGCCTGTTTCTAACAAGATATCAGCAATCAAAAGAGCCACTCGAGGCCGGGCATGGTGGCTCACGTTTGTAATCCCAGCACTTTGGGAGGCCGAGGTGGGCGGATCACTTGAGGTCAGGAATTCAAGACCAGCTTGGCCAACATGGTGAAACTCTGTCTGTACTAAAAATACAAAAATTAGCCGGGCGTTTTGGCACATGACTGTAATCCCAGCTACTCGGGAGGCTGAGGCAGGAGAATCGCTTGAACCCGGGAGGCAGAGGTTGCAGTGAGCCAAGATTGCACCACTGCACTCCAGCCTGGGTGACACAGAAAGACTCTGTCTCAAAAAAAAAAAAAAAAAAAAAAAAAAGACACTCCATGTGCTCCTGCAGCCACCCAACCAACCTCTGCGCTGCAGCCCGTCCCCTCTCACCCCTCACACATTCCAGCAACTGTGCCTCTTTTTCTTGAATCATTTTTATTTTGTTTTAGACTTTTAAAATATGTATTTACTGTAAATTCAGTGCAGAACACCAGTCTAAAATATGTTGTTTGGTGAACTTTTGCATATGTAAATCCCTCTGTTACTGCCACCCAGATCAAGATACAGAGCATTTCCAGTACCCCTGAAGGCTTCCCCATGTCCCATTCAAGCAAGTACCTAGACTATATTACTCAGGGCTACATGTTGGATGGAGTCCAACACCAGTATCCTTGCCCTAACGCACAGGCCAGTTGTAGACTGCTGTGTGTGTGTGTGCGTGTGTGTGTAATTTCTTCAATCTCTAGTTCACCTGACTCATTTTCTTTTTTTTTTGAGACAGAGTCTCACTCTGTTGTCCAGGCTGGAGTGCAGTGGCACAATCTCAGGTCACTGCAACCTCCACCTCCCAGGTTCAAGTGATTCTCCTGCCTCAGCCTCCCGAGCAGCTGGGACTACAGGTGTGCGCCACCACGCCCAGCTAATTTTTGTATTTTTATTAGAGACAGGGTTTCACCATATTAGCCAGGCTGGTCTTGAACTCCTGACTGCATGATCCACCTGCATCAGCCACCCAAAGTGCTGGGATTACAGGCGTGAGCAACCACACTTGGCTCTTTTTTTTTTTTTTAGATGGAGTCTCACTGTGTCGCCCAGTCTGGAGTGCAGTGGCACGATCTTGGCTCACTGCAACCTCTGCCTCCTGGATTCAAGTGATTCTCCTGCCTCAGTCTCCCTAGTAGCTGGGACTACAGGCGCACACCACCATGCTCGGCTAATTTTTGTATTTTTGGTACAGACGAGTTTTCACCATGTTGGCCAGGCTGGTTTTGAGCTCCTGACCTCGTGATCCGCCTTGGCTTCCCAAAGTGCTGGGATTACAGGCATGAGCCACCATGCCTGGCCCACCTGATTCATTTTCTGTTTGAGATCTGGAAGCTGGTTTTCAACCCTGATACTTTTTTTTTTTTTTTTAAACCCTGATCCTTGATCCAACCTCTGGCCTAACTCCTTTTTCCTTCATCGTGATGGCACATACCCTGCTGGGTTTGCCAGGATCCACCCATAGGACTTGGACACAGAAGAGAAACTGGGGCGAGGGAATTCAAGTTGTACATGGGCAGATTTCAGCTCCATGAACTGAAGCAGGGACCCTGTCGCTGGGCATGTGCAAGAAGCAGCTGCAGGGCCACATCTGGGCATGGAGCAAAGGGAACTCTTGGACTGTGAGGGAGTTGAAAACCATCATCTTGACAATTTCTTCCAAATCTAATCTCCTGTGGGACCGAGAACTGACTGTACAAAGTGATCTAGGGCGTCAGTCAAGGACACGACCCTTTATGCTGATGATCCATTTTGCATTCCAGAAAATAGTGATAGAGTTTCAGATTTAACCATTTTGAGCCTCTTTCTTCAGCTGTAAGAGTCAGGAAAACAGCTGGGCACGGTGGCTCACGCCTGTAATCCCAGCACTTTGGGAGGCCGAGGCGGGAGGATCACCTGAGGTTGGGAGTGCAAGACCAGCCTGACCAACATGGAGAAACCCCATCTCTACTAAAAATACAAAATTAGCCAGGCATGGTGGCATATGCCTGTAATCCCAGCTACTCGGGAGGCTGAGGCAGGAGAATTGCTTGAACCTGGGAGGCAGAGGTTGCAGTGAGCCGAGATCACGCCATTGCACTCCAGCCTGGGCAACAAGAGCGAAACTCTGTCTCAAAAAACCCCACAAAAATTAGCCGGGCATGGTGGCGGGTGCCTTAGTCCCAGCTACACAGGAGGCTGAGGGCAGGAGAATCGTTTGAACCTGGGAGGCAGAAGTTGCAGTGAGCCGAGATCACATCACTGCACTCCAGCCTGGGTGACAGACTGAGACTCCATCTCAAAAAATAAAATAAAATATAATAAAATAAATAAAATTTTCAAAATATTATATATAGGCTGAGTGCGGTGGCTCACACCTGTAATCCCAGCACTTTGGGAGGCTGAGGTGGGCGGATCACTTGAGGTCAGGAGTTCGAGACCAGCCTGCCAACATGGTGAAACCCTGTCTCTACTAAAAACACAAAAATTAGCCGGGCGTGGTGGCATGCGCCTATAGTCCCAGGTACTCGGGAGGCTGAGGCATTAGAATTGCTTGAACCTGGGAGGCGGAGTTTGCAATGAGTTGAGATCGTGCCACTGCACTCCAGCCTGGTGAAAGAGCAAGACTCTGCCTCAAAAAAAAAAAAATTACTTATTGTATATACCAATCTTATAACTACATATTAATCTGTAGAGATATTTCTATGAAGATATGTATTCTTTCAGGCTCTTTGCTCCTTTGGAATCATATCATTAAATATCATTTTGTAATTTTTTTAAATTGTAGAGTAAACATTCCAGCCTATTAAACATTCTTTAATAACATTCCTATAAGGAAGTACAGAGATTTATTTAACTGGTTCCTTATTGTGGCCGTCTGGGTTGTTTCCAGGTTTTCCATATTATAAACAATACTGTGGTGCATATTCTTGTGTCTATTGTCTGATTATTTCCTTAGGATGGCTTCTTAGAAGTGGCATTGCTGGGTTAAAGGGAAAGGACATTTTCCAGGCTTCTGATTCTTATTACCAAAGTGCCCTCCTGAAACACGGTACCAGTTGTGTTCCTGACAACGGCCTATTTTTGAAAAAATTTAAGTCCAGCACATTGTAACAATGGAAGTTCAAGATAAACTGTAGCAGCTGGTTTCTGGGATGGTTTCTGTGTCAGATGAGCTGGGAAGCCCTGGGTTGAGGAGGGAGCCTCATAAGCTGGCTTGGACCCTGCAGGGAAGTCTTACTCTACTCACACCCGCATGTTTAGTGAGAAGCCCATTAGGTCAGATACAGTCTCTCCACTGGGGCAAAGTTCACTTAGGCACCTTTTGGCATAAGCAGGAAAGGAGGCCCTACCTTCAGCTCACCCAGCCCCACTTTCTCTGAGCCAGGTCAATGAAGCAAGCTGATGGCCTGGCCAGCCCAGCCAGCTTGGGGGCCTGTGGTTAGAATAAGCCACTTTGCTGCAGGCCTCACCATCCTTCTCTCCAAATTATCTGAAAACTGGCTATAGATCAGGTCCTGCATAGAAGCAGAAGCGCAGACAGCAGGGGGTGCTGCCAGCCACTTCTCTAGTCACCTCCCCTGTGCAGACGTGGGACCCCTTTCCCTGCTTGAGGCTTTTAAGAGCCTGGGCCCAGCCTTACCGGCAATATCAGTAAGCTCAGCACCTTCTCCCCCATTTCCCACGCACCAGACCTGGAGTAAATGGATAAGAATTCTCATTACACTTTTAAGTATTCTTTTTGCTGTTTTTGTTATCGCTATTGTTATCAGAAGTCAAATCTGAGGCAGAAAGGAAGGGAGGTCTTCGGAAAATCTTTGACCTCCAATTTCTTCAATAGCTTGTGGTTCCCAGCTTGTACGGTAATGTTTTAACATTTCCAAGCTGGACAGCAGACAAGGCGGTGGGGGTGGGGTAGTGTGTGTGTGTAGGGGAAGCATTGCTTCTGGACAGTAGAGTGTTAGAAAGCACCTCTAGAATAGTGAGAAAGACCACTAGATTCAGTAGACTAGAGGTCTTCAAAACACTGCTATTCATAGCAACCCAGATTAGAACAATCTCTATACCTAGCAATAATAGAACAGATAAATAAATTGTGGTGTATTTGTCCAGTGGAATACTATACAGCAATGAAAAAACCAAGCTACCATCACACAGAATATGGGTGGCTCTCACAAACCCAATGTTGGGTGAAAAAGCCTGACACAGAAGAGCACATGTTGTATGACTCCACCGATATAAAAGTTCAATAATGCTAAGTGTTTAGGGATGCCTATTAGGTGGTAAACTATAAAGAAAAGTAAAGCTGTGATTTCCATAAAATTCAAGGTAGTGGTTACGCTTGATAGAAGAGAGGATAGAGGCTGTGATTGGGAAGGAGTGTGAGGTGGCTTCTGGGTGCTGGTGATGAGCTATTTCTTGACCCGAGAGGTAGTTACACAGATGTATTTCTACTTTACAACAATTATTTAAGCTGAATCCTTATGTTTTGTGCATTTTTCAGTATGCGTGTAGTTGTGTACTCTTGTGTCTGTATGTGTTTAAAAAGATAAAGGGCCAGCATTTTCCCAGGTAAGTCATGAGTTGACTTGAATATTGCATCTCTGTGGTGCACATCTGTGATGCATATCAAGGACTCCTATGAGTCTGTGCTTTCATAGGCCACTCTAGTGGCTGACAATCAATAAGACTGTGTGATGGGGCAGAGAAAGAAGGAGATCTACCCAACTACTGAGCCACAAAGCTGAACATACTTACCTCATTTAAGCCTCTCAGGGCATTTAAACTCAGGGCGGCCAGGATCACAAAATAATCATTCCAGTTTAAAAGGCAGAGGATAATCTAGAAAGAAGTTCCCATCTGTTAGAGTCAGATAGCCTGAGGTCAAAACTTGTCCATGCCTGAGAAATCTATAAAACTGAGCATAACACCTCTTTCTAGGGCTCTGAGGAGGAATAAATGAGCTAATTTGTAAAGTGCCTGACATATTTTGATGCTCAATAAATGTTAGAAATATCCTCATTTTACTCAAGAAAGCACAGTGCCTGCATGGAGTTGGAACTTGTCTAAGGTCATCTGTTAGCAAAGGGAGGACTAGACATTCAAACCTGGGTGTTTCTCTCTTAGAGTCCAGGGCACCCCTGACTAGCTATGTTATAATAGGAGACTAGACTGTGGGAGGTCTATGCAGCAAGAGTAGTTCACGGGCTGAAGTGGGAAGGCATTTCACAGAGAATGTGACATTTGAGCTGACCTCTGAAGAAGAGGAGAGGCATGGTAGGCAGAAGAGTGAGTACAGGCCCAGCCTCAGAGGTGTGAAAATTCATAGCATCATTGGTGAACGGTGGGTGAATGATTAAGTCACTTAATTTGTCTCAGTGTTGGGTTCCATATACACGGAATTAAGGTAAGAATACCTGCTCTGCTTATTTTATTTTATTTATTTATTTTTTGAGACATAAGCTTGCTCTGTTGCCCAGGCTGGAGTGCGGTGGCATGATCTCCACTCATTGCAGCCTCTGCCTCCCAGTTCAAGTGATTCTCATGCCCCAGAATCCTGAGTAGCTGGGATTATAGATGCCCGCCACCACGCCCAGATATTTTTTGTATTTTTAGTAGAGATGGGGTTTCACCATATGTTGGCCAGGCTAGTCTTGAACTCCTGACCTCAAGTGATCCACCTGCCTCGGCTTCCCAAAGTTCTGGGATTACAGGCATGAGCCACTGCACCTGGTCCCTCCTCTTCTTATTTTAAAGTGTTATTCCAAGGATTGAAGGAGAGTATATTTGAAAGTGTTCTATGAATTGGCCAGTATTATACAAATTTAAGAGTGTGTGTGTGTGTGTGTGTGTACGTGTATGTGTGAGTGTTTCAGTACCCAGCGAAAATCTTAAACTTGGCATATGTCTGTGGGTAAAAGTGGAAATCATGATTTTACTTTTTGACCAGTAGAGACCATTCCAAAGCCTGGGGCACAGGAGAATAAAGGGAAATTCCTGGAAATACTGACCTGGAAGAGTCTTAGCACATCCAGTGAAACCTAGAGTGTAGATATAATTTTATAACCTAGATATAATGTTAGGCTAAACTTTGAAAATTAAAGTTTGTTGTGAATAAGGATAGAATTTTTAACACAAACTCTAGATGTCCAGGATTTGTTGGCACCAAATATAAAAATGTAAGGGGGTGAGGATGAACTCATCTTCTGGGAAAAGCCCATGAACAAAACTGACTTTTTTTAGCCAAACCATTCACATCCTCCTGGCATCTTAGAATCCTCTGGAAATAAGCCCAACACTTCCTGTGGGCTTACCATGTGCCAGACAATTTTATACGATGCTTTAATTGATTTCTTACTATTAAATTAATTATAAAAATATTGTTAATCATCACAACAATCCTGTGAGGTGGGCTACCTTGCTCACTTCCATTTTGCAGATGGAGGGACCTTAGGTAATTTGGCCATGGACCTATAGCTAGTAAAAGAAGTGAGATTTGAACCCAGGCAGGTCTGATTCTGGAGTTCACATGCTTTCCTTTTCCCTCTACTGCTTTTCAGCCTGGTACATTTATCAATGACAGTGACCATTTACAAGAAGATGATTTACTTATCTTTTTGAAATTTAGCTTATAATTTATATACTCCTTAAAGTCAAACTTTTGTCACCTGCTTAGAATTCACTGCAGAGGACAGAATGTTTGTGAGGGTCACCTGTATCTCCGAGAGGTGTTTCAAATGCTTTTTTCCTTGCTCAAAGTTTTCGGAGTTTCAGAAAATATAAAAATGGCTGACCCATGTTCAAGAACATTGAGAAATTTTAATGAAACCACTGAGGAGAGAGTAATGGGCAGGGACTGACATGATGCTATGGTGATGATGGCAAAGACGGAGAGAAAAGAATGAAGAGGAGAACCTGGGAATGATTCTGAGCCTGAGAGCCGCAGGCCTCACCTAACAAAAGAATTAGCAAGCCATAATCAACAGGCATAATGCCCTTTCATGTGGGATGCTGAAGACTAGTATTGCACACAGTGATAGAAATAATAATGTTTAATGAATAACCATTAAGATCTGTCTGAACAGCCCACTAGAATAAATAGAAATAGGTAAAGAAAATTTAGTTGGTTTGTCTAGGGTGATCTCTCCCCTATAATCTTTACTATTATTATTATTATTATTATTTTGAGACTGAGTCTCTCTCAGCCGCCCAGGCTGGGGTGCAGTGGTGTGATCTTGGCTCACTGCAACTTCTGTCTCCTGGGTTTAAGCGATTCTCCTGCCTCAGCCTCCCGAGTAGCTGGGACTACAGGCACGTGCCATCATGCTCAGCTTTTTTTTTTGTATTTTTAGTAGAGATGAGGTTTCGCCATGTTGGCCAGGCTGATCTCGAATTCCTGGCCTCAGGTGATCCACCTGCCTCAGCCTTCCAAAGTGCTGGGATTACAAGTGTGAGCCACCGCACCCGGCCCTCTCCCCTGTTATCTTAACATCCCTTCCTCAATTGCCTTCTCAGCTTCAACTAGAAATGAGTGAATTGGCAGACTACCCCATGGCAAGGGAGCTGTGTGACTGCCCCCTCATGCTGGGGAGAAGGTCAAGGGTGTCCAGGTGCTCTGTCCCCAGCTTACTGCTCCAGCTGTCATGGGACATGTTAACCACCACTCCTTTGCAATACTGATGATGAAGACACACCCTACCTCATGTGGGTTGTGTTGCTGGCGGGTTTTGGCATCAGAGACAGGGGATTAACTCAAAGCAAGGTTTTTCCTCAAGCAGAAAAAAAAAATTGGCGATTGATAGAACAAAGGAAACGAGCTGAGAAAAAGCCAAACAAAGAATAGTGGTTGGATGATTCATGAGGTGGGGTGCTCCTTTCTGGTAAAAAAAAAAAAATGTTATTATAAGATTGAAATCTGCCTATAGCTGTCTTGTTCTTTAATGACCATGTTCTCTTTCAGAATTCTAAGTGTAGGTTATGCCTGGGAACGGGAAAGATTTGAAATGAAGGACTCTTTTATCATAAGTGGGTCCACTTCCTCTGCTGTTCCTTGCGGTGAGGGCTATGGACATGGCCATTTCAATGCCAGCCCTGCAACTAAGTCATGGTGATTCATTATGTTTTCCTACCTTTGAGGACAGAAGAAGGAAAGTGCTTTTAAAATCTGCCTTTTTTGGTTTGCTCCAAAAAGACCTGGGGATTATTTGCAGATTACATTCTTTCCGGGCTCAGTAACTTTTTCCTCATTGTTATTGTGAGCACTTTCATTGTTTTAACCAATAATAGCTCAAGTGCAGCCAGGACTCTTTTCTTGGGACAGGAAGACCCCAGGAAAAGCTGTCAATTAGTAACCATTCACAATATACAATTGATGAGTGTCTGTCATTTCCAGTGCTGCTGAAGAGGGAAAAGTCTGGGCATCCAACTTTGACCAGATGAAGGAGAGGAACATTGCAAACATTGTCTTCCATGGGCTATCCCTGAAAAGTTCTGAGGTTCTGTTTCAAGAATAGTAGCAGGGTTTTTTTTGTTTTGTTTTGTTTTTTGAGATGGAGTTTCACTCTTGTTGCCCAGGCTGGAGTGCAATGGCGTGATCTTGGCTCACTGCAACTTCCGCCTCCTGGATTCAAGCGATTCTCCTGCCTCAGCCTCCCGAGTAGCTTGGACTACAGGCATGCGCCACCACACTGGGCTAAGTTTATATTTTTAGTAGAGAGAGGGTTTCTCCATGTTGGTCAGGCTGGTCTCGAACTCCCGATCTCAAGTGATCTGCCTGCCTCGGCCTCCCAAAGTGCTGGGATTACAAGCATGAGCCACTGCACCTGACAATAGTAGTGGGTATTTATTTATTTATTTATTTATTTATTTATTTTGAGACGGAATCTCGCTCTGTCGCCCAGGCTGGAGTGCAGTGGTGCAATCTTGGCCCACTGCAACCTCTGCCTCCCGGGTTCAAGCGATTCTCCTGCCTCAGCCTCCCAAGTAGCTGGGAGTACAGGCGTGTGCCACCACGCCCAGCTAATTTTTTGTATTTTTAGTAGAGATGGGGTTTCACCGTGTTAGCCAGAATGGTCTCAATCTCCTGACCTCATGATCCGCCCGCCTTGGCCTCCCAAAGTGCTGGGATTACAAGCGTGAGCCACCACACCCGGCCAATAGTAGTGGTTTTTTGTTTGTTCGTTTTTGAGAAAGAGTCTCTCTATGTCACCCAGGCGGGAACACAGTGATGTGATCTTGGCTCACTGCAACTTCCACCTCCCGGATTCAAGCAATTCTCCTGCCTCAGCCTCCTGAGTAGTTGGGACTGCAGGCATGCGCCATGATGCCCAGCCAATTTTTGTATATTTAGTAAAGACTGGATTTCGCCATGTTGGCCAGGCTGGTCACATAGTTTTTTTTTTTTTTTTTTCTAATCATCATTCAGATGAGTTTAAGAAAAACACATGAAGTTAGACTTAAAAAATCCATGCCTTATGGAGAGGTTAGCAGTGACAGGGTGAGGCTGGGTGGTGGCATAAAATAGCAGGGACAAGATTCCAGTCACACTTGTGCTCCTGTAAAATTGGGTGGGGACCAGTCTGGCCTGAAAGGAACTTAGGGATAAAATTTCTCTTCCTCAGTTAAGAATCTGTGCTGATAATCTAATGGTTAAATCTGGGCTTTAGAAATTGTCTGCTTGGAATGCACCTGGGATCCTGAAAGTTTATGTCCTTAGGCCAGTTACTTCACCTTTTAGCACCCCTTCACTTAAAAGTACAATGGGGATAGGCTGGGCACGGTGGCTCATGCCTGTAATCCCAGCACTTTGGGAGGCCGAGGCCAGTGGATCACCAGGTCAGGGGATCGAGACCATCCTGGCTAACACGGTGAAACCCCATCTCCACTAAAAATATAAAAAATTAGCCAGGCATGGTGGCGGGCGCCTGTAGTCCCCCGCTACTCGGGAGGCTGAGGCAGGAGAATGGCATGAACCCGGGAGGCGGAGCTTGCAGTGAGCCGAGATTGCAGCACTGAACTCCAGCCTGGGCGACAGAGTGAGACTCTGTCTCAAAAAAAAAAAAAAAGTGCAATCGGGATAGAATAGTACAAACACCATGGGGCAGGATCAAATGATTAATTCATGGAGTAAGTACTCAACAGATGTTGACTATTAGTTGTCATTAAGGCTGTGACATCACAATAGCTCTTCTGTAGCACAAATTAGCCAGAAGTTTCCATTTTTAATTAGCTGTGTGATCTTAGGGCTGAATTTTCTCATCTGTAAAATGAGGAAGCTATCTCAGATAAAGTCTAAATTGACCTGGAAAATCTGGGATTATACTTTTATTTTCTTTCTTTGTTTTTGAGATGGAGTGTTGCCTTGTCACCCAGGCTGGGGTGCAGTGGTGTGATCTCGGCTAACTGCAACCTCTACCTCCAGGGTTCAAGCAATTCTCCTGCCTCAGCCTCTAGAGTAGCTGAGATTACAGGTGCGCACCACCACACCTGGCTAATTTTTGTATTTTTAGTAGAGATGGGGGTTCTGCCATGTTGACCAGGCTGGTCTCGAACTCCTGGCCTTATGTGATCCACCCACCTTGGCCTCCCAAAGTGCTGGGATTATAGGTGTGAGCCACTGTGCCGGGTCCACTCTTCATTTTCTCAGTGGAAATACTAAGTAAAATAAGCAGTATCTGTTCTGAACACGTGGCAACCCAGCAACATTCAGGCCAAAGAGGTAGCTTGTTCACCAATCTTTCACTACAGTTAGTCTGTTATCTTATCAGAAGATCACAAGCCGGCCTGGCATGGTGGCTCACGCCTGTAATCCCAGCACTTTGGGAGGCCGAGACAGGTGGATCACCTGAGGTTGGGACTTCAAGACCAGCTTGGCCAGCATGGTGAAACCCCATTTCTACTAAAAATACAAATATTTGCCAGGCATGGTGGCGCACGCCTGTAATCTCAGCTACTCCAGAGGCTGAGGTATGAGAATCGCTTGAACCTGGGAGGCAGAGGTTGCAGTGAGCCGAGATCACGCCACTGCACTCCAGCCTGGGCAATACAGCGAGACTCCGTCTCAAAAAAAAAAAAAAAAAGAAAACAAAAGGTCACAAGCCATAGCTCATCGAGTGCAACCTGGAACAACTTTCTGGAGGTCAATCTGGCAGTATTTATCAAAGACTCAAAAGAATGTGTACCCCAACAGTCCACTTTTAGGAGTTTACCCTGGGACAATGATAAATAATAATAAAGGATGTTGCAAGAAAGCTACAAAGACGTCACTATAGGATTATTTATAATAAGGAAAAACTATAATCAAAACAGAGGGTTGATTAAATAAATTATGGTACAGCTAGAATGCAGTTATAAAAAAGATTAATCAGGGATTTTTTTCTGATATGGTAAGATGCTTATAACATATTGTTAAACAAAAAAGCAGATTCTCAATACATAATATAACCCCAGAGTGGTCAAAAAACATGGATATATATATAACTATGCCAATTTGAGAGAGAAGGAGAGAGAGAGATTGCACTCCAAATAATTCACCAAATCTACCAAATACATAATCAGGCCACCAAAATATCCACCCAAATATAAAAAGTGCTTACCTCAAGATGGTGATTGGCATTTTCTTTTTTGTATTTAGTTTTTACTAATATTATACAATGAACATGTTTTGTGTTTCCCTAAACTTTTTTTGGAAAAATTAAAACATTAACAAAACCAGAAAAAATAGTAATAGTTCCCTTCCACGTACCCATTACTGAATTTCAGCAATTAACCCATGACCAATCTTGCCTCATCTTGTATTATTTTTTAGTAGAAAAAAGAAAACCCTAACAACTTAAAGATATTTAAGACTCTATCTGTAAGAGGAATTATTTATTTCACTCCAACTATGAAACACATAATGAAGAAATCAGTTCAAGATTCATCATGGTCCAGAGCACTGCATTTTTAATCTCATCAGGTGGAGGTAAGAACAATTCTGCACAGACCTAGGCCAGGTCTTCATCAAGCAAACATCCAGTCAAGACTGGCTACAGGTGCAACTCACAGAAATCCACCTCTAAGAAGTTGGCCAGGCGCAATGACTCATGCCTGTAATCCCAGCACTTTGAGAGACCGAGGCGGGTGGACCACTTGAGGCCAGGAGTTCAAGACCAACCTGACCAACATGGTGAAACCCTGTTTCTACTAAAAATACAAAAATTAGCCGGGTGTGGTGGCACTGCGTGTAATTCCAGCTACTCGGGAGGCTGAGGCAGGACAATCACTTGAGCCTGGGAGGCAGAGGTTGCAGTGAGCTGAGACTGTGCCACTGCACTCTAGCCTGGGTGACAGAGCAAGACTCTTGTCTCAAAAAAAAGAAGTGCATGTGGGAAGTAGTTGGCTCTTGTGATCCCCCAAAGGAAGGCAGGCAGAGGCAGAGGTAAAGAGGGATGCTGGGGTGCAAAGGGTCCCCCAGGTCCTTGGGCCCACTCCTCTCAGGCCTCTAACCTGAATCCTGGGCATGTCAGCTCATAGCCTCATGGCACAGGAAGGGCGTCTCACTGCTGCCAGTCAAAAACCCTGGAGTGGCCTCTGTCTGGTGGGCTATGGGGTCAAGTCACTTCCTTGTTGCCAGGTGGCAGAGATCCAGGATCACATTGAGATGTATAGAAGTTCCAACAACAACAATAATAATAACAATAACAGCAACCACTTAAAAATCTATAGCATCCACTCTGTGCCAGGCACTGTGTAGACATTATGTGTATATAGGCATTTAAGCCTCACACAACCCTAACAGGCAGGTCCTGTTAGCATCATCACCCCTATTTTAGAGATGGGAAAGGGCCAAAAAAGATCAAGTGACTTGCCCAAAGTCACAGAACTAGAAGGTGGTGGAACCAGGATTCAAAGCTAGGCAGCCTGGACCCAGAGCCTGTGCCATTAGCCACTATGTGATTCCATTGCTTGAGGTTCTGAACACTGAAAATATGGTGGTGCCTCTTACCATAGATTTATGTAATCTAAATCCAAATCATGCTCAACTCTGAATTACAGTGAGAAAGTTAACAAACAAACAAACAAACAAAAAACCACATTTTCGTTTTTCCTACGATGACTCGCTAATTGTTTGCGTTTCTCATGGTTTTGGTGCTGGAGCCCTGAGTAACACTTTGTTACTTGGATAACTGGTCCCAGGGTTTGTGAAGGGGTTGGTAGTGAGCAGGCAGCGCACACGTGCAAGTGCCTCTGTGCCCCCTGCCACTGCGCAGGGAGTCCTCCAGCCCCATTGGCTCTCACTTTGGGGGCTCTGGCCGCGTTATAGGCCTAGCAGCCCACTTCCGTAAAGGGAGTGACATGCGTCCCACACTCGCTTTTCTTTTTCCTTCTTTCCTTTCTTCTTTCTTTCTTTTCTTCCTTTCTTCCTTTTTTTCTTTCTTTCTCTTTCTTTCTTTCTTCTTTCTTTCTTTCTCTCTTTCTTCTTTCTTTTTCTTTCTTTCTTGTTTGTTATTTTGTTTTTTTGTTTTTGTTTTGTTTTTTTGAGACAGGGTCTCACTCTGTCCTCCAGGCTAGAGTGCAGTGGAGTGCAGTGGCGTGATCTCGGCTCACAGCAACTTCCGCCTCCTGGGTTCAAGCGATTCTCCTGCCTCAGCCTCCCGAGTAGCTGGGATTACAGACGCGTGGAACCACCACGCCCGGCTAATTTTTTGTATTTTTAGTGGAATGTAGTTTCTTTATGTTGGCTAGGCTGGTCTCGAACTCCTGATCTCAAATGATCTACCCGCCTCGGCCTCCCAAAGTGCTGGGATTACAGGCATGAGCCACTGTGCCCGGCCCCTCTTTTAACTCTTTAAATGAGTTTGGCAGCGAGTAATCAGAAACTCGACTGTCAGTGTAAATGGAAACCCTAAAGAGGCCTATTATCTTAAGAAGTCTGAGAATAATTAGGGTTCTTGGCAGCTCTGATGGCTCAATGATATCATCAAGACCCAGCTGGCCCACCTTGCCACCCTGCCTCTTCATGGGTCCACTCCTCGAGTTCATACCCTATGGTCTCAAGATGGCTGCTACAGGGTCGGGTATCATTGTCCTCTTATAACATAATGTAAACATTTTTTAAAAAGAGAGGAGAGGGCTGGGCGCGGTGGCTCACGCCTAGTAATCCCAGCACTTTGGGAGGCAGAGGCGGATCACCTGAGGTCAAGGAGTTCGAGACCAGCCTGGCCAACATGGCGAAATCACGTCTCTACTAAAAATACAAAAATGAGTCGGGCATGGTTGTGGGGCCTGTAATCCCAGCTACTAGGGAGGCTGGAGCAGGAGTATCGCTTGAACCCGGGAGCTGGAGGTTGCAGTGAGCCAAGATCCCGCCACTCCAGCCTAGGTGACAGAGCAAGACTCTACCTCAAAAAAAAAAAAAAAAAAGAGAGAGGACAGAGGGAAGAGAGAAAAGAGAGAGACAGAGAAAGAGAGAGAGAGGGAAAGAGAAAGAGAGAGTGAGAGAAAGAGGAGAGAGAGAGGAGAGAAAGAAGAGAGGAGAGGGAGAGAGAGAAAGGGCGGCATAGGGGTTTACTTCATATGGTTCTCTCCTATTTGAGCAAAGAAAACCCATCCAATAAGCAACCCCACAAACATTTGGTTAATTCTCATTGGCCAGGATGAGGTCACATGACTGCCTAGCCCAATCATTGGCAAAGTGGGTATTGGGCTCAGACCAATCATGATTCACCGCCTGGGGCAAGGGCACATGTCTTCCGTGGGCAATATTTGGCCTCTGTGTGCAAGGAAGTAGAGATGGCTGTTGGGTAGGCTGCCTTATAAACCCCTTTCTCCTTCCTCTCATGTCCCTCTTCCCAAAAGGCCTAAAAAGTAGAAGGCCTGGGGCAAGAAGAAGGTCATGGTTGGAAAGTAGGGGAGGTGGTTTGCTCATTAGTGAAATTTATAGTTATTCCTTCATGGAATAATTGACCTGTTTTTCCTAACTTTTAAGGCTTCAGAAAATTCTTAAATTCCAAGGCCAAGAACACTGTATTACTTTTCTATGGCTGCTGTAACAAATTGCCACAAATTTAGTGGCTTAAAACATACAGATTTGTCTTACAGTTCTGGATGCCAGAAATCCAGAATCAATTCCCTGGGCTAAAGTCAAGGTGTTGGCTGGGCTGGTTATTCTGGAGCTTCTAGGGGGCGTGAACCAAAAAAAAAAGACACTAGGCAACCACCAGTGTGTATTCGGTGAGGCAATGGTAAAGGGGAGCTTTTACTAGAAAAAAGAGATTTACCTAAGCTGCTTAGAAACACAGAGTTCATGGCCGGGCATGGTGGCACACACCTGTAATCCCAGCACTTTGGGAGGCCAAGGTGTGTGGATAGCCTGAGGCCAGGAAATCGAGACCAGCCTGGGCAATATGACAAAACCCCGTGTCTGCTAAAAATACGAAAAATTAGCCAGGCATGGTGCTGCAGGCCTGTAGTTCCAGCCACTCAGGAGGCTGTGGCGGGAGAATTACTTGAGCCCCTGAGGTGGAGGTTGCAGTGAGCCAAGATTGTGCCACTGCACTCCAGCCTGGGCAACAGAGTGAGACTCCTGTCTCCTCTCTCCAGTCTCAAAAAAAAAAAAAAAAAAAAAAATGCAGCTCTAAAGAATGTCTAGTAATAAACCTTATCAAAGCAGGAGATGGGTGAAAGGTATGAAAGGGTTTTTAGAAAGTCCTTGGAAACAATTCTTATCTCAGACATGAGATCATGTCTTTTTTGGGCCTTCCCAGCCCTATTTTATCTGGGTCTGACAAAAGCCACTCCATCCTGGTATCTGCAACTTTCACAGGGAGACCCCCTTCCCTTGCCATTTTCAACTTCTAGAGCCTTCCTCTGTTCCTTGGCTTGTGGCCCCTCCTCCATTTTCAGCGAGCATTTGCCTGCCTCTTCTGACTCTGATTCCTCCTGCCTCCCTTTTATGAGGAGGGTTGTGATTACGTTAGACCTGCTTGGATAATCTAGGACAATCTCCCCATCTCAAGACCCTTAAGCTAGTCACATCTGCAAAGTCCCGTTTGCCATGTAATGTAATATCCACAGGTTCCAGGGAGTAGGACATGGATATCTTTGGGGGCCATTATTCAGCCCACCCACACATCCTAGTACCTTACCCTCCAAATACCCTTACAGAACAGCTTACAGGGCAGGAGGGAGGACAGAGTGCAATCTGAGTGCCAGTGTTTTCTCAGTAATATTCAGCAGCTCATGATTGTGGCTTTGGGGCCCATGTGGCTTAGGTTTGTGGTAGGTGCTTGGGAGGACGTTTGTGCCTGAAGGACAGGATCCCATCAGAAGGCCATCTTTCTCGGGAGCCAGCGGGGAACACTTTTAACTCTCTGTGTGTTTTGTGTCTCTGCAGATAAATGAGTCACATTTGCTAGAGTGAATATGAAAGAAGGTAGCAGATCCCAATAATTCAAAGTGACTTTCATCAAATCACATGCTGACATTAGCTTCATAGCTTTTTTTTTGGTTTTTTTTTTTTGAGATAAAGTCTTGCTCTGTCACCCAGGCTGGAGTGCAATGGCACGATCTCAGCTCAATGCAATCTCGGCCTCCCGTGTTCAAGTGATTCTACTGCCTCAGCCTCCCGAGTAGCTGAGATTACAGGTGCCCCCCACCATGCCTGGCTAATTTTTGTATTTGTAGTAGAGGCGAGGTTTCACCATGCTGGCCAGGCTGGTCTAGAACTCCTGACCTCAAATGATCCACCCACCTCAGCCTCCCAAAGTGCTGGGATTACAGGTGTGAGCCACTGTGCCCAGCCAGTTTCATGACATTTTTAATGAACCTATTTTGTGAGGCAATGATGCAAGCTCTTGGGTTAGTACGTAGAATTTGTGCACTCAGGTTACAGACCACTCAGCCTTGTTTTCTTCTCTGTGCGTCCTTTCCTTTTGTTGCAGCTCTGGTGCTCGCCCCTGACTTTCATGACCTTACTGTCATCTTTTAGATATTGGAAGCCTTGCATCCAGCTTTTGAGGGGCATTTCTTCACCTTTCTGCCTGCTGAGTGTCTCCCATGGGGGATGGCTTTCGACTCCTCTATTGGTTTCTCCCATACAGCCTCACCGGCTCTCTGCAAATGGAACCAAAGCTTGGGGGAGACCCTGCTGAGTCCTGGGCAGAGGCACACTGACCAACCAGAATATATTTCAGGGACAAGTCAGTAATGTACTGGTAAATGCTAACAACTGGCTCTGCAGAAAGAAACAAATTCCAATCTGTAGGATTTGCCTATTTTGTGATGCAAATACACCCACTGTGTCTGTTTCAAGCTGTCAATCTGGTGTCAATCCAAATGTGGAGTCCAGAAGAGGTGAGCACAATCAGCTCCAGCACACTGGGGCCAAGCAAAGGAGAAGCCACCTCTTCCATGACAGAGAAGAACTCGTGAAACACACTGTCTCCGGAATTTCTTCCAAATTCAATCTTCAGCATGGTCACGGTCCCCTCTTTGAGTCAGAACTCCATTTTGCTCGTCAATCTTTCCCACTGTCCTTCCTTCTTTCCTGTGTGAAGCCACGCTGGCCTCATAGTAACTTTTACTGGCCAGACACTTACCATGTAGGGAATGTGAAAGGGCTGATGGAGGTGATCTGCTCCTGTGTGATGTGAGTGTTATACAGAAGGAAAACGGTCAACTCGTTGCAACGTCCAAGGCACATTAGCTGAGCTAATTAGTCTATGGTTATGAAAAAAAAGAAAAGGAAAGAAAGAAGGAAGGAAGGAAGAAAAGAAAGAAAGAAAGAGAAAGAAAAAAGAAAAGAAAGAGGTCGAGAGAAGGTAGGCAGAATATGTTATGTAAGTTCTTAGAGTATCCAGATTTCAATTAATGACTTTGACCTTCTTAAATTCCTGTTCCAAAATCAAATGGATGCATTTCTTTTTCTTCCTTTCTCCATCTCTACACACAATGGAGTGGGGCACAGTGAATGACAAAATCACCAAAAATGAGCTGTGGAGGGGACAGTCAAGGTGACCAGATAGTCCACAAACTGCGTGTCAGAACTGAGTGACTGAGAGCTGGGTGTGGTGGCAGGCACCTGAAGTCCCAGCTACTTGGGAGGCTTAGGCAGGAAAATTGCTTGAACCCAGGAGGTGGAGGTTGCATGAGCCAAGATCACGCCACTGCACACCAGCCTGGGCGACAGAGCAAGACTCATCTCCAGAAAAAAAAAAAAAAGAACTAAGTGAGAATTGATCAAACATGGAACTGTAACAGTAAATGTTGCTGACGAAGACATGAAAAGGTATAATGATGTTGAAAAATCCACATGTCTGGACAAAGCTCTGCATCACAGTGTCTGCTGTGCTGTTTTATGGGCCTTGCCCTAAAACACAACCAAGCAGAGGCCAAGCCTGGAGGGCACACCGCTCCCTGGAAGCAAGGTGCAGACAAGAGCATCTGAATGTTTGTTTGGTTGAGCTGCTCTTTCTCCATTGTCTGCTGCCTCACTGGTTATGACATGCGCCAGATTAGCCTTCTCCCACTCATTCCACTGGCATTTGTTAAAACAGCGTTCACCGAGATCCAATCTGGTTGTGTCTTGTAGCCTGGCTGTAACTTTCCACTTTCAGGGAGAGGTAATAAGGGGTTCACGAGTCCTAATTTTACAGTTAAAAGCAAGGATTCTAAAGCATAAACCTTGGAGAAATTCTTCTAAAAACTAAAGGAGGGGAAACTGAAGTTTGGTTCCTAAATACCCCTAGGACATTGTGCCACTTGGTCCTCGCATCAATTAAAAGGTAACAAGAGAATCAAGAAAAAGTATAGATCCAAATTGGCTAATAAGGATATCCAGCCATAGGGTAAAATGTAAAATATCCAATAATCCTGGGGGGGTGGGGGGACATATTCAGAGTAGGCTTGGTTTGTCTTGTGCTTCATTTCCATCATCTACAACAATTCTGGACCAATTCTGGACAACCTCGCACCAGAATTAGGGTGAGTGGAATGAGGATTCTAAGGTGCAAAATTTAAGGATGCTTGCACTGTCAGGTTTGTGCAGATTTTGCCATTGCACTCGCACGACCCTGAGAGGGAGTGCTGCCTTAAATATTGTGCCCTAGGTGCCTCACTGTCATCCCAGCCCTGCCAGTCCATTTAGGGATTAAAATATATTTTTCAAAAATTGTTTCTTCCATGGGCTTAGCTCACTACCTCTTTCTAAGCCCCATAGGAGACATTTTAGGGAATAGGAACAGAAGCAGTTCCTACTTTGAGAAACCAGTGACCTCTTTGCTAAGTGTTGTCAAATAGAGCTGGGTTAACTCAACACTTACTGTATCCTTGGGCAGGTCAGTTAACTTCTGGGGTTTCCTTTCTTCATCTATAATGTGCAGATGATTATACCTACTTGACAGGATCTTTGTGAATATTGGAAGTAATTCACAAAAAGTGCCAGTGACAGTGCCTGGCACATAGTATGTGCTCACTAAATGGAAGCTTTTCTTGTGTTATTATTATTGCTGATAGTAGTGGTGATATTGACAGCACCAACCAGCCAACAATCTTTAGGTGAGAACAAGCACATGGACTTGCTGCAAAAAATATCCAGAAGCTGTATCCGAGGACAGATTTGACAGATTCGTGTCAGATTCAGATGCACATAACCCATGTGGGGCCCTCAGTGTGTGTGCAGGAGTTTCGTGGCATTTTAACTAATCATGACCACAGACAATTCTTCATCAATTATCTATTCTCATGTACTACAGATAATTTTTTACTATAAGTATGTCTCATGAAATATTTGGGACATACTTATACAAGAAAACAATTTTTCTTTGCTTATTTGCAATTCAGACTTGACTGGATATCCTGCATTTTATCTGGCAACCCTCGGAGGGGAGTTGTTAGTACAGGGACTCTAAAGTGGTGCCTGCTTTGGGTGTGCCTCTGGAATGCACATTTGCACTGATGGCCCCTGAGGCTCAGCACTCTGCACAACTAGCAGGTGAACCGCTGAAGCTTTCCCTGGTTGTTTTGGCTCCTGGCTTTCTCCTCCCTCCCTCTCCAACAGCTTCTCCTGGTAGCAGGAATGGACATGACAGCTGGCAGTGCAATGCAGATGGGAGAGGCAGGGCGGGGTGAACTGGTTTAAAATTACACAATAGTCAGCTGGCCCCATGCCCCTTAACCAAACTCCCAAGGAAATGCTAGCTGCCTTCTGGGGTTGCCACCACCCCAGGCAGCCCTCTGTTTAGGGGTTCTTCTGTCTGATATGTGTTTCATAAGAGAACAAAAGGAGAGAGGGCTCTTGCAGAGAACTTTTGCTTCTGGAACCAGAATTTCTAAAATAAGCTTCAGGTTCTTTTATCTCATTGTGACATTCTGGGTTATATTAATGGATAACCTCAAAGAAAAAAAAATGGTAAAATCATGATTGTCATACAGAAATAAAAATGAATACATGTTAAAGATTTTATTTAACTCTGTAATGAGGAAACTGGTAAGATGTTACAATAAGTTCAGATAAGTAAAAAAAAATAAAGCACAAATTTATATGGAGTAAAGGAATGTTGAAATGAATGAGCAAATGGATACAAAACTGGCTTGGAGGTGTCATGGGCTGAATTGTGTTACCCAAAATTCATATGTTGAAGTCCTAACAGCCAGTACTTCAAAATGTGTAGGTCATTAGGGTGGGTCCTGATCCGGTATCACTGGTTCCTTTATAAGAAAAGTTTGAGTTTGACACATACAGTGGGAAGACCATGAGAAGACACAGAGAGGACAGCCATCTACAAGCCAAAGAGTGAGGCCTTGGAGGAAATCAACCTAGACAGCACCTTGATCTCAGACTTCAAGCCTCTAGAACAGTGAAAAGATAAATTTCGGGTGTTTAAGCCACTCAGTGTGTGGCACTTTATTATGGTAACCCAAACACACTAAGACAGAGGTGAAGGGGTCATTTGCATGTCTATAGATGAGAATCATTTTAAGTTCCCATTAGTTACCTATAATTTATGGAGTCGTAGAATAGCTCCCTTAGAATCAGATAACCCACCCCCTGGCAGCCAAGTGCCCTGGTGCCCACCCCCGTCAAGCCCGAAAGATGGGGAGGTGGGGTGGCAGGAGTTTCTGTCCCCCATATTCCATACACGTCCCCCTCTCCTCCCTCCTAGTGAGCAGGGGCCTGCAAGGCATCACTCCCAGCCCCTCGCCCTCTTGGGCACCCTCAGCAAAGGGGCGGGTGGGGACACTCCAAGTGGGGCAGCTCTCCCTACACGTGCCCCAACCCCATGAGCCAGTTCAACCCTATCAGGGGCTGAGCAGGGGCATCCCCTCCTTTTTTCATAGTCTCCGTGGATGTCCTCGCCCTGTAGCCACAAGCCCCTTGCTGCTCTCCTTTAATGCCAAAGGGCCCCTGCCTAGGACACAGGCCCAACCTGTGTGGTGGGGTCCCCAGCAGCAAACACTGGAACGTCTTTTTTCTTTTGCTTTCTTCTTCCCCACCCCTTAATTTTAACTTTGTGGTAACTAAGTGTCCCTGAGTGCCAGCTGAATGTGCGGGCGGCAGTGCCGTTCCGGAGGCCTGGTCCATCTGCAGTTTTGAGGGGTGAGGGGACCAGCGTGGGGGTTAGTTAGCTTCCCTTCCCCACCTGCAACCAGGGACTGCCCGGGTAACTAGCTTTGATCCTGTCTGCTCCCTCCCTGATCCCTCCCCTGCTCATGTCCCTTCTCTATGAACTTAAATTGAAAACCGCTTCCCTCCATCTCTCCTCCCGCTCCCATGTGGAGGGGGAATGTGTGCTGGCCAGGGTGGAGGACTGAGCACCTGAGCCTGGGGCTGGCTCCCCCGGGGTCCCCGACTCAGCTGGTGGCTGTGGAGCTGAGTCCCCTCCCCATAACCCCTGGGAGGCCAGCACCCACCATCACTACCTGCACCTGCTGTGGTCCCACCTTCTGGAGGCCTGGGAACCTGGCTGCAGACTGGGAAGGCTGGAGAGGCAGACGGCAGCACCCACCAGCTCTCTTCCCACCCTGCCTCTTCCCCGGGAGCCATGCCCTACCTGTGTGGTGCTGGGTGGGCTGACTGTCAAGACATGTGTCATGTACATTTGTATCAGAAATAAAGAAGTGACCACACACACACACACACACATACACAATCAGCTAACCCAGTCAGTTTAATAATAAGAGTTAATTTATGACTAGAATCAGCAAACTGCTTGTGGTCAAATCTAGCCCTACTGCCTGTTTTTGTAAATAAAGTTTGTTTTCTTTTTTTGAGGCAGGGTTTCACTGTGTCGCCCAGGTTGGAATAGCTGAGACTATAGGCATGTGCCACCGTGCCCACACCTAGCTAAAGTTTGTATTTTTGGTAGAGACAGGGTTTCACCATGTTGCCCAGGCTGGTCTCTGAAACTCCTGGGCTCAAAGCATACACCCGCCTCAGCCTCCAAAAGTGTTGGGATTACAGGTGTGAGCCACTGTGCCCAGCCAATAAAGTTTTATTATAACACTTATATATGGCTGCTTTCACAAGACAAAGACAGAGTTAAGAAGATGCATCCGCAAAGTCTAAAATGTTTACTACCTGGTCTTTTTTTTTTTTTTTTTTTTGAGATGGAGTCTCGCTCTGTCGCCCAGGCTGGAGTGCAGTGGCGCGATCTCGGCTCACGGCAAGCTCCGCCTCCCGGGTTCAGCCCGTTCTCCTGCCTCAGCCTCCTGAGTAGCTGGGACTACAGGCGCCTGCCACCACGCCCGGCTAATTTTTTTTTTTTTTTTTTGGTATTTTTAGTAGAGACGGGGTTTCATTGTGTTAGCCAGGATGGTCTCGATCTCCTGACCTTGTGATCTGCCCGTCTCGGCCTCCCAAAGTGCTGGGATTACAGGCGTGAGCCACCGAGCCCAGCCACTATCTGGTCTTTTACAGAGAAAGTTGTAGAGCCTTCTCTAGACAATGCATGGTTTTCCATTGAAACACAAATGTTTCCCTACAATTGGAAGGTCATTCAAGGTCATCCAGCTCAGGGATTCCTAGATTTTAAGATCTTATGGGTAAAATTTCAAAATAAAATTTTGAGGATAGTTATAGGGTCTCTAGTGTTTACTTTTGTCAAATATAACTACCTCATGAAAGAACACATTTTAACTACTCATATTTTAAAGTGAATAGCATATGAAATAGCATATGAAATCTTGCTGCATTATTCTTTCTTTAATTTCTCTGAGTTTTGGTAAAAACTCCACCCCTGAACAGACAGTTAATGGTCTAGATTGTGGAACCATTGACCTGGCCCAATCTCAGGCACTAGCTGCTGGCTCTGTCCAGAAAGGCTGCTGGCTTGGGCCCAGAGTCACGGCCTTACTCCTGTACTCAAGCTGATGCCCTCTGGGGAGAAGGGGCGTGTTCTCTGGGGGGTGGTTATTGCCAGAGCCAGCTTGTGCATGTGTCACACACCCCCTCCAATGATGATGGGTCTTGCCTGGCTTTAAATAATATGTTTTTTCCTAATTAAAAAAAAAAATAAATGCTCAGTGCAGAAAACATGGGAAAAAAATGGAAAGTACAAAATTCATCTTCACTCAGAGAGATGTAAAGATTTACTGATACACAGGGGGATTAAAAACAGTTTGCAATCTAAAAATCCTAAAGAGACAAAACCTAGCATATGTCTCAGAACTATCATGGAGCCTGGCACATGGCAGACGCCAATATTTATTGACATAACAGGCCAGGCGTGGTGGCTCAGAATGCCTGTAATCCCAGCACTTTGGGAGGCTGAGGTGGGTGGATCACAAGGTCAAAAGTTTGAGACCAGTCTGACCAACATGGTGAAACCACATCTGTACTAAAAATACAAAAATTCCCTGGGCGTGGTGGTGGGCGCCAGTAATCCCAACTACTCAGGAGGCTGAGGCAGGAGAATTGCTTGAACCCGGGAGGTGGAGGTTGCAGCAAGCTGAGATCATGCCACTGCACTCCAGCCTGGGCGACAGAGTGAGACTCCGTCTCAAAAAAAAAAAAAAAAAAAAAAAGACAGAAAGAAAGAACAAATAAGTCTGAATAACTGCAATGATTTTTCCCAGATGACTCAAGAAAATTCAGGGTCTCTTTTATTTTTATTTTTATTTGTTTATTTTTTGAGACAGAGTCTTGCTGTATTGCCCAGGCTGGAGTGCAATGGCATGATCTTGGCTCACTGCAACCTCGCCTCCCAGATTCAAGTGATTCTCCTGCCTCAGTCTCCTGAGTAGTTGGAATTACAGGTGCCCACCACCATGTCTGGCTTTTTTTTTTTTTTTTTTTTTGTATTTTTAGTAGAGACGGGGTTTCACCTTGTTGGCCAGGCTGGTCTCGAACTCCGGAGCTCATGATCTACCTGCCTTGGCTTCCCAAAGTGCTATGGTTACAGGTGCAAACCACCATGCCAGCCAATTTATTTTTTAATAATCTAAATAGCTAATATGGTCAGTCTTCCAGGTAAAAAAATACTTGTGCTTATCTTTTTTCCTTATGTACTTTGTATCATTTTTTCCCTTTTAAGATTTATGGCTGGGCGCAGTGGCTCATGCCTGTAATCCCAGCACTTTGGGAGACCCCGGTGGGCAAATCACTTGAGGTCAGAAGTTTGAGACCAGCCTGGCCAACATGGTGAAACCCCATCTCTACTAAAAATACAAAAATTAGCTAGGCGTGGTGGTGCATGCCTGTAGTCCCAGCTACTCGGGAGCTGAGGCAGGAGAATCACTTGAATCCGGGAGGCAGAGGTTGCAGTGAGCTGAGATGGCACTATCGCACTCCAGCCTGGGTGACAGAGCAAGTCTCCGTCTCAAAAAAAAAAAAAAAATTTATAACTGCCAAGAAAAACAATTTAAGAAGCAAGGATTATTTGTGTTCATTAGTTTTCATCATATTTTACTGTCTGAACAATTTATTTAAATTGTCTTATTAAACTGCCCTAATGATACATGCAGTATAGTGATATTTAGAAATTGATCTAGTAGACTTCAATTAATTTATTTATTTACTTTTGAGACAAGGTCTTGCTCTGTTTACCCACGCTGGAGTGCCAGTGGTGTGATCATGGCTCACTGCAGCCTCCTGGGCTCAATCAATCCTCCTGCCTCAGCCTCCCAAGTAGTTGGGACTATAGGCATACGCCAGCACGCTTGGTTAATTTTTGTATTGTTTTCAGAGACAGGGTTTTGCCCAGGCTGATCTTGAGCTCCTGGGCTCAAGTGATCCTCTTGCCTTGGCCTTCCAAGGTGCTGGGATTACAGGCGTGCACCGCCAAACCTGGTCCGTCTGGTAGACTTTAATGATTTCAAAAGATATGCCTCGCAATTTCTAAGAAGCAAAAATTGTTGAATTATTTCACATTTATGCCTGATTACCTAAATGAGAAACATGTTAAAATTTATATTCAGGCCATGCATGGTGGCTCACGCCTGTAATCCCAGCATTTTGGGAGGCCAAGGCGGGTGGGTCATGGGAGGTCAGAAGTTCTAGACCAGCCTGGCCAACATGGTGAAACCCCATCTCTACTAAAAACACAAAAAATTAGCCAGTGTGGTGGCAGGCTCCTGTAATCTCAGCTACTTGGGAGGTTGAGGCAGGAGAATCACTTGAACTCGGGAGGTGGAGGTTGCAGTGAGCCGAGATTGCACCATTGCACTCCAGCCTGGGCAACAAGAGCAAAGCTCTGTCTCCAAAAAAAAAAAAAAAAAAAAAAAAAAAAAAAAAAAAATTATATTTAAAACAAAAAATTGAGGCTGGGTACAGTGTCTCACACCTGTAATCCCAGCACTTTGGGAGGCTGAGGCGAAAGGATCACTTGAGGCCAGGAGTTCAAAAGACCTGCCTGGGCAACATATCTACCAAAATTAAAAATAAAAATAAAAAATTGAGAACAATTTTCAACCCTTTGTGGCTTGCAAAGGTAAAATTAATAACTTCATACTATTTCCTATAAAAACATCATTCATATCTTCTGCCTTGCACAGCTGTTCTCAGCCCCTTCCCGCAGTTTATTAACTCCATCTCCTCCTTTGAGAAACAAACATTCAAAATAATCCCTGATAAACTGGAAGAATAAAAATGACTTCTCCCTGGTTCTTCTTTGTCTAAATATTTAACTCACATATATCTTTGTTTCCCCTGACATTTCATTATGTTTAATGAGATTTTCTATTAAAACATAAGGTCATTTTAACTTTTAAAAAATAAGCAAGCATCATGTCTTTTCTTTCTTTCTTTCTTTTTTTTTTTTTTTTTTTTTTAGATAGAGTCTCTCTCTTGTCACCCAGGCTGTAGTGCAGTGGTGCCATCTTGGCTCACTGCAACCTCTGCCTCCTGGGTTCAAGCAATTCTCTGCCTCAGCCTACCAAGTAGCTGGGATTACAGGCGCCCACCACCACACCCGGCTAATTTTTTTGTATTTTTAGTAGAGATGGGGTTTCACCATCTTGGCCAGGCTGGTCTTGAACTCCTGACCTTGTGATCCACCCGCCTTGGCCTCCCAAAGTGCTGGGATTACAGGCATGAGCCACCATGCCTGGCCCAGCATCTTGTCTTTTCAAAAATTACATCCTTCCTTTGATGAGGCAACTGGCTGCATCTGATTTAAATCTTTCCTTAACCCCCCAGCCCAACAACACCCTGCACCTATCCCTTGCATTTCTCCACCCCTCGAACATTTAACCTCCTGGGTCAGGCCTGCCCCTCACCTGCCCATGTCATGGTAAGCCTCCTGCACTCTGACTCGATCCAGATGGGAGCCCACATATGACAGAGAGGCCTAGGAGCAGCCTTGGACCCTAACTTCCCCACTCATTCTACTTAGATTTTTCTTTCACTGTGTATGAAAATTTTCCTTCTCAACTACTTCCAGGGACCCAGATCTCTTTCTTCTCTTACTTCCTCTAAAACTTTTCATTACGGCGTCCTGGTTCAGGCCTTAGTGGTTTTGTCCCCTGATCATTCCCTCTCAATCCACTGTTACTGGCCACAGTCTTCAACAGATTATGCCCCTCCTGTGTGCAAGTCATGCACTACTGGCTTCATATACCTGATTTCTGGTCTTCACAACAACCCTGTGAAGCTGTGGGACTTGAGGTACAAAATCTCTATGAGCTTCCATTTCCTGATTTAGAATGTGAATATTAACACTAACAGGAGCCTACATTCTGTATTCCACACCACATTACCTTTCTTACATGGCTGTCTTTTCTCTATGTTGTCCCCAATGCCACACTGTGTATAATTAGATCTCAAGACACACTTGGTTATTTTTATTTACTATTTTTATAATTATTGACTACTGCTATGGTTTGGGTCTGTGTCTCCACCAAATCTCATGTGGAATTGTAATCCCCAATGTTGGAGGAGGGGCCTGGTGGGAGATGATTGGATCATGGGGGTATCTTTCCCCCTTGCTGTTCTCATGACAGTGAGTGAGTTCTCACGAGATCCAGTTGTTTAAAAGTGTGTGGCATTTGTCTCCCTCTTCCTCCTTCAGCAGCCATGTAAGACGTGACTGCTTCCCCTTTGCCTTTAGCCATGATTGTAAGTTTCCTGAGGCCTCAGCCATGCTTCCTGTATAGCTTGTGGAACAGTGAGCCAATTAAACCTCTTTTCTTTATAAATTACCCAGTTTCAGGTTTTTTTTTTTTTTTTGCAGTTGCAAGGTTTAATAGTGAAGACAGAGCTCCCATACAAAGGGAGGGGACCCAAAGAGGGTAGCCATTGCCGGCTCGAATGCCTGGGTTTATATCCCGCTGTGCTCTCAGGCAATAGATGATTGGCTATTTCTTTACCTCCTGTTTTTTGTCTAATTAGCATTTTAGTGAGCTCTCTCTACTATCTGATTGGCCAGGTGTGAGCTAAGTTGCAAGCCCTGTGTTTAAAGGTGGAAGTGGTCACCTTCCCAGCTAGGCTTAGGGATTCTTAGTCGGCCTAGGAAATCCAGCTAGTCCTGTCTGTCAGTCCCCCATCTCAACAGGAAAACCCAAGTGCTGTTGGGGAGGTTGGCCGATGATGGCTCTAACTGCTTCCTGCTGAACTGGGGCATAGTAGGGGTTGTGCAGTTGAGATTTCCTTGGGAGGGGTGCCTTTGATGTCATTAACATCGGAGCATGGGCTAGCAGGCTGGTCCAGGGGTCTGTGGTAGATCTTAGTCACGGACAGCATCTGGGGCTCCATTTGAAGAATGATTTGTAGTTTTACAGCTTCAATTCTGGAAGAGACAAACTTAACAAGGAGGTTAAAGATACAGGCTCCAAAGAGGAGTAACAATATTATTGCTGCTAGAGGTCCTAAGAAGGGGAGAATCCAGGGCATCCATTGACTGAGGAGGCCCCAAGGTCCAGTGTTTTGAAGCTCCTCTGCTCTATGTTGTATTCTATCTCAAATTTCTTTACCTTTCTCGGTGATGATTCCGGATTGATTAACATAATAATAGCATTCTTCCCCTAAAAATAAACAGGTTCCCCCCCCTTTTGGCGGTTAGCAAGTCTAAAGCTCTTTGATTTTGAAGGACTACTGCTGCTAGGGAGTTAAGTTGATCTTGCAAGGTGACCAGGGAGTCGGCAACCCATTCCATGTCACCATTTAGTTCTTGGGATAGTTTGTAGTAGAACTGAGTAGAGGTTGTGATACTGCCAATGCCAGCACCTAGTCCACCTAGCACTCCTGCTCTGATAACAAAAGGAAGAATGGGTACTCTTTTGTTGCAGGGCTTAGGTACAACATAATTGTATAAATCTTGTTCAGTGTAGATGGTCATAGGGGGCACTAAGAATGAGAGGAAGCACATAGATTCTGAAGAGCCATTCAAACAACGATAGGCTGAGGTGCCACAGACAAAAATATTCCTGGGGGTAGGCAGACTATTCCTGTGGGAGGAGTTATTCACCTGATGCATTGGGAGTTGGTTGTGTCTATAGTATTGCTAAATTTTACATAGGTGAGGTTTGAGGTATGGGTTATTTCCAGATTGGAAACAAGAGGTCCTACCAAAACGGAAGTGGTGTTTATTTCTGTGCTGAAGTTGTTCCATTGTTCAGGTACAGGGATTGAAATGTATGACCTGAAGTGCAGGGGGAGGCACATCCAACAGTTAGTAGGGTTTTGGGCTGAGACCTCATGGAGCCCAGTGAGGGCGGTATTAAATAGGCTTACCAGGCGAGTATGGGTACAGAGGGTTTCATGTAGTTTTGAGAGATCTAGTCCTTTGTAGGGGCTAGGGGTGCTATGTACCCAGGTCAGTTGGGAGATTACTTCCTTTACGTGTTTTTCTCTAGCCTGATCTTGAACTCCACCCCTATCAGACATATCAGTATGGGTGAAGTAAGTCCAACAGACAGTGGCTCCAAGTCCTCCAGGACAACTAGGATTAATCTTTTTTTTTTTTTTTTTTCTGAGACAGAGCCTTGCTCTGTCACCCAGGCTGGAGTCCAGTGGCTGAATCTCGGCTCACTGCAACCTCCTCCTCCCAGGTTGAAGCAATCCTCCTGTCTCAGCCTTCCTAGTAGCTGGGATTATAGGCACACACCACCACACCTGGCTAATTTGTATATTTTTAGTGGAGACAGGATTTTACCATGTTGGCCAGGCTGGTCTCAAACTCCTAATCTCAGGTGATCTGCCTGCCTTGGACTCCCAAAGTGCTGGGATTGCAGGCGTGAGCCACCATGCCCAGCCTCAGGTATTTCTTTATAGCAGTGTGAGAATGGATTAATACAACTACTTATTCAGTTATTTTCCTAAGTTAGTTCTAAGATATAAAACAGATTTGCATTTAAAGTTTATTGAAAGCAGAGGCAATTCACACTAAGGAACCAATGCAACAAGACATTTTTATTTTTTTATCTCTCCAAATTTTTTGTCCTTTTAAAAACTGAGATATTTATCTTTAATTATTAGTTTGCATTTGTCCCTCTGCCAGCTTTAAGGCATAATCAACAAATAACCAATGTTGTTTTTAAATGTCTAACGTCTATAAAGCCCAATCCTGAGAACTCTACCATTGGAGTGCTCTGGTTAATTGGATTTCTGTTAATCACCAATCAGTTTTTTTGTTAAAAGGGACTTGTTCAAAACTTAACCAAACTTTAATTTACTTTCTTACTTCAGGAAAAAAAAAAATCTCCTGGGCACACTTCTATCCTGCTTTGGTGACACAGAAATCTAAGCATCCTAGGTTAGGATTTGGAGCATTAGGGAGCATGCTGAGGATGGAGGAGGAGCGGGAAAGTGAGCCGCAGGTGCACCGGCCGAGGCCTCAACTCTCAGAGGGCTTCTTCTTAACTTGTTCCAGGTGTGGTTAATGCTGTCTTGTAGATGAGTATTACTGTTATTCAGATTCCAGTTAACCAACATTTTTTTGACCGGCACTTTTGCAGCTCTTGAATCCTTAACTCAAGGGACAAAACTTTTAAACTGACTTCAGCCAGGTTTTTTTTACCACTGGGATAAATTTAGATTTTATTATGTGCACATACATCCTTTTAAAAAATATCACTCAGCTTTATATTTGTATCCCAAATATTTTTTCGCAGCTGTAGAATTCTCACCTTGGCTGTGCTTTTGAGAAGTGCTAATTCTACCATACAGTGTTGGCTGGGCAGCCACTTGAAATGATGGTTAGTATTTTTTCAATTCAATTTCTTTTCTGTTTTTTTTGTTTTGTTTTGTTTTGTTTTTTTTTGAGATAGAGTCTTGCTCTTGCTGCCCAGCCTGGAGTGCAATGTTGCGATCTTGGCTCACTACAACCTCCGCCTCCTGGGTTCAAGCAATTCTCCTGCCTCAGGCTCCCGGGTAACTGGGATTATAGATGTGCACCACCACACCGGGCTAATTTTTGTATTTTTAGTAGAGACGGGGTTTACAACATGTTGGCCAGGCTAGTCTTGAGCCCCTGACCTCATGATCCATCTGCCTTGGCCTCCCAAAGTGCTGGAATTGCAGGCATGAGCCACCGCACCTGGCCTGTTCAACTCAATTTCTAAGCCCATAGGTCTCCTTCAGGACTTGAAATAGCCAAGAGACCGAGCTCCCAAGATACGTGTGAGAAACTAAAGTGTGCAAGGACAAGAGAAGCCATAAGATGAATAGACTGTCTTGTTTCATTTATACTGCAATTACTAAAATGACATGCTTTGGGGACATTTGAAAAGTTGCCATCAAAATGTATGATTGAAGTTTTGAGCAACCAAAATAAGATTGAATGTAATAACATTCAAATGTGCACAGCAGTGCCTGCCAAACTCTGCTGCACATTAGAATCACCTGGGGAGCTTCTGAAATTCTAAATGGTCAAGCTGTTCTCATACCTGGGAGTGGGGATCAGAATGTCTATGGATGGGAATCAGGCATTAGTTTTTTAAAAGATCCCTAGATGATTCCAAAGTTCAGCAGAGTTTGGGAACCGATGGCATATGGTAGTGCAAGTTGAAGCAATTTGTACCATATTACTTAAAGGACTCAACTAAATTTACAGAATGCTTTAATTCACAGATGTCATGGATGTTTATGTTTAAAATGCTTCAACATTATGATAGTAAATTATTTCCACAAAATTGCAAAAGAAACTGTCACTGAAATTGAAAATTATTCTGTGATTTAAAACATTGCCAAAATATTGTAATCCACTCCTTTTTAGGGGGAGAATGTCAGAAACATTTGTTTCCAGCTTCAAAATCCTTTTTATAAGTATAGAAGCGAAGAAAGATGAAGGGAAAAAAAGATATAAACAAAGAAAAACTAAAATGATTATTTACTAAGAATTGCAAATGCTCATTTTCTGGGCACACCACAAAGTTCCATTCTCTGTTCCTAGGACTTTGCGTAATACACAGGGACATGATGGTAAAAGGCTGATGCTTTCAGTTTATCAAAATAAACCTGAGTGTTCCTTTTCCCTGCCCTCAGTGAAAACTGAGACTTTACTCATCTTTATGAAGAAAGAAAAAGAAAATAAAATGTGTTCTAGTAGTGAGCTTGCCTGTCTTTTGAATTGTTTTGTGGTTGTGATGTCCCTCCTAACTGATTAGCCCTCATTCCACAGATTTCCACGTGTGGAACATTCGAGGATTATGTCAGCCGAGACTCCTGCTGCCTGTCTGGTAAAGAGAGCAATTTACAATAACAAACACACGCCAGACTTGGATGAATTACCCTCCTCACAACCCGTAGGTCTGTTGGGGTCATTCAGTTCCTCAAACAGTCCCGTTTCTATAATTTCTTCCTGCCATGCTATAGGAACAGCACCTGTCGCAAAGTTTTTGAAGAACTGCTTATCTTTGTCATCAAATTCCACCCCCCGAACCTCAGAGAAATCATCAATTTCAGCGATGTCTTTGGCATAAACCACTGAAGGGTCTGGCACAAATGGGGGTTCAATTAGGCCAGCTTCCAGGCGAGGAAAGTTGATCGTTTTAAAGAAATGATGTTTCCTGGGATCATCAGACTTTTCTCTGTGAAGAAAGGAGATGATCAGCCTGAGACAGAGTTAACAAAACAAAATGGGACATGTTCTAACAATACAAAGTGTGTAGCATTCTTTTCTTACATTTTATTTTAATTGCAAAGACAATATAATAACATAAAGAATAACTGAAAAATAATAACTTTTGAAATCACCCCAAATTCCCGTATAAGTAGACAGTAGCATTCTCATTATTTGCAGACAGCTTTCACCTGTAGATGCAATTTTTAAACAGTGAAGCTTTGGACATGACTTTTATTCTTGGTGTTTCATGGAAATACTATGAAAGTTCTGTAGAAACACACCTGCTTGCCTGCAGCTTCCAGTCATTGCCTCTTCAGGGTCACACAGAACAAGTTAAGCATATCTCTGTCCCACACAACCACCACTCCCATTTAAAAAGGCAGCACTCATATCCCTTTATTGGTAATATGATATGATTTCTACAAGCCCCACTTACCTCCCCAACTGCCACAATAATCTTGGTGTTATTTCTTTAAAGACTTAACAAAATCCATTAGTAATTTGCAGTAGTATAAATTTAGTACTCAAGACTATGATTATTATTATCAAACCCTCCATCTCTATGCTAGAAATTATTAGAGTATCTAAAGAAAAAAGTATGTTCCCAACTGTGTAACCTCTACTATTAATTTAGTTTTCTATTGCTGTGTAACAAATTGCCCCAAAATTTAGTGCCTTAAAACAACAAACATTTATTATGTCACAGCTTCTGAGGGTCAAGAATCTGGACATGGCTTAACTGGGTGTCTCTGTCTCAGAGTCTCTTGTGAGGTTGCAGTAAAGCTGCTGGCTGAGACTGTGGTCTCATCTGAAGGCTCAGCTGAGGCTGGGGGATTTGCTTCCAAGCTCACTCATGTGGTTATTGTCAAGCCTCCATCCTGTATCACATGAGCCTCCACAGGGCTGTCTTGAAACATTGCAGCTGGCTTTCCCAAGGCCAGTGATCACACACACACACACACACACACACACACACACAGCTCAAAATAGAAGCCATAGTTTTTTTTAATAACCTAATCTTAGAAGTGACATCTCATCACTTCTGCCATATTCTATTTCTTACTGAAGGAAGACCACACTTAAGGCAAAGGGATTATACATGAGTATGAATGCCAGGATGTGGGGATCATTGGGAGCCATCTTAGGGGCTGCCTACCATACTCCTCTTGGTTACTCTTAAATCTAGGTTGCAACAAAATAAAAAGTGGGCTGTTTTGTGGCATCAGATTCAAAACGATTCTTTTCTTTTAAAAAATGTGAATATATTTCCTGGTCTGATTAAGAAACATCTTCCACATACAAGTGGACAACAAACATATGAAAAAATGCTCATTATCACTAATCATCAGATAAAAGTCAATTAAAACCACAATGAGATACCATCTCATACCAGTCAGAATAGCTATTACTAAGAAAAAACAAACAAACAAACAAACAAACAAACAAAAAAAACCAACCAGACATGGTGGCTCATGCCTGTAATCCTAGCACTTTGAGAGGCCAAGGCAGGCAGATTGCCTGAGCTCAGGAGTTTGAGACCAGCCTGGGCAACATGGTGAAACCCCATCTCTACTAAAATACAAAAAATTAGACAGGTGTGACAGAGTGTGCCTGTAGTCCCAGCTACTCAGGAGGCTGAGGCAAGAGAATTGCTTGAACCCAGGAGGCGGAGATTGCAGTGAGCCAAGATTGTGCCACTGCACTCCAGCCTGGGTGACAGAGAGAGACTCCGTCTCTAAAAAAAAAAAAAAAAAAAAACCAACCAACAAACCAACCAAACAAACAAACAAAAACAGATATTGGAGGGGCTGCAGAGAAAAGAGAATGCTTACACATTGTTGATGGGAAGGTAAATTAGTTCAGCCATTCTGGAAAGCAGTTTGGAGAGTTCTCGAAGAACTAAAAATATAACTACCATTTGACCCAGCAATCCTATTACTTGTACATACCCAAAGGGAAATAAATTGTTCTACCTAAAAGACATACACTCATATGTTCATCACAGCACCATTCACAATAGCAAAGACACGGAATCAACTAAGGAGTCCATAAATGGTGGATTGAATAAAGAAAGTGTGGTACATACACAATATGGAATAATATGCAGCCATAAAAAGGAATGAAATCATGTTCTTTGCAGCAACATAGAAGCAGCTGGAGACCATTTTCTTAAGTGAACTAACATAGAAACAGAAAACCAAGTACCGCATGTTTTCACTTATAAGTGGGAGCTAAACATTGGGTAAACATGGACATAAAGATGGGAACAGCAGACACAGGGGACTACTAGATGTTTTGGGGGTGTGGCAAGGGTTGAAAAACTACCTATTGAGTACTATGCTCACTACTTGGTGATAGATTCAATTGCATCCAAAACCTCAGCATTACACAATATGTCTTTGTAAAAAACCTGCACATATACTCCCTGAATCTAAAATAAAAGATTTTTTTTTAAAGAAATGTCTTCCTTTTAAAAGAAGTCAGTTTCTGCCATAAGTCAACCTCAATTAGAAATTAATCATATTCATGGTCTCTCCTTTACATTTTCCATTCAAGATATCAAAAAGCTTTTTGGGAAAGGATTGAGAGCTTGCCCCATATATTCCTTTCAGAGATTCCCCACTATGTCAGATGATAACTACAACAGACTCTGCCCAGCAAGACGACTAAGGCAACACCCAATAATGGCACAACTAATAACAAGAATGAGGATAACTGACATTTATTCAGGGCCTACTGTCAGTTAACACAACATTCAGCTCTTCACTTATATTATTACATTCAACCAGTACAACAGCCCTGTCTCTAAGTCCTGTATTTTTGACTCCTTTATGTGCTTCTGCATTCATGAATAACTGTGCATCTGAGGAAGCCAGAGTAAATAGGTGACTTTTTCAAAGGAAAATGTATAATTAAATTTTATTATGAAAAGAGAAACTTAATTGGAGGCATCTGATGATCCAGTGATTCCTTGGGTTCTTGTTCTGTGACCCAGCCCTACCCACTTCCAGAAAGGTCTATCCGGAACTTCTTGGACTTTTCCCACTGTGTATGGAGACCTGGATCAAAAGGTGCTACAAGGGGTGTCTTTTCTAAAAGCCACCAAGTCTCCACCAACTGAAAGAAAGAAAATGCAGGCTTGCCATCTACCAGAACCGACTGCCCCAGTGTCTGTGTGGTTTACATCTTGTAGGTTAAGAGCCTTGAGGGAGAGTTACTGAGATAAATGGAAGCTTCAAAAATAGATTTTTAGGCCGGGCACCATGGCTCACACCTGTAATCCCAGCATTTTGGGAGGCCAAAGCGGGTGGATCTCCTGAGGCCAGGAGTTTGAGACCAGCCTGGCCAACATGGTGAAACCCTGTCTCTACTAAAAAATACAAAAATTAGTCAGGCGTGGTGGCACATGCCTATAATCCCAGTTACTTGGGAGGCTGAGAGAGGAGAATTTCTTGAACCTGGGAGGCAAAGGTTGCAGTGAGCCGAGATCGGGCCATTGCAGTCCAGCCTGGGTGACAGAGCAAGACTCTCTCATAAAACAAAACAAACAAACAAACGAACAAACAGATTTTTTAAAAGTCAGATTATTGAGGTATAATTTACACAGAAATATTCACCTTTTAAAGGTATCAGATGGATTTTTAAACATGGCAGAAGGATAGAGCTAGAATGCCATCCAAATAAATCAGGAATGAGCCCCAGACCTGCATGTCTCAAAGAGAATGAAGGCATTGGAATGGGACTAGGTGCCACAGGGAAGATCTTGCATCACTTCCATGATCACTGGCGGGCATGAATTGAACACACTGTGTCAGGTGTCAAAAGGGCCCTTAAAACCCAGTCTAAGCAGCTTTCACATGAGTAAATGGAGACGCCCAGGAGCTTGGTAACTCGGGAGACTTGCCAGACCAGTCTTTACATCAGGATGAACAGTTCTCACATGGCGTCTCAAGCACACCATGCCCAGGGAGCCTTGGTTTGTCCATCAGGGGTGGCTGACTGCAGCCCTTTTGCAACTAATTATAAAAGACAAGGAAACCATGGGTCACTCTGAGGTTTCCTTTATGTTCTTCAACAACCCAACTAGATGCCCCTGGAGGGCAGGATTCATGCCTTGTATACCTTTTCCCAAGAAATGTCTGTGGGTGCTGCTGCTACCAGTGAAGACTGGGCTTTCCAATCTCTATTCCTTGTTCTTGTGGCTGGGCCACCACAAAAATGATGTCTTTGATCTTTTGCATTAGCAACTCCCACCACAGTTCCGTCATTAAAATAGCAGGCTGATTATTTCACTCTTACATCTTTCCCTGGCAGTTCTGTGCAGGGCTCTTTCGGCCCATCATTGTGCGGTACACTTTGAACAAATAGGAGAGGCTGTTGCTGGAGGCAGTATCTTTTGTAACAGCCAAAGAGGCAGCTGCAGGGAGGACTTCTGCTCATTGGAGTGGAATATATTTCAGAGCATTAACAGAGGCTCTCGTACTATGGAACCCCACACAGAGATTACAATGGATTTTCTTATAATAGTCAATGAAGCAAAGATACCACCCGCCTATACATGAGGCCCACAAGGGAATTTGGTCTGCCAAGAACCATGAAATTGTTTGTTGGAGAAGCACTTAAATCAGAGATTTTCACGATTATTTGCTGTTGTTCTGCTGCACTGCCTGATCAGAATAAAACCTGCAAAAACTTAAGTGGTCTTCAGCACTTATTTTATTGGAAGACCCTGTAGTTGATCCCATCTGGAGCCCCTGGAGATGCTCAGAAAAGCTTTTGGCTTCTCTGCAAAATTATCTCCCAGACCCATAAAGGCAAAGAAGGTAATCCTTTTCAGTGATGTCTAAAGGAGAAGGGTCTTTAATTCATTTCAAATGCTTAAGAAGGCAACAGGGAGGGAGCATTTGAACTCTGCTGTGTAACATGCTGTCGAGGCATTTGCCTTGGCTTGGAGGATGCCCACTACATTAATCCAACGTGATCTCGTTTGATTAAATTTTTTAAAAATATAAAGAGTTGAAATAAAAGTGTTGGAAGATTCTGCAATTATAGAGGCCGTAAGAAAAAAAAATGTTGGAAGATTTTCTGTTTCACTGAACAGCTGTTTTTTATATGCCTTTCCTCTAATGTTGTAAAGTCTTATTCAAAACAGTCACAACAACAGATGCTTTACTAAAAAGGCTTTGCTTGAGGAAGCAGCTTCAGGGAGTGACCAGTCTTTAGTGTGCTTTAAAGTGTTTACAGTGCTTTAAGGTAGCATTTTCATGAAATTTGTTAATATTTCATTTTATAAACCCAAAGTCTGCTTATAGAGTATTAAGATATATTTTATTTTATTTTTGTTTTTTTAATTTTTTTTTGAGACAGAGTTTTGCTCTTATTGCCCAGGCTGGAGTGCAGTGGCGCGATCTTGGCTCACTTCAACCTCCGCCTCCCAGGTTCAAGCTATTCCCCTGCCTCAGCCTCCTGAGTAGCTGGGATTACAGGCACCCGCCACTGCACCCGGCTAATATTTTGTATTTTTTTAGTAGAGAGGGGGTTTCATCATGTTGGCCAACCTGGTCTCGAACTCCTGACCTCAGGTGACCCACCCGCCTTGGCCTCCCAAAGTGCTGGGATTACAGGTATGAGACACCGCGCCCGGCCAAGATAGATTTTAAATCAAACGTGGGAATTGAGGCATCCAAGTGGGTGTTGTTCCCTTCAGGGAAGTCATCTAAACAGACTGTCCTCCTGACTCAGCCACTGCTCCCGCACCTTTGGATACTCACTGAACTTGAAGATCATGAGGGTAGAGATTGTTAGTGATTGTCAGTGGTCACCATATCCTATTTGATTCTCACTCCTGGGCACGCAGAAGACACTAGTCAGCACCCTTACCCGTAGGCAGGACCCAAGGACTAGTTCTGGCCAACAGAACCGTGTGTGAAGTGTGTGGGATCGAGACCATCCTGGCCAACATGGTGAAACCCCGTCTCTACTAAAAATACAAAAAGTAGCTGGGTGTGGTGGTGGGTGCCTGTAATCCCAGCTACTCGGGAGGCCAAGGCAGAAGAATTGCTTGAACCTGGGAGGCTGAGAGATTGCAGTGAGCCAAGATTGTGCCATTGCACTCCAGCCTGGGCAGCAGAGCAAGACTCTGTCTCAAAAACTAATAATAATAATAAATAATTTGTAGGTCTCCAATAACTGAATGTGAGAGGGTAAGAGGGTAGAGAATGCGTTTCCTCCCTGACAATGTGTGAGTGTACACATATAAATCTGTCTCTGAGAGGGAGAGAGAGAGGGAGAGAGAGGAAGGGAAGGAGGGATGGGAGAGAGAGAGAGAAAAGAGGCGAGAGAGAGAGAGAGGGAGAGAGGAAGGGAAGGAGGGATGGGGAGAGAGAGAGAGAGAAAAGAGGGGGGAGAGAGAGAAAGAGAGAGATTGATTGATTTAATTTAGGGCTTTGTAAATCCAAAGTCTGCAGGGTAGTTTAGCAGGCTGGAAACCCAGGGAAGGATTGCAGTTTGACTCCAAAGGTGGTTTGCTGGCAGAATTACCGTTTCTTCTGGGGAAGTCAGTCTTTTCTTATTAAGGCTTTCAACTGATTGGATCAGGCCTATCCACATTATGGATGGTAATCTACTTTACTCAAAGTCTACTGATTTAAATGTTAATCTCATCTAAAAATCTGCCCAGAAATATCTCAATAATATTTGACCAAATATCTGAGTATTGTGGCCTAACCAAGTTGACACATAAAATTAACCATCACACCCACAACCCCCGCCTTTTTATATATGAGGATATTGAGACTCAAGGAAAGTAATTCAATTGCTTGAGGTAAAATGACCAGTCTATAGCAGAGCTGGGACATGAATCTATGTCTATGAATCTAAAGCTCTTGATTTTCTCCCTACACAACATAGTCACTCACTGCCAAGGGTCTTTTCACAGGCCAACTTTTACGTCTTTTTTTCTTCTATAGTATCTTTTTTTTAGAGACAGGGTCTTGCTCTGCCACCCATGCTGGAGTACAGTGGCATGATCACAGCTCACTGCAGCCTTGAGCTCCTGGGCTCAAGTGATCCTCCCACCTCAGCCTCTTGAGTAGCTGGGACTACAGGCATGCACTTCTACACCTGGCTAATATTTGTATTTTCCGTAGAGGCACAGTCTCTCTATGTTGCTTAGGCTGGTCTTGAACTCCTGGGCTCAAGCAATCCTCCCACCTTGGCCTTCCAAAGTTTTAAGATTACAGGCATGACCACTGCGCCCGGCCTTCTAAAATAGCTTGATTTTCTTATTCTATCATAAACAATGAAACTTGGCTTCAATTTTAACAGTTGGCAATATCATAAATATTTTTTGAAGGACTGATGATATCCTACGGGAGACATTTGAAAGGAACAGAATTTTCCAGAGCTATGACTATCAGTACTGGTAGTTTTATGTTTTCATTTTAATTATTGTTACTATTATTATTATTATTATTTTGAGACGAAGTCTTGCTCTGTTGCCCAGGCTGGAGTGCAGTGGCGCGATCTCGGCTCACTGCAACCTCCGCCTCCTGGGTTCAAGTGATTCTTGTGCCTTAGCCTCCTGATTATCTGGGATTACAGGTGGCTGCCACCACTTCTGGCTATTTTTTTGTATTTTTAGTGGACATGGGGTTTCACCATATCTTGGCCAGGCTGGTCTTAAACTCCTAACCTCAGGTGATCTGCCACCTCAACCTCCCAAAGTGCTGGCGTGAACCACCATGCCTGGCTCACAGTGTGAGCCACTGTGCCCAGCCTGTTTTAATTATTTTTGAATAGATAATGTAACAGTGTTAAGTACATTCACACTACGTTGTTATGCAACCAATCTCCAGAACTCTTCATCTTGTAAAACAGAAAATTTATACTCATTAGACAACTTCCCATTTCTCCTCCCCTTAACCCCAGGAAACTGCCGTTCTACTTACTTTCTTTCTTTTTTTTTGAGATGGAGTTTCACTCTGTCACCCAGGCTGGAGTGCAGTGGCTTGATCTTGGCTCACTGCAACCTCTGCTCCCTGGGTTCAAGCGATTCTCCTGCCTTAGCCTCCCGAGTAGTTGGGATTACAGGCACCTGCCACCGCCCCCGGCTAATTTTTGTAGTTTTATTACAGATGGGGTTTCACCATCTTGGCCAGGCTGGTCTTGAACTCCTGACCTCGTGATCCACCTGACTCGGCCTCCCAAAGTACTGGCATTACAGGCATGAGCCACCCTGCCCGGCCTTCTACTTTCTGTCTCTATGAATTCGACTACTCTAGGTACCTCATATAAGTGGAATCATGTAATATTTGTTTTGTTTTATGGCTGCATGTGATTTTAATACATTTATTTACTCAACATGGTTCAGATGCAAAAGAAACTAAGGTGATACAGTGAAAATTCTTATTTGCATCCCCATCCCCAGCCCCCAATTTCCCTTCATCTGACATAACCAATCCTATAAATTCCTTGAAATATTCTATACAACCATTTGAATTATGTATTCTTTTTTCTTTTTTTAACGCAAGCTGCTTTGCACCTCACTTTTCCACCTTAAAATACATCTTGGAAATTGTTCCATAGAAAGTGCTAATAGTGTTTGAAAGTATTAGAAATGTTTAACCATATAATATGCAAATAAAAATAAGAAAATCATAATACTTAATTCCAAGACTTTGCCACAAATCAAAAGTATTCTCCTAATCCCTGTGGACAATACTGGTGTCAGCAATCCTCTCTGTTACATGCTAGTTTACCTGCTTCCTAAGCGTTGCTCTGGTTTCTTAGCCAAGAAGAGCCTGCAAATATCTTTTGCTTCCTCTGTGAAGTTATCATGCTGGAATTTGACCTCGTCTTGCAGAGTTCTTTGCTTCAGATCCTCTTTACTGACCTTTTCCTTGTAATCTTTGAATGGTGTTCGTCCAGCAACCATTTCATAAATGCTGCATCCCATGGCAAACCAGTCCACAGGATAGGAATAACTTACCTTTTCCATTAGGATCTCAGGAGCCATGTAACCATTGGTTCCAGCCTGTAACATCCCAAACAAAAAACAAGACAACACAGAACAAAGACACTAAGGTGAGTGTAGCAGACACTGCTGACTGCCTACCTAATACACATTCTCCTTTTCTTCCCTTGTTGAGGGAACCCTAATTTGTTTGGGGTGGCAATGTGTCTAACCTATTCTTTGTGCTGCTTTCCCGGCAGCTTTGGGTGCAGCCAGGGGAGGCCATGCGACCCGTTTTGGCCAATGAGATAAAGAGTTGGTGGCTAAGGTCACATGAAAAGGGAAGCCGTAGCTGCTCCTGATGTGGGAAAATCTGTTACCTCTCTTAGGCTCATCACCTCATCTTTAAGATGAAAAGTTCAAGTGGATGTCTATAAGATCCCCTAAGCTCTGCTTTTTTAAAAATTCACAGATAATAGAAAATTAGATGTATATGATTTTTTAAGGTTGAGCACTTTATTACTAATATTAAATGTTCATATGTTGTCTAGTCTATCATGTTTCTTACTCTGTGTGCTATGTAATAACATTAACATCGCACACCTCTGCCTGTCTCTGCACTGAATAATTAACACTGTCATTTTAATTGAGGAAATTCCATACACACATGAAATTTCATTTCACATGCATGACTATGTATTATAGGCACACTTCTACTGACAATATATGCCAAATGATCATTAGATTAAATATATATACATATTCACTTTATATATATACATACATATTTATTTCTATATATAAGACATATCTATTTATATATACTTGTGTGTATGGTAAATTACCCATAAAATTTACTATCTAAATCATTTTGCAGTGTAAGTTCAGTAGTGTTAAGTACATTCTCACTGTTGTGCAACCAATCTCCAGAACTACTCATCTTGCAAAACCGATAATTTACACTCATTAAACAACTTGCCATTCTTCCTCCCCTCAACGCCAGGCAACCACCATTTTACTTTCTCTCTCTATGAATTTGACTGCTCTAGGTACCTCATATAAGTGGAATCATGCAATAATTGTCTTTTTATGGCTGCATTGATTTTAATACATGTATTTACTCAAATATATATGTGTGTGTGTATATATATATATATATTTTTGAGATGGAGTATCGTTGTGTCACCCAGGCTGGAATGCAGGGTCCTGATCTCAGCTCACTGCAACCTCTACCTCCTAGGTTCAAGCCGTTCTCCTGCCTCAGCCTCCCAGGTAGCTGGCATTACAGGCGCCTGCCACCACGCCTGGCTAATTTTTGTATTTTTCGTGGAGATGGGGTTTCACCATGTTGGCCAGGCTGGTCTTGAACCCCTGACCTCAAGTGATCCTCCCGCCTCGGCCTCCCAAAGTGCTGAGATTACAGATGTGAGCCACCGTGCCTGGCCGACTCGGACTTTTCAGAGAGCGATATGACAGAGAGCAATGGGAAACGAAAGGTAACAAATTGTTCCTGTCTTTCAACCAGATTATTTAACTGTGGAGTATGTACCTCAAAGAAGAGACTCAGAAGAAAGAAAAAGGAATCTATATTGAGATGTTCATAACTTCATTAACTCAGAATGGTCACGAGCTGGAAACACCCAAAGGCCCATCAATAAGATGATAAACCAGAGTCTATTGTTAATACCAAGGAATTTATATATGTAATGATTGTCACCCACTGATTACAACTATGCATTTCAGTACTTCAGGAAAGGTTGGAAAAGTTGGATGCAGTGGTGTGTGCCTGTAGTCCCAGCTACTCAAAAGGCTGAAATGGGAGGATCCCTTCAGCCAAGGAGTTCGAGGCTGTAGTGCGATAGACGAGCCACAGCACTCTAGCCTGGGTAACTTTGTGAGACCCCGTCTCTATGAAGAAAACATTAGAAAGTGTTGAGCTGTGCATTAGGTGTTTTATTTCTAGTTGCTTAAGTATTTTTTAATGTAATGCTTTAGAAATATGAAATTTCATGGATAATTTCTACATGGATCACAACAAGAAAAAACATGAATAATCCAAGTACTAATGAAGAGTGATTGGCCTGAACAAGAAAGTTCTGGAAGTGACTAGGATCTAACGGGCTGTGCATGAGTCAGCATGGCAGTGCTGTTTTCAGAGAAGCTGGTATATAATTTGGGTGACCATATGTTCCGGTTTGCTTGGGACAGTCCCGGTTTACATCTGTTGCCCTGGCGTCTTGTCCAGTTTTGCATTTGTCCAGACAAAAGGGTCCTGTAGGCGCCTCTGAGGCCCAGGATACAGTCTTACTCATCTTTGTCTCCAAATCCAGGCACTTATCACAGGGCCTCACCTGGTGCATGCCATGTTTTTAAATAAATAACGACAAAGACGGTGACTAGATGTTTTCCATTCACTACGCAGAAAACATTTGTTGAGTCATGCCCTGCAATGAGTTCCAGGGATACCGAGACCTGTAAGGCCTGGCCCTTGCCCTTGAGGATTTAGAGACTGGTAGAGACAGACAGGTCAGAAGGTTGATTCAATAGAGTGTGGAGCACGCGCAGGGGGGCCCACGGGGTCAGTGTGTGCATGTGTGTGTATCTGATTGTGTGTGTATGTGATTGTGTGTGTATGTGAGTGTATGTGCGTGTGTGTGTGTGTGTGTGGGCATATGAGTGTGTGTGAGTGGGTGTATGCGTGTGTGGGTGTATGAGTGTGTGTGAGTGTATGTGTGTGTGCGAGTGGGTGTGTGTATGTGAGTGTGGTGTGTATGTGTGTATGTGAGTGTATGTGTGAGTATGCATGTGTGTGTGAGCATGCGTATGTGTTAATGTGCATGTGAGTGTATGTGAGCATGTGTATGAGAGCGTGTATGTGTATGTGTGCATGTGAGTGTATGTGAGCATGTTTGTATGTGCATGTGTGTATGTGTGCGTGTATGTGAGCATGTGTGTATGTGTGCATGTGAGTGTGCATATGTATGTGTATGTGAGGGTGAGTGTATGTGTGAATGTGCATGTGTATATGAGAGCATGTGTGTATGTGTGTATCTGTGCATGTGTATGTGTGTGTATATGTGCATGTGTGTGAGTGTGTGTATGTATGAGCGTGTGTATGCGTGTGTGAGTGCCTGTATGTGTATGTGTGTATGTGTATGTGTGTGTTATGTGAGTGTGTGTATGTGTGTGTGTGTTGAGAATACTTCACTGAAGAGCCACAGCTGGCTGAATATGAGGGAAACACCTAGAAGGCTATCCAGGTAATGAGCATGTGCAAGAGATGGAGTCAGAAAAAGTGTAAGGTATTGAGGGAGCTTTAAGGAATTTGGTGTTTCTAGAATACATGATTTGGGGCATGCCATGGAGGGAGGGGAGATGGGATTGAGAAACTGTATGCTAAGGTAGCAGAATCTATTCCCAGTCTCCCTTTTCCTTTGCCTCCCTCTATCACGAAATCCCAGATGACTAAAGACAACATCTCTCCCAGCCTCCTTTGCACACAGGATAGTGATATGAGCTTTATTTGAGAGGTGTGCAAGCTGAAGGTGCAAGGGCTTGGAAAAAAGAGAAGTGAGTTTACTCGAAAATAAAAGATGTAAGATTGATTACATGGATGGATAGAGAGGATGGATAGATGGACATTTGATAAAGCAAATCTAGTAAAATGTTAATGATATACAAGGAGTATTATTTGGCCATAGAAAGGAATGAAGTACTAGCCGGCAGTGGTGGCTCATGCCTGTAATCCCAGCACTTTGTGAGGCTGAGGCGGGCGGATCATGAGATCAGGAGTTGAGACCAGCCTGGTCAACATGGTGAAAACCCGTCTCTACTAAAAATACAAAAAATAGCTGGGCGTGCCTGTAATCCCAGCTACTTGGGAGGCTGAGACAGGAGAATCGCTTGAACCTGGGAGGCAGAGGTTGCAGTGAGCCGAGATGGTGCCATTGCACCCCAGCCTGAATGACACAGCAAGACTCCGTCTTGGGGGAGGGGAGAGAGGGGAAGAAAGGAATGAAGTACTGATACATGCTTCGTGAACCTTGAAAACATGCTAAATGGAAGAAGCTAGTCACAAATGACCATGTATTACATGATTCCATTTATACAGGGTGTCTAATATAGGCAATTCCATAGAGACAGAAAATAGATGAATGGTTGCTTAGGGGTGGAAGAGCAGTGTAATGGAAGTGACTGCTGAAGGATATGGGATTTCTTTTGGGGGTGAAGAAAATGTTCTAAAATTGATTGTGGTAATGTTTGCACACCTCTGTAAATATACTAAAAACCAGTAATTTTTTTTTTTGAGACATCTGTCGCCGTCTGGAGTGCAGTGGCGTGATCTTGGCTCGCTGTAGCCTCCACCTCCCCGGTTCAAGCGATTCTTCTGCCTCAGCTCCTGAATAGCTGGGACTACAGGCGTGCACCACCACGCCTGGCTTTTTTTTTTTTTTTTTTTTCAGTAGAGACAGGGTTTCACCATGTTGGCCAGGCTGGTCTTAAACTCCTGACCTCAGGTGATCCATCCTCTTTGGCCTTCCAAAGTGCTGGGATTACAGGCGTGAGCCACTGCGCCCAGCCAGTACACTTTAAATGCATGGTTTTTATAGTAGTTAAATTATATCTCAGTAAAGCTGTTAAAAATGTCAGTGATAAACTCTAGGTAATGGGTATTTCAAAGGTGCTCGTGTGAAATTCTTTCTGAATTTTTTCTGAAATTCTTTCTGAAATTCTTTCAACTTTGCTCTATGCTTGGAAGATTTTATAATAGAATATGCAGAAGGGAAAAGGAGAGTGAGGGAAGGGGGATGTGATGCCCAGCTGGCTGCTGGTTCATCAGGCACAAGGGAGTCTTCTGGAAGAGGCACAAGGAGGAAGCACAGGAGAGAGTGGATGAGGGGGATGCAGCTGCCCAGTCCTTCCCATCTCCCGTTTCCATTGCTCAGGGATTATCCGAAGAGCTATATTGCCGACATGTCATCCAGTTGATTAGCAGCTGCCCAGGAAATAAGGCTCCATACCCCACAGGATGATGTTTTATCCAGATGATGTTTTATCCAGCTCTGAAAGTGGAGGGGCAACGCAGCCTGGATATGCTGCTGACAGAGAACTGTCCAAGAGGGAGAGAAAAGGAGGCAGTAGAGGGAATGTAGGAAGGTATGTGAGGTTTGTGGTCCAGTACACCAATATGATGAAATTTCTCAAGGACATACTTTGATGTGGGGCTTTTTTCATCCACGGTGCTGGCTATCATGGCTATCATGGCTATCAGCTGGCCCCTCAATCCAGAAACCAATGGCTGTCTACACTGGGAAATTATCTCACACTATGTGTGTGTGTGTGTGTGTGTGTGTGTGTGACAGAGAAAGAGAGAAAGAGAGTTTCAGTCTGTCACCCAGGTTGGAAGTGCAGTGGTTCAATCGTGGCTAACTGCAGCTTCCACCTCCTAGGCTCAAGCAGTCTTCCCACTTCAGCCTCCTGAGTAGCTGGAACCACAGGTGCATGCCACCATGCCTGGTTAATTTTTTTTTCTTTGGTACAGACGGGGTCTCTCTCTGTTTCCCAGGCTAGTTCTGGGATCCTCCTGCCTTGGCCTCTCAAAGTGCTGGGATTACAGGCATGAGCCACCACAACCAGCCTCTCATAGTATTTCTTTGATCATTTTCTCCCTTGCATTTTGTCTCTTCTCTTTTTTTCAGAAATATTGAACTTATCCTTTATGTTTCTTACCTTTTGCTCCTAATGTCCATTCTTGTCTCTTATTTCTTTTTGAGGGGCATAGGGGGAAACTTCCCCCATTTTTTTCCCCAATTCTTCTATTTTTAAAAAAGTATTTTATTATGGGAAACTTCAAATATATACAAAACAGAGGCAGAATAATAAACCCAAAGTAGTCTTCACCTGGCTTCAACAATTATCCACACATGGCCAATATTGTCTCATCTATGTCCCTTCCCACTTCTCCTGACTATTCTAGTCATGCATCATTTGTATTTCACTATGAATCTCTAAAAGATAAGGTCACTTAGAAAACACACTAAAACAAAGCACTACAATAACATTATCTCATTTAAAAAATAAGAATAATTATTTAATATTATCTGGACATATTTGTATACCAACTGTCCTATAAACTTTTAAAAGTAAAATTTAAACTTAAATCATACAATCATTTAAACAATCATTAAACTTTTGTTTAAATTTGGATCAAATGTGGTTCATACAATGATTGTCTCTTAAATCTCTTTTATAGGCTCCTCCTCTGTCTTTTTTCCCCACCTAGCAAGTTTTTGTTGAAAAAAAGGGGCCAAACTGTAGTTTCCCACAGTCAGATTTTGCTGACTGCATTCCTGTGGTGTCATTTAACATGTTCTTCTGTTCTTTGCATTTCTTTTTTTTTTTTTTTTTTTTTTTTGAGACGGAGTCTCGCTCTGTCGCCCAGGCTGGAGTGCAGTGGCGCAATCTTGGCTCACTGCAAGCTCCGCCTCCCAGGTTCACGCCATTCTCCTGCCTCAGCCTCCCGAGTAGCTGGGACTACAGGCACCTGCCACCACACCCGGCTAATTTTTTGTATTTTTTAGTAGAGACGGGGTTTCACCCTGTTAGCCAGGATGGTCTCGATCTCAGGACCTTGTGATCCGCCCGCCTCGGCCTCCCAAAGTGCTGGGATTACAGGTGTGAGCCACTGCACCCGGCCCATGCATTTCTTGTAAACTGATGGCTAGACATAGAGGCTTAATTCTTCTACTTAACTTTTCAGTTTTGCCAATATGATTTTATTGATACATAATTAATATACAATAACGTGTACAGTTCTTAGACATTCAGCTCAATGAATTTTAATAATTAAATACGCCCTCATAAATACCACCCAAACAAGATATAAAACATTTCTGTCTGTCCAGAAAGTTCCCTTGTGCCCCTTGCCAGTCAGTCCTCGCCACTTCTCAGGCAAACACTTTTTGATTTCTGTTACTATAGATTAGTTTTGTCTGTCCTTGAATGTTGTATAAATGGTACAGTATAGTATGTATTCTTTCATGTCTGACTTATTGTATTTAACATATCTTTAAGATTTGTCCATGTTTTTCTGCAAATGTATTTACATATTTTTTATTTCCAAATGTCCTTGTTGTTCTCTGAATGTTCCTTGATTTACAGCATTTGTTCTTGTTTCATGGAGGCCTTATCTTCTCTTTAATCTCAAAAGATAATAATTACAAGTTTTAAAAAATAGTCTCTTCTATTCCCTGCATCGTTCTTGTTTTCTACAAGTTCTTTTCCTCTGATTGTTTTGGTTCTGTCTTTCATTTTGAAGAGTTTTTTTTTTTTTTTTTTTTTTTTTACAAATGACAATTGATCTTTGTCTAGTCATTCATATTTAAGAGTGAAGCACCAAAAAGCTGACTATAAGCTATGTGGAGTCCAGCTTATCAACTGACAAGAGGGATCAGGTGGGATATCTCCATACCCCACCTGAGAAGTATCAGCCTGCTTGCTCTCATTTGGGGAACTGAGATGGGAAGGAGCTGAGGGTCTCCCTGAATATAGTATTTCACTTCCCACAGCTCTCCTTTGGGCCTCATGTTCTTGGGTCCTGCTTCTGTCTGGTTCTTTATGACTCTGCTGGGGTGGCAGAGGCATAAAGAGACTATAAACAACATCCAAACGAAGTTAAGTCAGTGGCAGTCAGTAAGTTCTATTCAGCAACATTTATTGCGAGCTTGCTCTGTGTGGCACCCGTCCAATGAGCACATTTCAAAGGTGAGTGACATTAAGGATTAAAGTTACTAATGAGGATACTGGATAAACCTAAGTTGCTCGGTAGAAGGTGTAGGGTGAAAGTGGACAACATACCTTGCCATGAACAAAGGATTGTGAAACACATGCTGAGAGAAAAATTGGAAATAATAATGGAAAACATTATTGAGTGCTTATTCCATGCTAAATATTTTCTGTAGTGCTTTATGTGAATTCCTCATTTGATCTCCATAGTAACCCTATGAGATAGCGTCCATTTTGCAGATTAGGAAACTGAACCATAGAGAGGTTAAATCTTGCCTAAGATCACCAACCTAAGAATCACACACAGGCTGCACCTTGTTTTTTTTTTTTAGACCGAGCCTCACTCTATCACCCAGACTGGAGTGCAGTGGCATGATCTTGGCTCACTGCAACCTCCACCTCCCAGGTTCAAGTGATTCTCCTGCCTCAGCCTCCTGAGTAGCTGGGATTACAGGCGCTCACCACCACGCCCGGCTAATTTTGTATTTTTAGTAGAGACAGGGTTTCACCATGTTAGCTAGGCTGGTCTCGAACTCCCGACCTCCTGTGATCCATCCGCCACAGCCTCCCAAAGGGCTGGGATTACAGGCGTGACCCACCATGCCTGCCCTGGCCTGCGCTTTTCACTACTACATTATTCCGCCTCTATAGAAGTAGGTGAAGTGACTTTTTCTTACCCCTCCAAGTTCCCTTCAGGATTTCTTTTCTCCCTTGTAGAGTCCCCTTCTTCCCTCTCCCCATTTGCCCAGTACTAAGTCCTTGATCTTTAGCATTCTTGCTAAAGATGTTTCCCTTCCCCTTATCCCAGTGAATTCTCCATTTTTTGCCTGTTTCAGGCTGGCTCGGCTGCTCCACACAGCAGAGGGTTCTGGGAGATGGGACCAGACCCTGGGCCATGCTCTGCAACCACCTCCCCAAGGAAATAAGTAAAGAATTGGCCTGCCATCTTTACAGCACTGTAGACCCCCTGGTGTAGTGGAAAGAGCATGAGACAGCGTGCAGGAAGGCCTTAGATTCATTCCAAATAATTTTCAGGACTAAATTCACCTCTTGGTCCTAAAGACAGAAAATGTCAGCCATGGAGCTTTGAAGGGCACCACCTCCTTGAAGAGCGGAGGTATTTCACTGAGGAGAATGGAATTAGAGGCGCACGCCAGACTTTAAGCACCCACATTCCATTGCAGCCTCCAGCTGAAAAAATTAATTGCCTGCCCTTTATGCCATTTGTCTTCTGCATGTGAACTGCCTCCTCAGAGTAGGGTGGGAGGAGAGAACGCGCCAAGCAGCGTGGAGCAGGTCCAACCACGCTGACCTCTTACAGCTGGGTTTAACTCCTGCAGTTACACAGGGCCCTGCGCCTCTGTCTCAGCAGCATCAGAACCGTCTCCTTCAGTGCATGTGACCAGAACCGCCATGCCCAGGGCTGTAGGGATTGCCCGAGTATCAGCACCTCTTAGTGGAGGGGTGTGTGGGTGTGTGTGTGTGTATGTGTTTTATCCTTTTCTGGGTTTTACCTTATTTTACTTTGGGTTTTATGGTGCCCTTTCCAGACCCACACAGTCAACACCTGGTCAGGCAAAAACCAAGTATACCCAGCATTGGGCGACATCGAACAACAGACCTCACGGGGTTTAGCACGCCTGGCAGTGCCAGTGCCCCTCCCCCATCCCCTCAGGGGCAGCGGGAAGTCCTTCTAGTACAGTAATCTCAAGCTTAGTCCCATCAGGGCCACCTGTCACCAACAGGTGTCCAGACATTGGGGAAGGTAGACACCTTAAGGTGTGATTAAGATCCCAAGCCCGTCCAGATACCCCCTACATTGTTCTTGCTGTTGGGTGCTGGCCTCTTCCATTGACCCTGTAGCTGTCACTCTGAACCGAACTGGCAGGGCCCAGGCTGGCCCTGGACAGAGTCCCAGTGTGGCTCTGGACAACCAGGAACCAGACTGTGACCTTCGCAGTGCAGAGAACATGGAGGGGCTTCTGGTGGAGCTGAGAGGGCACAGTTCACCTCTTAACAGTTTTACAAGTCCATGAAAAAGTATGAGTGTGCGCAGGTCCTTCAAGGTCAAGGACACGAGCAACCCTCCACCTCCCATTAAATCTGAAAACTTGGCAACCTCCAATTCCACTATCAAAAGAAACGGCCGTGTCTTCCCTTGGGGTGGCCGGGCCAGGCTGGATTAGCGACGCAGACGGGGAGAAAGGAGCCGGAGAGGAAGCTCCGCGATCCCGGCGCGGCCCAGCAAAAGCACACTGGCACGCCGAGCCAGAAATCGCCCGCGGATGCCTCTTCCCCCAGCTCATCACAAACCAGATCCAGTCGACAGCACAATCCAAACAGAAGAGGGAATCAGAATGTACATGTTTTGTTTGCCGTGGCAGGAGAACTGTTGAGCAGAGGAAAAAAACAAGCTGAGCTTAGCGCTATCAGCTGTTTCCTGGGGCTCTCTCCTTCCTTCCTCCGAGGGGGGCCTGGCCGCTTTGTTCTCGTTCCCAGCTGCTCCTCTGCGCCTTTAAGCAGTGGCCTTTGCAGACCTCGGAGGAATGCGGCCCTGGGACCCCAGGGGACTTAGCTCGAGGCTCCGCCCGCCCCGCATGCTCGGCCCCAGGCCGCAGAATCAGGAGCGCCGCAGTGTCGCGCGGAGGCCGCTCCTGCCCCTGGCTTCTCAGGGCTCGCTTTCTGCCGCCACTTCCTGGGCGGGGAGGGCGCATCCCATCAGAGGCGGCTTCCTGCTCTCCCTGACACCCCTGGAAGGACACCCATTTCACAGAGCCCACACAGGGAGCCCAAAAGAGGGGTCGTCACAATAACACTTTTTGCAGGCATAGAGTCTGGGGTGAAATGGCTCCCACACTGGCGTTGGTTTGCTGTAGTTCAGATCCCAGCTCTACCAGTTATAAGCCGGTCACCCACAGCCGCTTACTCAACCCCTCTGAGCCTCAACAGTTCTTGCCTTATGGGACTGTGACGAAGATTAAAACGATAAAACAGATTGGGTGTCGACCCAAAACCTGGCGCACAGCAGGCCTGCTACCACAGTATGTATTAGCGGCTGTTGTTACCATGCCTGGGTTCTGGTTGTCTCAGGCAGGACAGCTACACAAGACTCCATCAGACTGAAAGGCAGGGCCTGGCACATGGTCAGAGATCAATAGTTCCCGTTCTTTCACTTGAGCGTGTTCTTCAGTGGTTTCATGTGCTATGAATCTCTCTGGCAGCAGGCTGAGGCATACTTTCCACGGTGCCTCTAAGATGCTCAGAAGAAAACCACAAATGAAACCCCACACAGCTGTGAGGAAGCAAGACAACTGTGAGTGTCTGCTTGGCTCAACCCAGATGCAAGCTGCTCACCCACTGCCCACTGCTGCAGCCTTGGGGTCCCGCTGGCTCCCTGTGCCTCGCAGAGAACAAAGCACAGCTGCAGAGGTCACCTGAGCAACTACAGTGCCTGTCAGGTGAGGCAGAAACAATTGCAACAGCGGGGATTGTGACTGAAGGTCTGGAGCTTCTTGTACAATCATTTCTTGAGTGCCTACCAAGTGGCTGACCCTCGGCTAGGCATTTATCTACTTTGTTTCTTAATCTTCTCATCAACGCTAAAGGCAGGCAGTATTAAGCAGGCTCAGAGAAGCAGTCTGACTTGTGTAAGATCATGTGCAGGGCTGTGGCCAACCCATGAGTACATTTGTGCCAATTAGAAGGCACTCCAAATGTCTTGGTGCGTGGAGCAAACCAGCCTCCCATGTGACGTCAGCCCCCACTCTCCCATGCAGGGAGTCAGCCTGCACATCTGTACACAGCAGCCAGAGTAAGTGGCAGAACCAGGATTCAAATGCTCAAGCTCCTTTCTCCTTGACCTGCAGGACTATATTTCATCAGCTGCGCATGATCTAAATGAATGCTCTGAGCTTCTAACATGTGTCTATATTAGATTAGATGACACGGCAACCATTAGGTCCCTGAACTGTATCATGTCACATGACAGCCCCCTCCTGCCGCATCCTGCAGACCCCCTGGCCCAGCCTCTCCTTATTCCCGTGACTCCATTAGACAATGTGCAAGCCCACAGTTCCCTGAGTCCTCTGCTTCCCTCCCAGCCTTTCTGTGCTCATTCTAACTCCTTCTCTTTGATGTAATTCCAAGGCTATTTTTTTTTTTTAACATAGAGCAGAGTCTCGCTTTGTTGCCCAGGCTGGTCTCCATCTGCTAGGCTCAAGTAATCCTTGTGCCTTGGCCTCCCAAAATGCTGAGATTACAGGCATTAGCCACCACACCTGGCCCCAAGATTGATTTTGTCACTTCCCTGCTAAAAACCTTTCATCGGTTCCCCAGCACCCTTGCCAATAGGTTCAAACTCCCCTTGTGCAACTCCTCCAGCCCCTAGGGCCTGGTGTCTGCTAAACTCTCTAGTTGTATCGTTAGTCACCCCTCCCACCTCATGACTCCACACTGCAGCCAGCTGCAAAGCCACTCTGTTCTGCGACTGAGCCTCAGGCCTTGTGCTGCGAGGCCTTTATGCCAGGGTTTTCAAGTGTGGCACTGTGGATGTTGTGGGCTGAATATGCTTTGTGTTGGGGGCTGTGCTATTCATTGTAAGATGTTTGGCAGTATCCCTGCCTCTACCCACTAGATGCTGGTAGCAGTTCCCCAGTCATGACAACCAAAACTGTCTCCAGACATTGCCAAGTATCCCCAGGAAGTTTGGCACAATCACCCGCCATTGAGGACTATTGAGCTCTGCTGATCCCTTTACCTAGCGCATGCTCCTTCCTCTTTACCTGTCTGGCTTCATGTCTTTTAAGTCTTAGCTTGGTTGTCCCTTCCCCTTGGAAGCCCTTCCTGACCCTGTGACTCCAGGTCCTCATGTTGGGCTGGGTGCCCTTCCTATGTACCCAGCTCAGACAACCCTGATCACACCGTATTATCACTGCCCATGTCCTTGTCCATCCCTTTCCTCTCCTGGAACTTCATGAAGGCAGGCATTTGTTTGCCTGGTTCCCTGTTTAGTATTCAGGGTCTTTGTTTGCCTGGTTCCCTGTTTAGTACTCAGGGTCTAAGTCTGTGCTTGTGACACAGCCTTATCTAACAAATCATTCTTGACACCCCATCTCCCTTAACCCCGTATCCAAACCATCACTGAGGCCTATTCACTCTGAAATATTATATCGCCCCAATTCATCCACTGCGTTCTGTCTCCACTACTCCCTCTGTGGTCTGAGCCCCATCACCTCTTACCTGGATTACAAAGACCACAAACTACCTGAATCTCCTCCAATCTGTTTCACTTCACCTGGGGTAATCTTTTCAAAACAAAATTTGAAACATGTTGTCCCCTTCATGAAACCCTGCCACAGCTTTTCCAGTGATCAGAGACGATCACCCAAAGTCCTTAACATGGCCCATAATGCCAGGTTCCGTCTGGCCCCTGCCACCTCTCCATCTTCATTTGAACCACATTTCCTCTTACGATGTGCTTTTCATTTCCTGGCTTCCTTTTCATTTCCCCTAAAGCAAGAGATACTTGCCCAGACTATTCCCATGGCCTGAAATGCTCTTCCCCACCTGTGGGGGCTACTTGGCTCCAATCCCCTCTTCAGGTTCTTGGCCCCCACCCTCCAGCTGCTGGTGCCAGGCCAGTTTCCAGTGCCCATGGACAGGGCCCTGTGCTCAGAGGCATACCTTTACTGGGGTTTAATGCTGTTTGTAATCATTTATCTTTGAATTTGTGTCTTTTAAGTGAAGTCCAATAAGCCAATAGAGCCGTACTTGGAGCCTCAGCTCACACAGTCCCCCTCCTGCCACCTGCTTGCCTCCCCGGGATGGGTTCATGGCTGTCTGCTTCCCCACCTCCCACTTCTACCCCCACCCTCACCCAGTGACTATTGCCACTTTCTGCCTGGTAGGGGCCTGGACTCAGGTGCAGGGAGGGCTGGGGTCAGGCACATGCTTCCTCAGGTCCAGTCGTGGGTTGGAGCCCTGGGTGTCTGTGAGGGTCTCTACTCACTCTTTGAGTATCCCAGAGCCTGGGGAAGTATGACATTAAATAGCAAATCCAAACCCTATGGCTGGTTGAAAAATAGAGCATGAAAGGAGGCTTTTTCCCGATATTTGAAGAAGAGGCCCTATATTTTTATTTCACAGTGAGCCCCCAAATTTATGCAGCCATGCCTGGCTGGGGCCACTGCTTGCTGATGGCTCACAGCTGCACCCCTCCCTGGGAACTGCCTTCTGCAGCGGGGATGGCATCCCAGGCTTCCGCCCCCTTCTGGCAGCTACTCACAGTCACTGACTGCATCCTTAGGGATACACAAGTCTGGACCCCACCTCAATTTGGGCCAACTCAGAAGAGTCATCCCAACTCCAGAGCTCCCTGAAGGATGGCTGAGGTCTTAGTCCCCACCGCCTGCCGCACTAGGGGTGAGGTTCTCTCTGCCCAGTCCTGCCTTCCTCATGGCTGCATCTCAGGAGAGCACTCCTGAGTAGAAGAAACAAACTCAGTTTCTCCCACAATACTCTCAAAACACAAACCAGCCAGCAATCCATTCTGCAGCAGATGCGAGCTGGATGTCCTCTAATTCAAATCCATTATGACACTATCTCCTGGAGACAGTGCCAGGTCCTACAGGGTGAGGGCTCAGTCCCCAAGGCTGCCTCTAGGCTTTGAATGCCAGTGGCAAGTCCAGGCCTTCAAAACTTCTGACCCACCAGCTGTAAATTGAGGTCCCCACAAACCTCTCTTTGGGTTCAATTAATTTGCCACAGCAGCTCACAGAATGCAGGGAAACACTTATGTTTTCTGGTTTGTTATAAGGGATATTTTAAATGACACAAATAAGCAGCCAAATGAAGAGTCATACAGGACCAAGTCTGGAAGGGTCCCAAGTTCAGAAGCTTCTGTCCCCATGGAGCTGGGGTGAGCCACACTCCCAGCACGTGGATGTGTTCTTGTTCATCTTCCTGGAAGCCTCCACGTGATTGGCTATCAGGAAGCTCTCTGAACCCTGCCCTTTTGGGTTTTTATGGAGTCTTCATTACACAGGCATGATTGATAAAATCATTGGCCATTGGGGGATAGGCTGAAAGTCCTAACCCTCTAATCCTACCTTGGCTTTTCTGGTGACCAGTCTCCATCCTGCAGCTTCCTAGGGGCTGCCAGCCATCAGTCAACTCATTAATATACAAAAAGATGCTTTTCACTTTGAAGATTTGGAGTTGTATGCCAGAAAATGGGATGAAGACCAAACACATATTTCACAATATCATAGCTCCCCAATATCTTCCATGTGTAAATCTGTCTCAGTCTGTTTCCAGGGAGCCCAATCTGAGACACCACCGGAACCTCTTTGCTGAGTGAATTCCTTTCCTTCTAGTATCATGTAAGTTGAATTTCCCATGTGGTTTACTTTTTGATTTTCACATATTAAGTCAAATCCTCCTTGGAGAGCCCAATGTACCATGTCTTCCCAGCATTTATCATAAGTGATATTTAATACTTATTTGAATGATTATTAAGTTCCCTTTTTTTTTTTTTTTTGAGACAAAATCTTGCTCTGTTGCCCAGGTTGGAGTGCAGTGGCATGATCTCCACTCACTGCAGCCTCCGTCTCTTGGGTTCAAGCAATTCCCCTGCCTCAGCCTCCCGAGTAGCTGGGACTACAGGCATGTGCTACAATGCCCGGCTAATTTTTTGTATTTTTAGTAGAGACAGGGTTTCACCAGGTTGGCCAGGCTGGTCTCGAACTCCTGACCTCAAGTGATCTGTCCGCCTCGGCCTCCCAAAGTGCTGGGATTACAGGCATGAGCCACCACGCCCAGTCTGAATGTTTATTAAGTTCTATCTTCCCCACTAGACTGTAAGCTTCATGAAGGCAGGAATCATGTCCATTTTCTGCTCTTCCTTCTATCCCTCAATTTTTTTTTTTTTTTTTTTTTTTTAGATGGAGTCTCGCTCTGTCTCCCAGGCTGGAGTGCAATGGCATGATTTCGGCTCACTACAACCTCCGCCTCCCGGGTTCAAGCGATTCTCCTACCTCAGCTTCCCAAGTAGCTGGGATTATAGGGGCCCGCCACCACACCCAGCTAATTTTTGTATTTTTAGTAGATACAGGTTTTCACCATGTTGGCCAGGCTGGTCTGAAACTCCTGACCTCAAGTGATCTGCCCACCTTGGCCTCCCAAAGTGCTGGGATTACAGGCATGAGCCACGGCACCTGGCTATCCCTCATATTTAGAACAGTCCTGGCATGTGGGAAACACTTGATACATGTAAGTTGAATAAACAAGTGAGTGAGTGAGTGAATAAAGGCATGCCTTTTGGATGAAGGAATGTTAAAAGTAATTACAGACTGTAATGAATATTTTTGAATGCCCTTGGTAGTGGTAAATAATTTAAGAATAGATTTCAAATTTCTGTAGGGGTCAAAAGTTAGTAGGAATTAAATTTGGTCAATGCTGGTGGTAATCCTTTTGGTCAGGCCAAAGTGTGACCATGACTTCATGCCTCATGTGACCAGAATGCCTCTCCTGTATGTCTTTCTTAAGCTAGATCTCAGAAGTGAGCACTTAAAGAAAAAAAAAACTGGGGGGCATGGTCATGATGGTTGTGACATATGGAGGCATTAACTCCCAAGAAAACATGTTCAGAGGTCTTTTAAAAATCACCTTTCCAGTATGTCTCTAGCATTGTATTTGGTACAATAGATGCTTCGAAATAAATATAATACCAAACCTCTGTCTCCCATTATCCCTCTGAATGTGAGGAGTTGGTCAGAGACTTCAAGGCAGGACCAGGTATCTAAACATGTAACAAGCTTCTGGGTCACTATTCTAACCTCATTCCCATTCCTAACAAAATAGCAAATTTTAAAGACTCATATTGCATAATACCTGAAGGTCACTGCTCACCAAATAGAATTCTGAATTTAAAAAGTACAAGCATGATCCTCACTCCCCAATATTCCTATTATATTTACTTGGAATCTTTTACAATGATACAAACTAGTTTCACTGTGTGCATGTAGATGTCAACTGAGCACAGGCAGAAGTGCTTATCACATTTATTAAAAGTGCATGTTGACCGGGCGCGGTGGCTTACGCCTGTAATCCCAGCACTTTGAGAGGCCGAGGTGGGCAGATCACCTGAGGTCAGGAGTTCCAGACCAGCCTGGCCAACATGGTGAAACCCCGACTCTACTAAAAATACACAAATTAGCCGAGTGTGGTGGTGGGTGCCTATAATGACAGCTACTCAGGAGGCTGAGGCATGAGAATTGCTTGAACCCTGGAGGCAGAGGTCGCAGTGAGCCAAGATTGTGCCATTGCACTCCAGCCTGGGCAACAGAGCAAGACTCCATCTAAAAAAAAAAAAAAAAAAGTGCATGTAGACAGTGGCTGGAACATGTTTAATTGTGCTGCACCTATGGGTAAGAAGCTGGCTCTGAAATATTAATGGCCGTCATTCCCTGTGTAGGTGGGGCTGATCCTTTTCTGAAGTCTTCCTTTCTTAGAAGTTCAGCTAGGCTTGTGGTTGGTGTCCATATCAGACCAGACTGGGAAGATATGCTAATGTCATCACATGCACTTATTCTGTCTGAGTCTTACTAAGTGAAAAGCCTTTTATAGCATTAAAAACCATAATGCTGGCTGGGTGCGGTGGCTCAGGCCTGTAATCCCAGCACTTTGGGAGGCCGAGGCATGCAGATCATGTCAGGAGATCAAGACCACCCTGGTTAACTCGGTGAAACCCTGTCTCTACTAGAAGTATAAAAAATTAGCTGGGCGTGGTAGCATGCGCTTGTAATCCCAGCTACACGGCAGGCTGAGGCGGGAGAATCACTTGAACCTGGGAGACGGAGGTTGCAGTGAGCTGAGATCGTGCCACTGCACTCCTGCCTGGGCTACAGAGTGAGACTCTGTCTCAAACAAACAAACAAAAAAACATAAGGCTATATGTTGCCATGTGCATGAACTCAATAAGATGGAGTCAAAACTGTGAGCGCTTTTAAATCTGATGTGCCTGGAATCATATCACATACTAGTACTGTGACTTTGGGTCTCAATTTCCCTACCTGTACAATGGAGCTCAGAACAGTACCTAACTCAGAATCTTTTTGTAAAGGGTCCCAAGAGGCTCAGCTCATATGTAGAAAAGAGTTACCTACTTGGAACTCTTAGGTCTCATCATCCCGTGATTAAGGGGTCAGAAAGGTTTTAAACTTTTCAAACCATTGAGGTAACAGCAGTTATTAGGGGCCTCCACTGTTTTGTGTTTTTTTTTTTTTTGCCCATTTGGCATCCAGTCCCCATCTTTTGCATTGTGATTTTCCTGTGGGGAACACATTCTTCTGCTCTCGATCCATGAGATTTACGTGGGACAGACCTTCCTCTGGCTCCTGGGACAGGCAGTGATCTAGTCTCGGCCAATGGGATTGGTTGTGGTTGGACATGTGACCTGAGTTGTCCAGTGAGCGCCCTCTCTGGGAACTGTGAAGGAACTATTCATAAAGAAAATGTTTTCCCTCTGTGGGAGTGGTTCAGTTGGTAGGAAGTGTATGGGGCGACTGGTGGCTCCCGTGCAGGGAGTACCTGCCTGAGAGTGAGGGCAACACAGAGAAGAGCGAAGCTGGGAAACAGAGACAGAGACTCCCAGGGACACTGCTCAGACACCTGGATCAGGCCAGGGCTTCCTAGTTATGTAAACCGTTAATTTCATTTTTCTGAAGTAACATAGTTCTGTCCCATAATAACTCTGATTGATAGTCCAGTAAATCACAGTAACCTACTCTATCTGTTCATCTTTTGAGTTTAAAACTTCTTTCCTCCTAGGCCAGGTGCAGTGGCTCACACCTGCAATCCCAGTACTTTAGGAGGCTGAGGCAAGTTGATCACATGAGGCCAGGAGTTCAAGACTAGCTTGGCCAACATGGTGAAATCCCATCTCTACTAAAAATACAAAAATTAGCCAGGCATGGTGGCGCTTGAACCTCAGCCAGGCGTAGTAGTGCTTGAACGTGAGAGGTAGAGGTTTCAGTGAGCTGAGATCACACCACTGCACTCCAGCCTGGGCGACAGAATGAGACTTTGTTTCAAACCAGCAAACTTCTTTCCTCCAGATAATTCAAAGACTATCTCATAGACTCAAAAGTGGTAGCAATTGCAGAGACGTCTTAAGGCCCACTTGAGAGGGCAGACATGGTGAATGAGTGATGAAGCTGGGACAAGAGCTCAGGTTTCAGCCTCCCAGGCCAATGCTCTTCAGCCCCGGCATCTCCTTGCGTGTCTGCCTCAGTCTCTCAAACCTGGGCAGACCTGCTCCTTTCCATCCTTGAAGCACCTCCCGGAGTCACTACCCAGCTACCAGCTGCCAGAAGACCCCACGGGGCAGAAGTCACCGTGTTCTAGGAGCTGTTCTCTGTCCCCTAGCCCTCCACTGAGGACAGCCCCATTTTAAGAGAAGCATGTAAAGGTCTGGATCTTGATGGAGCCCAGGTAAGAGGCCAGGGGGCTGAGCTCTGTTTAGAGCCCAGGACCCAGCCTCAGGCCCGCATTACCTCATATGCAGATTATTACAGTAGCTCTTGGTGGGTTCCCGTTTCTCCCCAGCTCTAGTCTCTTTCTCTTTCATTTTAGATAGTGTCAGAATCATCTTCCTAAGGAATCACTCTGGTCATGGCACTTTCTTGTTCAAAAACCTTCAATGGCTCCCTACTGCCTGTAGAACAACATCCAAAGTACTTTACCCAGTGTCCTTCAGTGGCGAGAAAGGGCCTGTGCCCCCCCAGGGAGGCACAGCTCATACCCAGGGAAGAGTTACCCACTTGGAAGACTCATGTCCAAAGTTCTAAATTCAATTACAGCCTCCAGTTCTATTAAAATAGGCAGTAGGTATTATTTGTTTTTGTTCTCGTTTTTTGTTTGTTTGTTTGTTTAGAGACAAGGTCTTGCTCTGTCACTCAGGCTGGAGTGCAGTGGTGTGATCACGGCTACCTGCAGCCTCAAACTCCCAGGCTCAAGCAATCCTCCTGCCTCAGCCTCCTGAGTAGCTGGGATTACAGGTGCATACCATCATGCCCAGGTAATTTTTTTTTTTTTTTTTAAGAGACAAAGTCTTGCTATGTTGCCTAGACTGGTCTCAAACTTCTGGCCTCAAGGGATTCTCCCACCTTGGCTTCCCAAAGTGTTGGGATTACAGGCGTGAGTCACAGCACCTGACTGGTGGTAGGTATTCTGATTCCTGTGAGAAAGGAAAATATTATCCCTCTAACAGTGTCCAGCACCTTGATATCTTCTCTATTAATTTTTTTTTTTTTTTTTTGAGGCAGAGTCTCACTTTGTTGCCCAGGCTGGAGTGCAGTGGCGCAATCTTGGCTCACTGCAACCTTCTGCCTCCCAGGTTCAAGCAATTCTCCTGCCTCAGCCACTTGAGTAGCTGGGATTACAGGTGCCTGCCATCATATCTGGCTAATTTTTGTATTTTTAGTAGAGATGAGGTTTCACCATGTTGGCCAGGCTGGTCTCAAGCTCCTGACCTCAGGTGATCCACCCGCCTCAGCCTCCCAAACTGCTGGGATTATAGGCATCAGCCATAGCACCCAGCCCTTCTCCACTAATTTTGATGCTACCCTACAATATTTCTCTGGCTACCTTCCTTTATTAACTATTTGTATGAGTTTTCTACTGATGTGTAACAAATTACCACAAACTTAGTAACTTAAAACAGTTCATTTATTAGCTTGCAGTTCCGTAGGTCAGAAGTTCTGGCACAGCATGGCAGGGCTCTTTGGTCATGGACTCACAAGGCTAATAAAATGGAGATGTTGGTCAGGCTACATTCTGATCTGGAGCCCAAGGTCCTCTTCCAAGTGTATGTGGTGATGGCAGAATTCAGTTCACTCTGGCTGTAGAAAGGAGGCCCCTGTTTCCTTGCTGGCTGTCAGGGAGAGGCAGCTCTGAGTGCCTAGAGTCCACCTACACACCTTGCTCCTCCATCTTCAAAGCCAGCAGGGTGCACAGAGGCCCTCTGTGCTTTACATTTCTGACTTCTGCTGTCTCTAGCCTCTATGCCCATATTGAAAGGATAGGTGTGATGAGGTCAGGCCCACCTGGATAATTTCTCTTTTGATGAATTCAAAGTCAACTAACTAGTAACTTTTTTTTTTTTTTTCCGAGAGTCTTACTCTGTCACCCTGGCTGGAGTGCAGTGGCGTGATCTTGGCTTACTGCAACCTCTGCCTCCTGGGTTCAAGCGATTCTCCTGCCTCAGCCTCCCAAGTAGCTGGGACTACAGGCACGTGCCATCATGCCCAGCTAATTTTTTTGTATTTTTAGTAGAGACCAGGTTTCACTGTGTTAGCCAGCGTGGTCTTGATCTCCTGACATCATGATCTGCCTGCCTCAGCCTCCCAAAGTGCTAGGATTACAGGCGTGAGCCACAGCACCCTGCTACTAGTAACTGTAATTAAAACTCTGAAGTCCCTTTTGCCCTGTAACATAACACAACCATGGCAGTGATATCTCATCATACTCACGGGTCTTGTCTACACTCAAGGGGAGGGGATTATACAAGGGCAAGCAAGGGTCATTGATGGGGGGCCATCTTAGAATTTTGTCTACCATACCATTGTCACAATCATTCTTTAGTTCCAATGTCTGTAAAAGTAATGAATCTGAATTTGATTTCCTAATCCTCATCAATATTTTTTTCCTGGGGCCTGGTGTGGCAGATGCTGTCAGCTCACCCAACACCTAATCTCATTCCTCCTCTCCTTTAACATCCCCCAAAACAGAGGCTGGAAAATGAAATACTCTATTTTTCAGCCTCCTTTGCTGCTAGAAGTGAACATATGACATGGTCCTGGCTAATGGGCTATAAGCAGGTATCTGTGGATGTTGTTCTTTTCTCCTCTTTTTTCTTCTCCTGGAATGCAGACTCAATATTTGGAGTTGCAACAGCCACTTGTGACAAGGAGGAAAAGGCCAAAAGATTTTTTTTTTTTTTTTTGAGACAGGGTATTGTTCTGTCACCCAGGCTGGAGTGCAGTGGCATGATCATAGCTCACTGAAGCCTTGAACTCCTGAGCTCAAGCAATCCTCCCACCTCAGCCTCCCAAGTAGCTGGGACCACAGGCATGCATCACCACACCTGGCTAAGTTTAAAACAATTTTTTTTTTTTTTTGAGACAGACTCTTTCTCTTTCATCCAGGCTGGAGTGCAGTGGTATGATCTTGGCTCACTAAAACCTCCACCTCCCGGGTTCAAATGATTCTCCCACAGCAGCCTCCCAAGTAGCTGGGATTACAGGCACCCACCACCATGCCTGGCTAATTTTTGTATTTTTAGTAGAGACAGGGTTTCAACATGTTGGCCAGGCTGGTCTCGAACTCCTGACCTCAGGGGATCCACCTGCCTTGGCCTCCCAAAGTGTGGGATTACAGGTGTGAGCCACCACGGCCAGCCTAAAACAAAACAAAAAAATTTTTTTTAAGAGATGGGGTTCGCACTATTGACTGGTCTTGTCCTCCTGGGCCCAAAGTGCTGGGATTAGGCCTGAGCCACCACACCCAGCGCAAGCCAGGAGATTTTTAACAGAGGTCTTGTCCGTGAAATTGCTGAACAGCCAAATCTATACCAAAATCTGGTATTCTGTTATATTTAGTAGAAAGAAATCCCAACTTATACAAGACTAAATAACTCTCTGAATGAGAAAAAGCTAGCCAAATTTCCAAAGCCATGATGCCTTAACTTTTCTGGAAGAACTGCTCAGACTCAATGCAGAGTTCAACCTCCATCATCAGGGTGATTTTTCCTTGTTACCTCTTCTGTCTTAACTTGTTTTCTGTTGCTTATGACAGAGTATCTAAGACTGAGTATTTTATAAGGAAAGTATTTTATAAGGAAAGGAAGGTTGAGGGAAATGTCTGGTGAGAGGATGAGAGTCTTATTGCTGGTGGGAACTCTCTGAGGAGTACTGAGATGGCTCAGGGCATCGCGTGGGGCTGAGTGTGCTGATGTGCTAGCTCAGGTCTTTCTCTTCTTATAAAGCTACCATTTCCACTCCTGTGATAACCCATTAATCCATTCATCTATTCACAGCGGCAGAGCCCTCATGGTCCACTCACCTCTTAAAGGCCCCACCTCTCCAACACTGCCACATTGGAGATTAAGTTTCCAACACATCAAATTTTGAGGACTCATTCAAACCACAGAATTAATGTTCACAGTAATTCTCTAACACAGTATCTTGACATCACAACTGAACGTTAGTGGTTACAGAAGCCCTGTAACTATGATCTGTCTTTTTTTTCTGTGAAATGTTGTGAATATAATGACCTTACAATCTACTTGTGAGCCCAATTATATGTGTGGGAGCTGCAATGAATAGGAAACTAAGGGGGTTTACTTAGCTGTGTAGAAGGGTAAACAGTGAAGAAAGGAGGCCTTCCTTTCTCTTCTCTTTGTTTTTTATGGCTTTCAATCTTGCTCTCCATCTCTCTCCCCTCACCCTTCCTGATGGTCCCCTGGGCTTCCGTGGCAGGCCCGGAAACTGGGGCATAAAACTTCTTGGATGAGGCAAGTGGCCTAAACCCTGAAGTGTGGTCTCACGGGACGGAGAGGGATGCAGAGGTAAAAGGGCCAAAGGTCTGTAGGCAGTGAGCCTCTCTACTAAGTACGTTCCTGGTAGCGGACAGCACTGGGGAGGCACAGAAACCTTCCTGCACGTTCCAGATGAGCCAGAGAGCTGCACCCGGGAGCCAAGGAAGGAGCTGTCCTTCCAAATGGCCATGGCCCATGAACAGAGCCTGAGGAGACTGAGAAAGGAGACTGGAGTGAGCCAAAGCTCTATGTGTCCCCTAAGCCTCCAGCAAGGTCGAGATATAGCAACAATTAGTGTGATACATGTCCATGGGCGACTCAGAAGGAACGCTCCTGCTCAGCACAATGGACAATACAAATGCCAAACTGTGAAGTGCTGCACTTCAGTTTTCTCCAGCCTAGGCAGACATGGATCCACGATTCACAGCGTTCCTGTGTTCATAGGAATGTCCCAAGGAGGCAAACACTCTGTCACCTCCCTGGCCTGCTCCTCCTTCCCACCCACAGAGGAGACGGTGTTACTTCAGCTCCTCCCCACATTCTCTGCCATCATCTACTGTCTTTCCTTCCCACAGGATCAACACCTACTCTGCTGGCTTTTGCCTCAGCATCTAAACCCGCTCTGCCCTCCCCATCTCAAAACTCCATTTCCCCACTGTATCCCCTTCTAGGGACCAGTCTCCCCCTTCCAGAGTCTCATTCCCTACTTCTAGATCAATCCAGCCTCCAGAGTCTGAATTGAGACCTCACCATTCCCTTACACTGATTTCCTAATTGCCAAATCCCACAGGCGACGTTACCTCTTTGCAACACTTGACACTTTGACCACACTTTCCTCCCTGAAATCCTCTTCTTTGGCTCCTGTGGCAGAGGCTGCTAGTTACCTGCTCAATATCCAGCTGTTCTTCATCCTTACTAACTAGAACCCGCTCCTTCACCCCTGCCTCAAGTTCCACATCTACAACGTGGGCACACATGGCCTGGACATGAGCCGGGTGATCTTCTCCTCAGCCCAGATATAATTCAGTAATTATAATCGCTTAATTATAATTCCCTTTTTAACCAAAGAATTTTCAAGAATGTCATTTGTCAGCTTCCTCTGCAGCTAGGGGGTGGCCAGATCACAGTCTTAGCCAGTGACATCTAAGTGAAAGCTGTTGGATGGAGCTTCAGGGAAAGCTCCTAAAGGGGGCCACACTCAACTGCTGCATGCATGCCTATTTACTCCTGACCCTTCCTCCTTTCTCCTACCTGGAACATGGCCCTGATGGCTGGGGCTACAGCAGCCATCTTGCAGCACATGGAAAAGGCTAGAATTATAAAGATGCAGATCCCATTATTCTGCAGCTGCTGAACTAATGCTGGCAAGTGCTTATTTCCACACCCTGTTACATAAGAAAAATAAACCTCTGTCTTGTTTAATCTATTGTTATTTGGGTTTTCTAGGATATGCCCCTGAAACCCATCTCTAACTGATACAGCTCCTATGACTATATCACTCTTGCCTTTCCTCCTACTTCTTTTTTTTTTTTTCTTTTTTTAAGATGGAGTCTCGCTTTGTAGCCCAGGCTAGAGTGCAGTGGTGTGATCTCAGCTCACTGCAAGCTCCGCCTCCTGGGTTGACGTCATTCTCCTGCCTCAGCCTCCCAAGTAGCCTTCTACTTCTTAAACCTCTTCAGGGCTCCTTTTCTTCTATACCCCCACATGTTGGTGTTTTTCAGCTTCTGTTCCTGGTCTTCTTCCCCTACTCTTTCCCAGTGACTCAGCAGTGCCCTCTGCTTCCCAAACCATGATAACTCCAAATCCCCACGTCTATCCCAGGTCTTCCTCCACAGCACCAGGCCTATAGATCTAAATGCCTAGTGAACATCTCTGCCTGTCCCTTCTACAGGAACCTCATAGACAGCATAATCACAATTAAACTTGCCAGCTTGCCTACAAATCTGCTCTTCCTTCTGGCCACTGGAGCTAGAGACCCTCACTTTCCCCTCACCCCCATACCCAGCTGGTCCTGAAGTCCCATCAGATCTCTTTCCAAAAGCTCCAATTTGCTCCCACTTCTTCAATCCCACTGTCCTGTACAGACCCCCATTATTTCTTGCCTGGGCCACTCACTACCTTAGCCTCCTAACTGATGTCCCCACCTACCATCTAACTTCCAAATTGTTGCCGCATTGGTCTTTTTAAGACAGAAATCTAATCATGTCATTTCCCTTCTTAAAACCCTTCAAGAACCCCTCTTCCCCTACAAGAAGGCATTCCAGCACCTGTGAAAGCCCAGCCCTTCAGTCTTGTCAACATCCCTTCCATTACAGCCACATAAAATCACCACAGCAGTTTCCCAAACTTGCCATGATTTTTCTCATTTCCTTTGGGCCCTGTAGGCTGAAAACTGTACAAAAATGAGGTTTTAAGTAACCATTTAAGAGCCAGGTTTGAGCCCTTGCCTTGCTGTGGAATCTCCCACCTTTGTGCACAGAGACTCAGAGGTAAAGATGTTAGAATTCCAGAGATTTTCCGTCGTTCACCTAACATAATCGCTTAATTATAATTCTCTTTTTAACCAAAGAATTTTAAGCAAGTCACTTTGAACAAAACTGATTAAAATAAACATCAGTTGCCTTTGTTTTCTTCCATATATTTTCATTTAAAATATCATCTTCATCCAATGCAAAACATTCGCCCATTCCACACTAAACAGGAAAGGAGATATTTTACTTTTAATGTTCTAGGTGTGAGAGGATCATTCTTTTTCCTTCTTTCTTTATTTTTTTTCTTTTTTCTTTTTCTTTCTTTCTTTTTTTTTTTTGAGACAGAGTCTTGCTCTGTCGAGCAGGCTGGAGTGCAGTGGCATGATCTCGGCTCACTACAACTTCCGCCTCCTGGGTTCAAGCGATTCTCCTGCCTCAACCTCCCGAGTAGCTGGGATTACAGGCGCCTGTCACCATGCCTGGCTAATTTTTGTATTTTTACTAGAGATGGGGTTTCACCATGTTGGCCAGGCTGGTCTCAAACTCCTGACCTCAGCAGATCCACCCGCCTCGGCCTCCCCAAAGTGCTGGGATTACAGGCGTGAGCCATCACACCCAGCCGGATCATTCTTTTTCTTATCTGATTAAAGTTTACCTCCTAGGATCATGGAATTTTAGGGTCCAGCCCCTTCATTTTCCAGAAAAGGAACCCAAGGCTCTATTGGCTCAGGAACACAGCACCATAGAGGTGGTTATTGACACACCCGGACCATGACTATGGATTCAGCTTTTTCCATCTCATCACAAAAGCACAGGCCATCCCCAACTCACAAAGGAGGCTCCCCCATCCCCTGTGAGAGGAGAGCAAAGTAGCCCTCAAATAGCCAATGAATCTAATCCTCTTACACCACTCATCTTAAGGCAAGATGACAACGTAAGCGCTTTAGGAAAAAAAACCAAAAGAATTAAGTCCAAGGCTCTATTTGCCCTGGGAATAGAAAAGCCCTCTCCCCTCCTTTCCAACTCTGTGCCCCGCACTTGGGGCAGGTGGAGAGTCACTCACCCTCTGGGTGATGGGCTTGCCACCCTTCATCTCCACGGCCAGCCCCAGGTCAGATAACCTGCAGTTGCCGAGGTCATCCAGAAGCACATTCTCAGGCTTCATGTCCCGATAGACGATGCCGAGTTCATGGAGGTGCAGCATCCCACAGGCTATCTGGGCCGAGTAAAAGATCACCCGGCTCATGTCCAGGCCACGCGTGCCCACGTTGTAGATGTGGAACTTGAGGTCTCCCCCATTCATCAGGCTCATGACAAGGCAGAGATGGGTCTTGCTCTCAAAGGCATAGGCCAGAGAGACAATGAAAGGGCTGCTGACCTTCTCCAAGATTTCCTTTTCCAAGAGAGCCATCTTCTCGCCACCTTTCTTCTTCAGCCGCTTCTTGTCCAGTTTCTTACAGGCATACATCTTCCCAGTGTTTTTCACCTGGACGGCACATACCTTAAAGGAGAAAGAAAAGAAGAGAAAGAGGTAGAAGTAGATGGTACTGCAGAGAGGTGGAGATGATAAAGGAGGAGGTGGGTGGAAAGATGTTAGGCATTGGAGAAAGGAGTAGCTGTAAATAAGAAGTGTTCTCAAGAAAAAGTGGGGACTACAGTGCGATACTCCTTCACCTCACTAGGCAGGCCTTCATAAAAAAATACAGGAAAATATCAAGTGTTGGCAAGGATGTGGAGAAATCGAAACCTTTAAGCATTGCTGGTGGGAATAAAAAATGTGGAAAGTTTGGTGGCTCCTTGAAAAGTTAAACATAGTATCACCATATGCCCTAGCAATTCCACTCCTGGGCATAAATCCAAGAGAAATGAAAACAAGGATTCAAACAAATACTTGTGCATGAATAGCAGCACCATACACAATAGCCAAAAGGTGAAAACAGCCCAAGTGTCCATCAACAGATGAATGGCTACATGAAATGTAGTACATCCATACAATGGAATATTATACAGCCATAAAAAGGAATGGAGTATTGACACATGCTACAGTGTGAATGAACCCCAAAAACATTCTAATGAGTGAAAGAAGCCAGACACAAAAGGTCACATATTGTGTGAAACACCCAGAATAGGCAAATCCCTAGAGACAGAAAGCGGACTAGTGGTTGTCAGGGCTGGAGGAGGAGAGGGATGGGGAGGCACTATTAATGGGCACAGGGGTGATGAGAGTGTCTTGGATCCAGATTGAGGTGTTGCTTACCCAACATTGCATTTGTGCGAAGTGCCACTGCATTGTACATTTTAAAACAGTTAATGGTTAGTTTTATATCAAGCAAATTTTACCTGAAATATTTTTTATTACTTAAAAACAGAAAGCTGGGCACAACAGTGGTACAAAACAGGTTCTCAACCTTACTTCAAGATAAGTGTTTTCTTTCTTTTCTTTCTTTCTTTTTTTTTTTTTTTTTGAGTCTTGCTCTGTCACCCAGGCTGGAGTGCAGTGGCACGATCTTGGCTCACTGCAACCTCCACCTCCCAGGCTCAAGTGATTCTCCTGCTTCAGCCTCCCAAGTAGCTGGGATTACAGGCATGTCACCACACCCAGCTAGTTAGAGTATTTTCTTAAATATCCATTTTTCTTGAAGTGCCTTCATTATCACAATTTAGGGGAAACGGAGATCTTCTGTCACACATTGCTATCATTCTCTGAAGTGTCCAGGCATCTCAGCACGTTCCTAATGGAGACCCATGACAGAGTCTTGGCCAAGTATAAATTTTGCTTGTCTCTCTCATGCCATTTGTGTTTTATTTCACACCATGGCACACACAAAGAAGGGGGCTGGGGAGACGGGGCTAGAAATCCTCCACATATGGTGCTGAAATTAGTTCTAAGTAACTGAGATTTAAAAAAAGAAAGGCAACATTACCCCCTTTCATGCTCTATGCTTCACCTTCTAGCCTGGCTACTGGGAGACACTTACCTCCCCAAAACCACCTTTCCCCAGCACTCTGAACTCAGTGAAGTACTTGTCTGACACTGGTTGCATCTCGAAGAGTTTCCACTGCAGAAACTTGTCGTAGAAGGCGCTGGTCACGAAATCCTTAAAGGGCTGCTCTTGCAAGAAAGCCATGGCCTCAGCCTTGGCCAGCGTCACTGCAGCCACTCGCTCTTCCTCAGTGGTGGCTGCTTGGCACTTGGTGGCCACGGCCTGGCTGAGGAAGGGTTGCGGGTTCCCCGGGGCAGGGGCACTCGCACAAGTGGCCACCAGCCCCTGCAGCGCGCTGTCTTTGGTGGGTCCCTCCTCGGCCAGCTCCCAGTTCTGCACGTCCTCTAGGAAGGTTGCCGCCTTGCGGAACGTGGGCACTGTGGCTAGGAAGTCACGGAAGAGGCGGCGACCGATGGGCTGCTGCTCACACAGGCTGTGGAAGTTCAGGGACAGCTTCTGGCGGAGCTCCGCGCAGCCCTGCAGCCCGGGCAGGGCCAGGCTACGCCGCCGCCGCTGCAGCTCTTTGCTGTCGCAGTCCGAGGGCTTCCGGGCCTGCAGGTAGGCGGTGTTGGCGATCAGGTTGTCCAGGGCCCCCATGTCCACCATGGCTGAGCACGGGGCGCACTCCCAGGGAAAGCACAAGAGGGCTGGAGGGCTGCTGGCTGCTTTCCCTTCCCGGGTGAGACAACGTCCAAGGGATTTACAGTGAGTCCTGTGGCCTGTGGGTGGGACCCGTGGAGGGTGTGAAAGAGGTTTCTCTTGTAAGAAGCTTTGACTGGCTATGTATAGCCCGCCAGGAACTGCACACGATAGGTCATGCTCCCACCTGCCAAGGCGAAAGCTGCTGGGACACCTGCCGGGGCCACCTCCCCCACTGGTCCCTTCATCTTAGGGTCTTTCTCCACATAGCCCTGTACCCTGAATATCTAGCTAGAACTGTGTTCCAAGGAAGTGATCATACCGTTGTCATCTAATTTGTTGCTGATGCAGTAGTTTAATCTGTTTCTAATTTTACTTGTTTCCTATCAGCCTCAAGCTATGTAAACTCCTAGGAATAGCAGGTCAGGCAGAGGAACTGTGAGAAGTCAGAGCAGTTTCCTCCCAGGTTCTAGCAGCCTGACACGAAGAGCAGGTTACAGAGGGGATGTTGTGAGCTTTGAGTCCCGAGATGTGTTCCCAGAGGCCCTAAGGACTCCAGTGTTGGCCAGGGCAGATGCACCCTGAATAGCTTGCAGAAATCCTGCAGCTGTCTTAGCTCTGAGGAGTCTGTGACCTGGAGTACCTTGGGTTAAAAGAGGGGCCATCTCCGGGCGGATCACGAGGTCAGGAGATCGAGACCATCCTGGCTAACACGGTGAAACCCCGTCTCTACTAAAAAAAATACAAAAAAAAAAAAAAATTAGCCGGGCTTGATGGCGGGCGCCTGTAGTCCCAGCTACTCGGGAGGCTGAGGCAGGAGAATGGCGTGAACCCGGGAGGCGGAGCTTGCAGTGAGCCGAGATTGCGCCACTGCACTCCCGTCTGGGCCACAGAGCGAGACTCCGTCTCAAAAAAAAAAAAAAAAAAAAGAGGGGCCATCTCCACCCAAAACATACCATGAAGCAGTATAAGCAGAAAAAGCCATATTCCTGAAATGAAGGGACTTGGCCTGGAGTGTCTGGGCTCTGAATGAGACAAGAATTTTCCATGATCCCAAAGACAGAAAGCACGCCACTCACGGCATGCGGTCGCGACTGTTCCAAGGGCACAATCTAACGAGCAGACTCTGAATGCCAAGGAGCCTTCGCGTGGAGCCAAGAGCAGTGAAGTTTCAGACGTGGCCCCTCAACATCTTTGCCCATGCGCCCCACCAAGCGAGGAAGCTTCCTTCCACGGAGGACGCTCGGAGCTGTCACAGACCTCGGCCTCATCAAGACAGAAATTGATCTAGACAGAGATCAGGCTAAGAACTTCTGCTCCAAAAATAACAACCTGTGCCCCACAGGGAAAGGATACTCAGGCTTTTTCTTCACAAAGCAAGGCTAAGGCAGCTTAAAAACAAGTCATTCAGTATTATGCCAAAGTGTTTACAAGCAAAAAAAAGAGAGAGGGAGAAGGAGGGGGAAAAAAGCTGGTCAGTCTTTTTCCAAACAACTGCTAGCATACACTTTGTGAAAACATAGTCATGATCGCCTTGCTCTGCCTGTCAGAGCCTCCGACTGTTCCCCTAGAGCACATACACACTTGGCCTCATGCTACCAGGAATTATGTAATGAACTCGTGGGTGCCCTTTGGCTTTGCACCGCTGCGCTGGAAACGATCACCTCTGCCGTGGAGATGGGCGATCTGCACCGGTGCCCGCTGCTCTGAACCATGCTGTCTGCTTTGAAACCAACACGGGAAATGTTGGATACTTTTCTGTTCTTTATATGTTACCCCGGTCCACATTGTTCAGTAGTGAGAAATTGGTCTGATAATTTCTTCGGAGGAGCAAATGCCTTTTCCCGTGGTTCTTAGGAATGTAGTGGCAGCCTAGCAAGGTAGAACCTTGAGAAAACGGTAGCATTGATATCACAGATATATACATATTTATATATATTTTTTATTTTTTTTAATTTTTATTTTGAGACGGAGTCTCGCTCTATCACCCAGGCTGGAGTGCAGTGGCGTGATCTCGGCTCACTGCAAACTCCGCCTCCTGGGTTCACGCCATTCTCCTGCCTCAGCCTCCCAAGTAGCTAGGACTACAGGTGCCCGCCACCGCGCCCGGCTAATTTTTTGTATTTTGTTTAGTAGAGATGGGGTTTCACTGTGATAGCCATGATGGTCTCGATCTCCTGACCTCATGATCTGCCCGTCTCGGCCTCCCAAAGTGCTGGGATTACAGATGTGAGCCACCGTGCCTGGCCGATATCACAGAGATATTTAAGCTTATCACTGGGGAAAAAAAATGCTTTCACTGGTAAACACGTATGCTATGAACTGCTTGATTCCACTCATGCTAATACTTTCTTTTATCCCTAAGTAATCACTTAACCCAATACTGCCCAGTAGAAAATATGAAGCCACATATGTAATTAAAAATTTTCTAGCAACTACATTAATATGATAAAAAAAAAACAGGCGAAATTAACTTTAATAGTTATATTTTAGTTAGCTCAGTATATCCAAAATATTATCATTTCAACATGTAATTGATGTAAAAGTTGCCAATGGGATATTTTACATTCTTTTTTGTGTATGTGTCCTGAGTTCGCAGAATCTGGTTTGTACATTACACTTACAACACATTTCAATTCAAACCAGGCAAATTTCAAATGCTAAGTAGCCACATGTTCTACTTAGTATTTGAAATAAGTAGCCACATGTGGCTACTTATTGGAGAGCACAGACTTACCTTTATTTATGTAACTTTGTCATTCTTAAAAAGAGGGAGTTTTTCTTATCATCTGTTTTCTAATCAATAAAAATAGATCTGAATAAATAACTCACTTTCTTTTCTTTTCTTTTTTTTTAGACAGGGTCTCACTCTGTCACTCTGTCGTCGCCCAGGCTAGGGTGCAGTGGCGTGATCTTAGCTCACTGCAACCTCTGCCTCCTGGGCTCAAGCGAGTCTCCCAAGTAGCTGAGACTACAGGCACCTGCCACCAGGCCCAGCTAATCTTCATATTTTTAGTAGACATGGGGTTTCACCATGTTGCCCAGGCTGGTTCTGAACTCCTGACCTCAAGTGATCCGCCCTCCTTGGCCTCCCAAAGTGCTAAATTACAGGCGTGAGCCACTGTGCCTGGTTCACTTTCTTATTAATTAAAAATAATCTGGCTGGGTGCAGTGGCTCCTGCCTGTAATCCCAGCACTGTGGGAGGCTGAGGCGGGTGGATCACTGGAAGCCAGGAGTTTGAGATCAGCCTGGCAACATGGCGAAACCCCGTCTCTGCTAAAAACACAAAAATAAGCTGGGCATGGTGGCGGACTCCTGTAGCCCCAGCTACTTGAGAGGCTGAGGCAGGAGAATCGCCTGAACCCAGGAGGCGGAAGCTGCAGTGAACCGAGATCGACAGAGTGAGACTCTGTCTCAAAACATATAATAATAATTAATAATAATAATAATAATAATAATAATAATAATAATCTGACTGGTGACAACAAGTTTAAATAATATTTGACACAAAATATAGAAGTTATAAAATGATAATATGGTACCTACCATTATTTTTAAAGTTTTGCTCACCTGACAATACAGTGAAAAATCAGTCTGAGAATTTCTTCGGAGGAGCAAATGCCTTTTCCCGTGGTTCTTAGGAATGTGGTGGCAGCCTAGCAGGGTAGAACCTTGAGAAAATGGTAGCATTGATATCACAGAGATATTTAAGCTTATCACTGGGGAAAAACATGCTTTCACTGGTGAACATGTATGCTATGAACTTCTTGAAGGTCTATTTAAAATGAAACATTTTCTTTTTCTTTCTTTTTTCTTTTTTTTCTTTTTTGAGACAGGGTCTCACTCTGTTGCCCAGGCTAATGTGCAGTGGCTCAATCTCAGTTCACTGCAGCCTCAACCTCCTGGGCTCAAGGGATCCTCCTACCTCAGCCTCCCGATTTGCTGGGACTACAGTTGTGCACCATCACACCTGGCTAATTTTTGTATTTTTAGTGGAGACATGTTGCCCAGGCTGGTCTCGAACTCCTGGCCTCATGTAATCCATCTGCTTCGGCTTCTGAAAGTGCTGAGATTACAGGTATGAGCTACCATGCCCGGCTGGAACACTTTCTGTGATTGCTAACAATAGGATCCAGAGATTTTCCCAACTTAATGAAACAGTAATTATAGGTTCAATTAAAGAACAGCATTGAATTCTTATATTAGAAGCAGAGCACACACTTTGCCAAAAGTGCTGGGCACAGTCAGCATCCCTTGCGCCAAGTGGGGAAACGTACCAGAAACCTGGGGTTGGGGATGTGGCCCAACAGTTAAGAGCACTAAGTCCAGCACTGCTTGGGAAATCTGAATCCTGGCTTTAGCAAGTCCTAGCTGTGTGACTTTCAGCAAGTTACTTAACTTCTCTGAGCCTTAGTTTCATCATTTATAAAACAGGTAATAAATGTTGATTCTTGGGTAAGCTTTGAGAGAATTAAATGCCAAATGCCTGGCACAAAGAAGTGATCAAAAAGTATTAGCTTTTAAATCACGACCATCAGGCCGGGCGCGGTGGCTCATGCCTGTAATCCCAGCACTTTGGGAGGCCAAGGTGGGCAGATCACAAGGTCAGGAGATCGAGACCATCCTGGCTAACACGGTGAAACCCCGGGAGGTGGAGCTTGCAGTGAGCCGAGATAGTGCCACTGCACTCCAGCCTGGGCGACAGAGCAAGACTCCGTCTCAAAAAAATAATAACAATAAATAATAATCATCATAATAAATCATGACCATCAATCATCAAAATTTAGTCCAAAATTCTGCTTTTCTAATATGCAGATTCGAGGGGAGAAAGGCCTAAGCGATGTAGAAGAAGATGGGTTCCTGTGTCCCATGCACATCTAGTATAGAGCAGCCAATTCAGCATTTGCACATGACCTCGGAAAACTGTGATGCCCCATGCAGCTAGAAGACAGGGAGGTCAGATTTATTAAATATCATGCAAGATTTCTAACACACTATTGTAACTCAACAATTTACTATATTCCACCACAAAAAGAAGACTAACCTCTGTCATATGAAAAGAGGATATATTTCTTTATTTTTATTTTATTTTTTCAACTTTTTTTTTTTTTTTTTGAGACAAAGTCTCGCTCTGTTGGCCAGGCTGGAGTGCAGTGGCATGATCTCAGTTCACTGCAACCTCCGCCTCCCAGGTTCAAGCAATTCTCGTACATCAGCCTCCCAAGTAGCTGGGATTACAGGCATATGCCAATGCACCCAGCTAATTTTTGTATTTTTAGTAGAGATGGGGTCTCACCTTGTTGGCTAGGCTGGTCTTGAACTCCTCCTAACCTCAAGTGATCTGCCCGCCTCAGCCTCCCAAAGTGCTGGGATTACAGGCATGAGCCACTGCGCCCGGCCTCAACTTTTATTTTAGATTAAGGGATGTTTCATTTTGAATGAAAAATCATAACTTTTATGATAGTAGAAAGCAATTTAAATATTTTAGTATTTTTAGGACCCATTTTGTAACCTAGAGAAAAGAAAAAAATGCTCTTGCCCAGGTCTTTCATTACCCTTTGCATCATTTAAAGCATTATTAATGGTGTACATGTTCTCAATTTTAAAGTTTTCTCTCTGAAAATACATCCTAAGATTAACTGTTTAAGGAAAATAGTAAAGCTAAGTTTCTAGTAAGAAACTCACCATCCTTTAAAATGCCCAATTCTCTGCATGGTCCAATAGCATATCTATTTGAAGATCAAGAATTAGGAAGTAATATAGTGCAGTGCTATATGGTCTTAGAAACACAGAGAAGCTATTTTGAGCAGTGTAAGTTCTGAAGCAGACTAATACATTAGCATTAAAATACCCAAAAAGGCCGGACACAGTGGCTCACGCCTGTAATCCCAGCACTTTGGGAGGCTAAGGTGGGCGGATCATGAGGTCAGGAGTTTGAGACCAGCCTGGCCAATATGGTGAAACCTCATCTCTACTAAAAATACAAAAATTAGCCGCGCATGGTGGCGCATGCCTGTAATCCCAGATACTTGGGAGGCTGAGGCAGGAGAATTGCTTGAACCTGGGAGGTGGAGGTTGCAGTGAGCTGAGATAGTCCCACTGCACTCTACCCTGGGTGACAGCAAGATTCTGTCTCAGGAAAAATAAATTAATTAATTAAATAAAATAAAACAAAATACCCAAAGAACCCAGGTTGTTCTTTAGCTTCAAGTTGTTGATTGTTCAACAACTTTTGTTGTTGTTGTTGTTTAAAAATAGATTTACGGGTTGGGTGCAGTGGCTCACACCTGTAATCCCAGCACTTTTGGGAGGCTGAGACGGGTGGATCACCTGAGGTCAGGAGTTTGAGACCAGCCTGACCAATATGGTGAAACCCTGTGTCTACTAAAAATACAAAAATTAGCCGGGCATGGTGGTGGGTGCCTGTAATCCCAGCTACTTGGGAGGCTGAGACAGAAGAATTGCTTGAACCCAGGAGGCAGAGGTTACAGTGAGCCTAGATTGCGCCACTGCTCTCCAGCCTGGGTGACAAAGCAACACTCAGTCTCAAAAAAAAAATAGATTTGGGAGGTACAAGCACAGTTTTGTTATATGGCTATATTACATAATGATGAAGTCTAGGCGTTTAGTGTAGCCATCACTTGAATAATGTACATTGTACACATTAAGTAATTTGTTATCCCTTACCCCTGCTCCCACCTTCTTACCCTCCCATCCTTCCCAGACTTTAGTGTTTATTATTCTACTCTCTAAGTAATTTCTTATCCCTTACCCCTGCTCCCACCTTCTTACCCTCCCATCCTTCCTAGACTTTAGTGTTTATTATTCTACTCTCTAAGTACATATGTACACATTATTTAGTTACTGATTATTGAGAGAGTACATGCTGTATTTGACTTTCTCTTTCTGAGATGTTTCACTTAGATAATAATGGCCTCCAGTTCCATCCACATTGATGAAAAAGACATGATTCCATTCTTTTTTATGGCTGAGTAGTATTCCATGTATGGATATGTGTACACACACACACACACACGTGCACACACACATACATTTTCTTTACCCAGTCACCCATTGGTGAATACTTAGGTTGATTCCATATCTTTGCTATTGTGAATAGTGCTGTGATAAACATATGTGTGCAGTTATCTTTTTAATATAATGATTTCCTTTGAGGAGATACCCAATAGTGGGATTGCTGGACCAAATGGCAGTTCTCCATACTGGTTTTGACTTTTTTTTTTTTTTTTTTTTTTGAGACTGGGTATCACTCAGTCACCCAGGCCGGAGTGCAGTGGTGTGATCACGGCTTAGTGCAGCCAGCCTTGACCCCTTTGGTTTCAAGTGATCCTCCCACCTCAGCCTCCCAAAGTGCTGAGATTACAGGTGTGAGCACCATGCCTGGTCTCCATACTGTTTTCCATATAGTTTGTACTAATTTACATTCTCCTCAAAAGTGTATAAGCATTCCCTTTCTCAACATCCTCACCAACGTTTGTTGTTTTTTGACTTTTTAACAGTAGCTGTTCTGACTGGTGTGAGGTGGTATCTCATTCTGTAATCTGCATTTCTCTGATCATTAGTGGTGATGAGTATTTTTTATATGCTTGTTGGCCATTTATATGTCTTCTTTTGGCAACGTCTGATTTGAATCCTTCCACAGCAAAGGTGTCTTTTTTTTTTTTCTTTTTTCTTTCAGTAAAAGCCCTCTACTGGAAAGTATAGCAAAAGGGTCTTTACCCTCCCAGCAACAGCTGGCCCCACTTTTAATAATTTGAAGTAATCAAAAATACCTTGTTGGCCAGGTGTAGTGGCTCACTAGGTGGCTCCTAGTTGAAATCTAGCACTTACTTTTTTTCTGGTCTGTTTCCTTCATGTACAGTCATAGTTTAGATTAGGTAAACACTAAGGTAACACACATTTTATAAACTCTGTGATTATTGGATAATTGGAGTTAATAGGAAAGTGAGTGGTTTTCAACTGATATTTCCTGAAAGCTGGAAAATGAATTGTTCCCTCCTCTATGTGCCCCTTGGATTTGATACCTACCTCTAGAACAGCCTTTAACCACGCTGTAATTCCAGCACTTTGGGAGGCCAAGGCAGGCAGATCACTTGAGATCAGCCTGGCCAACGTGGTGAAACCCCGTCTTTACTAAAAATACAAAAATTAGCTGGGCATGGTAGCGGGCGGTTGTAATCCCAGCTACTTGGGAGGCTGAGGCAGGAGAATGGCTTGAACCCAGGAGGCAGAGGTTGCAGTGGGCCGAGATTGCGCCACTGCACTCCAGCCTGGGCGACAGGGCAAGGCTCTGTCTCAAAACAAACAAACAAACAAACAAAACCTTGTTGGTTTTTCAAAAATACTTTGTGATAATTCATTATGGCAGCCACAGGAGAGTAATACAGGGGCTGTCTGGTAGGAGCTGGGACTGCAGGAGAGGCTGTCACGTGGGAGCTGAAAGATCGGAGATGCAGCCACTCCCAGAGGTCACACACGAGGCCGAGTGAGATGGGGAGAGATGCCCTGGTGTCTTTCCTCATTAGCAGAGCCTGGCCAGAAGCCAGAGGGCAAGGGAGGCTGGGAAATGTCACTTGCAGAGCTTGCATGGGGTGAGTCCCTGCAGATACAGATCAGAGAAGGCCAAAGTCAGAGAAAGTGTCTGAGAACAAACAGGATGATGACCAACTCCTGTACCATTATCAGTTAAGCCATCCTTTTAAGGATTTGACCTCTCTCTTAGGAACAATGGGAGACCACTAGAGTGTTTAGCCATACGATGTGGATATATTTGTGTTTCAAAGACACCGCTGGCTGCTGCTTTATGAATAGAGTGGGTGCAGAAAGCCCAGATGAGAGGTTACTGCAGCAGCCTAGTGAGTCATGATGCTGGCTGTCAAGATGGAACAAAGCAGAAGGAATCTTAAGCTATTCAGAAGGCAAAATAGTCAGGAGTTGATGATTATGGAGGGTGAGGTAGAAGGAGATGAAGGGGTGAATCCAGGCTTAGGAGAGCTGGAGGATGGTTATGTCATTCACCAAGACAGGGAAAACCTGGAAGAAGGTGTTCAGTTTGGAACATGCAGAATTTGGGGTGCCTGGGAGATGTCCCAGTGGTGATGTTAGGTGGGCAGTGGGATAGAAGGGTCTGGAGTTCAGAGGAGAGGTCTGGAGGGAAAGGCATGTTTGGGAGTCATAGGGGAGTAGGTGATAATTGATGTAGGCATTGAAGAACCCACCTGGGGAGAGAGAAGGGAGTGAGACTGGAAGATGGACAAGGACTGAGCCTTGAGGTCATTCAACATTTATCATTCAGAGGATGAGCCTGTAAGGGAGGCTGAGAAGGAATGAGAAGGGAAGCTGGAGAGAAGCAGGAAAGTGTGGTGCCGCAAAAGCCAAGTAGAGAGTGGCCAACTGCATCGAATGCTGCTGAGAGGCTGAGATGATGAGGAGAAAGAAAGGAGGATGGATGGAAACCACTGGCTCCTGGAGTAGGACTCTCAGCCTGACTGGAGAGGATTGAGGAGGGAAGGAAGGTGGAGAAGTGAAGGTTGCAGCCACAGAACTTTGGCCATGAAAAGGGAGAGACATATGATGGGGAGCTGGAGGGGTTGCGAGAGATGGGAGAAAAAATTAATGGTAGTGTCTTGTGCTTGTTAAAAGCTAACAAGGACCAGGGGCGGTGGCTCATGCCTGTAATCCTAGCATTTTGGGAGGCCAAGGCGGGTGGATCACCTGAGGTCAGGAGTTCGAGACCAGCCCGGCCAACATGGTGAAACCCCATCTCTACTAAAAATACAAAAAAATTAGCCAGGTGTGGTGGTGGGTGCCTGTAATCCCAGCTACCTGGGAGGCTGAGGCTGGAGAATCACTGGAACCCGGGAGGCGGAGGCTGAGGCGGAGTCTGCAGTGAGCCAAGATTGCACCACTGCACTCCTGGGGAAGAGAGCGAGACTCCGTCTCAAAAAAAAAAAAAAAAGGCTGACAGGAAGGATCCAGGTTAGAGGGCGAGGTTAAAATATAAGGGGAAGGATTGGCCTTAGGACGAAGGGCAGCTCTCCAGACAGCACAGGAGTGTGGGTCTGTTGCAAGGGGTCTATGTGTGGTGGCCCCATTTACCATGATAACCGTGACACAGTGTGGTTAGAGGCCGCTCCACAGGTAGGCACCAAATCCAAGGGGAACATAGAGGAATGAACAATTCATTTTCTAACTTTCAGGAAATGTCAGTTGAAAACCACTCACTTTCCTATTAACTCCAATTATCCAATAATCACAGAGTTAAATAGAATGCATGTTATCATAGTGTGTACCTAGTCTAAGCTCTTCCTGTACATGAAGAAAACAGACCAGAAAAAACTTAAATGCTGGGTTTAGACTAGGAACTTAGGGTCTCATAGTCCATTCCAGGGTACTTTTCACTTAGCATTGTCCCTGTGGCATAGAGAAGCTTGGGGGTAAAAGAATCTAGTGTGACACACAAAGGAGAAAGCTGAGATATTTACAAATGATTCTTGTCCTCTGTTTCCCTTTAAAATAGCAGACTTTTCTGCTGGGCATGGTGGCTCACGCCTGTAATCCCAGTACTTTGGGAGGCCAAGGTGGATGGATCGCCTGAGGTCAGGAGTTTGAGACTAGTCTGGGCAACACAGCAAAACCCCGTCTCTACTAAAAATACAAAAAAAATCTGGGCATGGTGGCACATGCCTATAGTCCCAGCTAATCAGGAGGCTGAGGTAGGAGGATTGGTTGAGCTGGGGGCTGGAGGCTGGAGTGAGCTGAGATCACGCTACTGCACTCCAGCCTGGGTGACAGTGCGAAGGAGACCCTGTCTCAAAAAAAAAAAACAAAAAACAAAACACAAAACCAACAGATTTTTAGTTATAAGGCTTGCATGGTATCATAGTATAAAACCAAGCATTCAGTTCAGCTCTGTTCCAATTGATAATGAAACAATCATTGTGTATCTGAAAGAGAAATCTTTTTATCAACAGGAAGCCTGACCTTCCTTACATGTCATACCAAGAATAGATGGTGAAAATTTTTGCTTTTGAGGCTACTTAAGATAGGAGAAGTTGCACATGCTTTCATAGGGGTGAAAGAATCTGTATGCTTGCTTAAAACTCCTCATTTCTATAATAAATTAAGTCCATAAATATTGAATCTTAGGCTATAATCTGGCATAACATAAACATCTTCCTCTCTAAACAAGACTCTAATTGTTTTAATAATGACTGCATTCTCATAACAGAGGATATTCTTCTTAAACAAGGAGTCACAGTAGCTAAGAGAGAAAATGAAGTAATTGGTATATCTGAAGGAAATAGAAAATACTTCCTGATAGAGATTCCATTTGGAAATGAATTATGGCAGATATGCAAATGAACTGTATGTGTTCACACAATAAGATTTTAAAAATCTGCTAAGCAACTCTCTGGAAAGTACGAGATTTTATTAGAAGACATAGATTATTAGAGAAGACCAAACAATACAATGTTAGCAAACAAAAAGCAAAAGAAATTCCACAAAACATAGATTTGATATGTGGCGAATATGTGGGAATTATTTGAAAAAAAGTGTTACGGTTATAATAATGAATGAAACAAGGGCATAAAAGTCAAAGTTATTTTTAGTAGGACATAAAAGACTTTGTATTCTGGAATGAAGAAGTAGTAAGTATTTATTAGAAATTTCGGTGAGTCTGCTTTAAAGACTTTTTTTTTTCACATTTGGTGGCGAATAAAAGTAATCGAGAGTGGAGAGAATAAGGAAGTTATAAGAAAAAACTGGCTAGGTGCGTTGGCTCACGCCTGTAATCCCAACACTTTGGGAGGCCGAGGCGGGTGGATCACGAGGTCAGGAGATCGAGACCATCCTGGCTAACACGGTGAAACCCTATCTCTACTAAAAATACAAAAAACTAGCTGGGCGTGGTGGCGGGTGCCTGTAGTCCCAGCTACTCGGGAGGCTGAGGCAGGAGAATGGCGTGAACCCGTGAGGCAGAGCTTGCTGTGAGCTGAGATCGCGCCACTGCACTCCAGCCTGGACGACAGAGTGAGACTCCATCTCAAAAAAAAAAAGAAAAAATTAAGTTAAGCGTGTAAATGTTAAATGTCCACTGGTGGGGTAGAGGGAGTTATGTTAAAGAATACTTTAAAATATTTAAACACCCCAACTTTTATAAACAATAGTAACATTAGAGTCATTTGCAACTGAGATGAAAGCCTTATTTCCATATACAGTGTGGGCCTGACCCTTGATATACGCTATGGTAAAGAAAATGGAACACCAGATTCAGCTGGTGACACTTAAACACCTCTTACCTGATAGCACATTGCAAGTGAAGACTTTGATGTATAAAAGAGAATTCGTAAGTAGTACTGAGTACTAAGTCATATTAACTAAAATCCACACAAAGCTCTGGCCTATGTTTCATTTGTCTATTCATTCTATGCACTTATCCCACAAATATACAGATTTGCTTTGATTGGGCAGCTCTTTGCTGGTCTCACCTGGACTCACTCTTATGGTTGCATTCAGCTGGGGGATCGGTGGGTGGCTGAGCTCAGCTGGGAGAGCTGGGGTGGTTGAGCCTCTCTGCAGTGTTTCCTCCTGGGCTTCCTCAAAGCATGATGGCCTCAGAGCAGTTTTCCAAAAGGGTGAAGGCAGAAGCTGCAAGATCTCTTCAGTTCCAGGCTCTGGAGCTGATACACCGTTAACTTCTGCCACATTCTACTGGTCACAAGCCTAGCCCAGGTTGATAGGAGTAGCTGTAAAATACTGTGGCCATGTTTTCCAACCCACCACAGATGGTGGTAAGTGCTGTGAAGAAAAATCAAGCAGGGAAGGAGAAGGGAAGTGCTGAGATACACCAGGGAGAAGGCTTCACTTTTAAATAGGGTGGTCAGGCAAGACTGAATTGAGAAAATGATGAGAGTCAAGACCTCCTGAAGGTAAGGGCGTGAGCCATGTGACTGCCTGAGGGTAGAGCACTTCAGGGAGAAGGAACAGCTGGCTCAAATCCTGGTGAGCTTGAGAAACAGCAAGAAAGTCAGTGTGGGTGGCCCAGAGTGAGGGGCCCGCAGCAGGAAATGTCCTCAGAGAGGAAACAGAGCAGACCAGTGAGGCAGTACTGATCACTGCAAGAACTTAGGTTTTCCTTCTGAGTGAGATGGAAAGCCACTGGAAGTTTTCAACAATCAGATGGACATTTTAACAGGATCACAGACAGAAGGGGCAAGGGTTAAAACAGAAAAACCAGTCTGGAGGCTGCTGCAGTAACCCTGGTGAGAAATCAGGGGAGGGGGAAGATAGTTTGCTTATGGATGGATTGTGGGTGTGACAGAAAAGGAGCAAGGGTGATTCCAAGGTTTTGGGCCTGAGTAACTGGAAGGATGAATTTCTGGTAAACAGGGTGGGAAATCCTCTGGAGGAGCAGGGTGTGGGGAAGATCAAGAGCTCAGTCTTGTACCTGTTAAATTTGACCTGCCAGGGAGACAGCCAAACTGAGGTCTTGAGTAGTCTACAAGATCTATGGGTCTGGAACCCACAGGAGAGGGCTGGGCTGGAGATACTCACTGGGAGTCACCCCAGATATAAATGGCCTTTAGAGCCACAGGACTGGGTGTGATCACTCTGGGGTGAGGGCAGAGAAATCTAAGGACTGAGCCCTAGAGTTTGAGGAGGTGAGGGCAGTGGGGTATTAGGAGAGACAGAATGTGGATCCTGGATATCAAGGGAAGAAAGAGTGTCAAGGAGAAAACAGTGATTACTACGGCAAATGCTGCTGAGAGGTCAGTGGGATAAGGACTGAGAATTGGTCAGTGAATTTAACAACTTGGAGGTCACGCAGATGCTTGACAAGAGCAGTTTCTATGAAGTAGTGGGATGAAAACCTTATGAGAGTCAGTTCAACAGAGAATCAATGAATTGGAGGCAGCTAGTGTAAGCTACTCTTGAGGAGTCTTGCTTAAGGGTGTGACCACTGGAGTGAGTGGCAGTCAAGGCAGGGGTGGAGAGCACATCACTGGAAGAGATGAGATCAGGGGATGGAGAGGCCAGGGTATGAGAAGCATCAGCCATGTGGGTATTGAAATCACCAAGAATTATCAAGAGTAGTGATGGAGAGCTGGGAGCTAGCAACTCAGCGAGTGATTTGTGGGGCTGCAAGAAGACACAGTGACTGCTGGAGTCCAGTCACATGAGACTCAAAGCTGGGTGTTTTTAGGGAAGGAAGGAGAGCAGCAATGAAGAGAAATGAAGACGTCTTGCATGTTGCCAGGTCCAGTTGGATGAGGGGAGCAGAAGTGTTGCAGAAGAAACAGTGTCCTTGGGGGAGAACCAGGTTTTAGGGAAAACAAAATGGAGGGAATTTGTAGGGAAGGGAAGAGGACGGAGGAAATTTTGTTGGTGTAAATATTGGAGGGCACAGAGGACAAGTTTCAGAAGTCAGGAAGGGGTGGGAGTTGCAGGAATAAAAGGGAATGTAAAGAACTACTTGGAATTAGAGTTAGGAGAATGTGAGTTGAGCTGGAAAACTGGGTTTCTTGTGTTGAGGTATCTAACTAGGATAAAGGGCAGGATGAGATTGCTGGACTCAAAGCAGATGGTGGTGGACAGTGTTGGGGGCAGGGAGGGGTGCTGGCCTTGCCACGCACACTGGATCTGGATCCGGGATCCTGCAGCTTCCACTGGGCTACTGCTAAGTTGAAGGAGGTCTTAGGCACAGCACTGGGGCCCTGGTTCCTCGTCTGTGAAGGTGGAGCTGGCAGAGGGTTGGGCTGATCTGAGGCCCCCCAGACTTTGCTGGGTTAGTTAGTGGGTTTGAGAGCTAAGGGTGGAAGCTACAGCAAGAACTTTGAAAGTTGCTCCTTTCACTTTGCATTCACCTTAAGGACCTAACAGCAAGGAATGGTGAAGTTGGGAGGACTCCAGAGCTCCTATGCTTTATTAGGTGCCTTATGCCCTCACAAAACTTCAGTTCTGGGCTGTTGTTTGACCGAAACACAGCACTATGGCTTCAGGGTCATCAACGGCTATTTGAAGCATGAGGTATGGGAAGAATCCAAGCCCATATTTTTCATCCTTAAGAAGATCTGGAGGAGGAGCCAAGATGGCCGAATAGGAACAGCTCCGGTCTACAGCTCCCAGCGTGAGCGACACAGAAGACGGGTGATTTCTGCATTTCCATCTGAGGTACTGGGTTCATCTCACTAGGGAGTGCCAGACAGTGGGCGCAGGCCAGTGGGTGCGCGCACCGGGCGCGAGCCGAAGCAGGGCGAGGCATTGCCTCACCTGGGAAGCGCAAGGGGTCAGGGAGTTCCCTTTCCAAGTCAAAGAAAGGAGTGACGGACGCACCTGGAAAATCGGGTCACTCCCACCCGAATATTGCGCTTTTCAGACCGGCTTAAAGAACGGCACACCACGAGATTATATCCCTCACCTGGCTCGGAGGGTCCTACCCCACGGAATCTCCCCACGGAATCTCGCTGATTGCTAGCACAGCAGTCTGAGATCAAACTGCAAGGCGGCAGCGAGGCTGGGGGAGGGGCGCCCGCCATTGCCCAGGCTTGCTTAGGTAAACAAAGCAGCCGGGAAGCTCCAACTGGGTGGAGCCCACCACAGCTCAAGGAGGCCTGCCTGCCTCCGTAGGCTCCAGCTCTGGGGGCAGGGCACAGACAAACAAAAAGACAGCAGTAACCTCTGCAGACTTAAATGTCCCTGTCTGACAGCTTTGAAGAGAGCAGTGGTTCTCCCAGCAGGCAGCTGGAGATCTGAGAACGGGCAGACTGCCTCCTCAAGTGGGTCCCTGACCCCTGACCCCCGAGCAGCCTAACTGGGAGGCACCCCCCAGCAGGGGCACACTGACACCTCACACGGCAGGGTATTCCAACAGACCTGCAGCTGAGGGTCCTGTCTGTTAGAAGGAAAACTAACAAACAGAAAGGACATCCACACCGAAAACCCATCTGTACATCACCATCATCAAGACCAAAAGTAGATAAAACCACAAAGATGGGGATAAAACAGAACAGAAAAACTGGAAACTCTAAAACGCAGAGCGCCTCTCCTCCTCCAAAGGAACGCAGTTCCTCACCAGCAATGGAACAAAGCTGGATGGAGAATGACTTTGACGAGTTGAGAGAAGAAGGCTTCAGACAATCAAATTACTCTGAGCTACGGGAGGACATTCAAACCAAAGGCAAAGAAGTTGAAAACTTTGAAAAAAATTTAGAAGAATGTATAACTAGAATAACCAATACAGAGAAGTGCTTAAAGGAGCTGATGGAGCTGAAAACCAAGGCTCGAGAACTACGTGAAGAATGCAGAAGCCTCAGGAGCCAATGCGATCAACTGGAAGAAAGGGTATCAGCAATGGAAGATGAAATGAATGAAATGAAGCGAGAAGGGAAGGTTAGAGAAAAAAGAATAAAAAGAAATGAGCAAAGCCTCCAAGAAATATGGGACTATGTGAAAAGACCAAATCTACGTCTGATTGGTGTACCTGAAAGTGATGCGGAGAATGGAACCAAGTTGGAAAACACTCTACAGGATATTATCCAGGAGAACTTCCCCAGTCTAGCAAGGCAGGCCAACGTTCAGATTCAGGAAATACAGAGAACACCACAAAGATACTCCTCGAGAAGAGCAACTCCAAGACACATAATTGTCAGATTCACCAAAGTTGAAATGAAGGAAAAAATGTTAAGGGCAGCCAGAGAGAAAGGTCGGGTTACCCTCAAAGGGAAGCCCATCAGACTAACAGTGGATCTCTCGGCAGAAACCCTACAAGCCAGAAGAGAGTGGGGGCCAATATTCAACATTCTTAAAGAAAAGAATTTTCAACCCAGAATTTCATATCCAGCCAAACTAAGCTTCATAAGTGAAGGAGAAATAAAATACTTTACAGACAAGCAAATGCTGAGAGATTTTGTCACCACCAGGCCTGCCCTAAAAGAGCTCCTGAAGGAAGCGCTAAACATGGAAAGGAACAACCGGTACCAGCCGCTGCAAAATCATGCCAAAATGTAAAGACCATCGAGACTAGGAAGAAACTGCATCAACTAACGAGCAAAATCACCAGCTAACATCATAATGACAGGATCAAATTCACACATAACAATATTAACTTTAAATGTAAATGGACTAAATGCTCCAATTAAAAGACACAGACTGGCAAGTTGGATAAAGAGTCAAGACCCATCAGTGTGCTGTATTCAGGAAACCCATCTCACATGCAGAGACACACATAGGCTCAAAATAAAAGGATGGAGGAAGATCTACCAAGCAAATGGAAAACAAAAAAAGGCAGGGGTTGCAATCCTAGTCTCTGATAAAACAGACTTTAAACCAACAAAGATCAAAAGAGACAAAGAAGGCCATTACATAATGGTAAAGGGATCAATTCAACAAGAGGAGCTAACTATCCTAAATATATATGCACCCAATACAGGAGCACCCAGATTCATAAAGCAAGTCCTGAGTGACCTACAAAGAGACTTAGACTGCCACACATTAATAATGGGAGACTTTAACACCCCACTGTCAACATTAGACAGATCAACGAGACAGAAAGTCAACAAGGATACCCAGGAATTGAACTCAGCTCTGTACCAAGCAGACCTGATAGACATCTACAGAACTCTCCACCCCAAATCAACAGAATATACATTTTTTTCAGCACCACACCACACCTATTCCAAAATTGACCACATAGTTGGAAGTAAAGCTCTCCTCAGCAAATGTAAAAGAACAGAAATTATAACAAACTATCTCTCAGACCACAGTGCAATCAAACTAGAACTCAGGATTAAGAATCTCACTCAAAGCCGCTCAACTACATGGAAACTGAACAACCGGCTCCTGAATGACTACTGGGTACATAACGAAATGAAGGCAGAAATAAAGATGTTCTTTGAAACCAACGAGAACAAAGACACAACATACCAGAATCTCTGGGACGCATTCAAAGCAGTGTGTAGAGGGAAATTTATAGCACTAAATGCCCACAAGAGAAAGCAGGAAAGATCCAAAATTGACACCCTAACATCACAATTAAAAGAACTAGAAAAGCAAGAGCAAACACATTCAAAAGCTAGCAGAAGGCAAGAAATAACCCTTCAAAAAATCAATGAATCCAGGAGCTGGTTTTTTGAAAGGATCAACAAAATTGATAGACCGCTAGCAAGACTAATAAAGAAAAAAAGAGAGAAGAATCAAATAGACACAATAAAAAATGATAAAGGGGATATCACCACTGATCCCACAGAAATACAAACTACCATCAGAGAATACTACAAACACCTCTACGCAAATAAACTAGAAAATCTAGAAGAAATGGATACATTCCTCGACACATACACTCTCCCAAGACTAAACCAGGAAGAAGTTGAATCTCTGAATAGACCAATAACAGGAGCTGAAATTGGGGCAATAATCAATAGTTTACCAACCAAAAAGAGTCCAGGACCAGATGGATTCACAGCCGAATTCTACCAGAGGTACAAGGAGGAACTGGTACCATTCCTTCTGAAACTATTCCAATCAATAGAAAAAGAGGGAACCCTCCCTAACTCATTTTATGAGGCCAGCATCATTCTGATACCAAAGCCGGGCAGAGACACAACCAAAAAAGAGAATTTTAGACCAATATCCTTGATGAACATTGATGCAAAAATCCTCAATAAAATACTGGCAAACCAAATCCAGCAGCACATCAAAAAGCTTATCCACCATGATCAAGTGGGCTTCATCCCTGGGATGCAAGGATGGTTCAATATACGCAAATCAATAAATGTAATCCAGCATATAAACAGAGCCAAAGACAAAAACCACATGATTATCTCAATAGATGCAGAAAAAGCCTTTGACAAAATTCAACAACCCTTCATGCTAAAAACTCTCAATAAATTAGGTATTGATGGGACGTATTTCAAAATAATAAGAGCTGTCTATGACAGACCCACAGCCAATATCATACTGAATGGGCAAAAACTGGAAGCATTCCCTTTGAAAACTGGCACAAGACAGGGATGCCCTCTCTCACCGCTCCTATTCAACATAGTGTTGGAAGTTCTGGCCAGGGCAATCAGGCAGGAGAAGGAAATAAAGGGTATTCAGTTAGGAAAAGAGGAAGTCAAATTGTCCCTGTTTGCAGACGACATGATTGTTTATCTAGAAAACCCCATTGTCTCAGCCCAAAATCTCCTTAAGCTGATAAGCAACTTCAGCAAAGTCTCAGGATACAAAATCAATGTACAAAAATCACAAGCATTCTTATACACCAACAACAGACAAACAGAGAGCCAAATCATGAGTGAACTCCCATTCACAATTGCTTCAAAGAGAATAAAATACTTAGGAATCCAACTTACAAGGGATGTGAAGGACCTCTTCAAGGAGAATTACAAACCACTGCTCAAGGAAATAAAAGAGGATACAAACAAATGGAAGAACATTCCATGCTCATGGGTTGGAAGAATCAATATCGTGAAAATGGCCATACTGCCCAAGGTAATTTACAGATTCAATGCCATCCCCATCAAGCTACCAATGACTTTCTTCACAGAATTGGAAAAAACTACTTTAAAGTTCATATGGAACCAAAAAAGAGCCCGCATCGCCAAGTCAATCCTAAGCCAAAAGAACAAAGCTGGAGGCATCACACTACCTGACTTCAAACTATACTACAAGGCTACAGTAACCAAAACAGCATGGTACTGGTACCAAAACAGAGATATAGATCAATGGAACAGAACAGAGCCCTCAGAAATAACGCCGCATACCTACAACTATCTGAACTTTGACAAACCTGAGAAAAACAAGCAATGGGGAAAGGATTCCCTATTTAATAAATGGTGCTGGGAAAACTGGCTAGCCATATGTAGAAAGCTGAAACTGGATCCCTTCCTTACACCTTATACAAAAATCAATTCAAGATGGATTAAAGATTTAAACGTTAGACCTAAAACCATAAAAACCCTAGAAGAAAACCTAGGCATTACCATTCAGGACATAGGCATGGGCAAGGACTTCATGTCCAAAACACCAAAAGCAATGGCAACAAAAGCCAAAATTGACAAATGGGATCTAATTAAACTAAAGAGCTTCTGCACAGCAAAAGAAACTACTATCAGAGTGAACAGGCAACCTACAACATGGGAGAAAATTTTCGCAACCTACTCATCTGACAAAGGGCTAATATCCAGAATCTACAATGAACTCAAACAAATTTACAAGAAAAAAACAAACAACCCCATCAAAAAGTGGGCGAAGGATATGAACAGACACTTCTCAAAAGAAGACATTTATGCAGCCAAAAAACACATGAAAAAATGCTCATCATCACTGGCCATCAGAGAAATGCAAATCAAAACCACTATGAGATATCATCTCACACCAGTTAGAATGGCAATCATTAAAAAGTCAGGAAACAACAGGTGCTGGAGAGGATGTGGAGAAATAGGAACACTTTTACACTGTTGGTGGGACTGTAAACTAGTTCAACCATTGTGGAAGTCAGTGTGGCGATTCCTCAGGGATCTAGAACTAGAAATACCATTTGACCCAGCCATCCCATTACTGGGTATACACCCAAATGACTATAAATCATGCTGCTATAAAGACACATGCACACGTATGTTTATTGCGGCATTATTCACAATAGCAAAGACTTGGAACCAACCCAAATGTCCAACAATGATAGACTGGATTAAGAAAATGTGGCACATATACACCATGGAATACTATGCAGCCATAAAAAATGATGAGTTCATGTCCTTTGTAGGGACATGGATGAAATTGGAAATCATCATTCTCAGTAAACTATCGCAAGAACAAAAAACCAAACACCGCATATTCTCACTCATAGGTGGGAATTGAACAATGAGATCACATGGACACATGAAGGGGAATATCACACTCTGGGGACTGTGGTGGGGTGGGGGGAGCGGGGAGGGATAGCATTGGGAGATAGATATACCTAAGGCTACATGACGAGTTAGTGGGTGCAGCGCACCAGCATGGCACATGTATACATATGTAACTAACCTGCGCAATGTGCACATGTACCCTAAAACTTAAAGTATAATAAAAAAAAAAAAAAGAAAAAAAAAAAAAAAAAGAAGAAGATCTAAGCGTATTGTCAGAAAAGTGGGAGTTCAGAGTTCAGTGAGGAATTTCAGGCTACACTAAAATTTTCGTCTTATAATTGGGGGTAGCTCCAAGATTTTGCACATTTAAAACCCTGAAAAATATTCTAGAAGAGAGATGGAATTAATAAAACATTTTCCCTTAAAAAAATCACTTCTTCCATTACTTTTTTCTTCTGAGTTTTGAGAAACTTCTTGAAAGTGTGGCCCTTCTAATGAACTCCAAGGAGCTTTCTCAGGTTACCTCCACAGGGGACCAGAACAAGATGAGAAAAACAATTATTTTGATTTGAATGATTTCTTGAAGAGTTGAACAATAAGACAAATGGAACACCATTAATGCATTTTCTTTTATTTTCCATTTAGTAGCAAATGTAAAAGGGTGTTGGTTATGGTCTTCAATAATAATAGCCATCTCTTTCTTTTTTAAAAAAAATTCAGGTTTTACATAGAGTAAAATGTATACATCCTACATGTGCAGTTAATGAGTTTTATAAAATGTATACTTTCAGGTAATCATCACTCAGATCAAGAGAGGGAACATTTCCCTCACTGCTGAAAGTTTCCCATGCCCTTTTCCAGTCAATACCCCTCGCTGAGAGACAATCATTCTGATTTTGATCCCTATAGATTTTACCTGTTCTCAAACTTCATGACAGCAGAATCATACAGTTAAGTAGTCTTTTGTGCCTGAATTCTTTTGCTCAACATAATCTAAAGATTATAAAGATTCAGCCAGGCTGTCGCCTGCATCAGTTGTTTTCACCCCCCCACCTTTTTTTTTCTTTTTGAGATGGAGTCTTACTCTGTCGCCCAGGCTGGAGTGCAGTAGCACGATCTCAGCTCACTGCAACCTCCACCTCCTGGGTTCAAGCGATTCTCTTGCCTTAGCCTCCTGAGTAGCTAGGATCACAGGCATGCACCACCACACCTGGCTAATTTTTGTATTTTTAGTACAGACGAGGTTTTACCACGTTAGCTGGGCTGGTCTTGAACCCCTGACCTCAAGTGATCTGCTCACCTCGGCCTCGCAAAGTGCTTGGGATTACAGGTGTGAGCCACTGTGCTTGCCATCTTTTTTTTTTTTTTTTTTAAACTGCTGAGTAGTGTTCCATTCTATGAATATATCATTATTCTGTTGATGAACATTTGGGTTGTTTCCAGGTTGGGGATATTATTATAAATATGAACATTTTAAAAAGCAGCTTTGAATATTGTTTTGTAAGTCTTTGTGTGGATGCATATTTTCATTTTTCTTGAGCAAATACCTTAGATGATAGGGTAGAAGAGATCATAGGGTAAGTATATATTTAACTTTTAAAAATAACTGCCTGTTTTCCAAAGTGGTTATTCCATATTTCATTCCTGCTAGCAATGAATGAAAGAGTTCCAATTCCTCTACATGTTCATCAAGACTTAGTGTTATCAGTCTATTTAATTTGAGCTATTCTAGGGTGGTATATAGTGGTGTTTCATTGTGATTTTAATTTGATTTTCTGATGAGGCATAATGGGCACATTTTCAGGTGCCAACTGACTATTTAGACTTCTTCTTTTGTGAAACATCTTTTCAATTCTTTTGCCCAATATCCACCTCTTTAATAAATCTTGTTGAGGATATGGCCCTCTCAGGCAGTATTCTGTTGACCGACCACATTCTTAAGAGAAGCTAAATGTTGTAGAGACATTGAGGCAGCAGTCATAGAAATAAAATTGCTGGGTAAGAGCATTAGATTCATTCATTCATTCATTCATTTTTAGAGGTGGGGACAGGGTCTCCCTATGTTGCCCAGGCTTGTCTCAAACTCCTGGCCTCAAGTGATCCTTCCACCAGAGCCTCCTGAGTAGCTAGGATTATAGGTGTAAGCCACCACACCTGGCTAAGAACATTGGATTTAGAGCTTTCCAAACAGTTTAAATTTGTCAGGACAAGTATAGAAGCAACCATTTTATTTGTAAAAGCCACCACATGCTATTTCTATTCAGAGTTTCAAAATACAGAGAACAGGTACTCTCTAGAACCTTGGCATAAAATTCGAGTTTAGAAAATACCTGAAAGTGGTGTTACAGCTTATGTAACATCATATTTTTTCCATACGTAGTTATATTTTGAGATGTATACTTTTATTTAAGGACTATCCAAATTTGTGTCATAAAGGATATGTCCATTTAAAAGCCTATTTAAAAAAACTTTGCTTTATAAGTTGGCATATTAAAAAATATAAACATGAAGATGTCATATCAGAGATAAAATAATCTCTAAGATTCCAATTCTAAGAGGCTCTGAAAAGAAAGTATATGTAGCAGCAACTACCCAAGTATCAGCAATTGTTAATTGTTAATATCAATTGTGGCTGATAATCTATGTTGAGTCATTCAACATCCATTCCCAATTGTTCTTTTCCTTTTCTTCCTTTACTGTGAAAGCTGGAAAACCAAAAGCTTCATCTCTGATTTTTCCCAGGTGACATAATTCTGGCCAGTGAACTACAGACTAAAGACACCGGGGAGGCATGCACCTGTAATCCCAGTTATTCAGGAGGCTGAGGCACAAGAATCGCTCGAACCCAGGAGGTAGAGGTGGAGGTTGCAGTGAGCAGAGATTGCACCACTGCACTCCTGCCTGGGTGACAGAGTGAGACCCTGTCTCAAAAAAAAAAAAAAAAAAAAGACAGTGGTGAGGGGAGCCCTTCACCGAGTACAAGTCAATGTCTTGCTAAAGAAAAAAAAAATCCTTTTTCCCAAGAACATAAATATGAGGCCTGTCTGAAAATACAGCATTCATCTTGGGAACATGAGAGAGAGGGCAGGAGAATGAGCCATCACTCTGACATGGTCAAGAGCAGACAGCAGAAAGCCTAGTTTCTGATGGCACCACTGACCTGCTGTACCAGCCCTGGACTTCCTACCCCTGGACTTCTTATTGTGCAGGACAGTGACACCCTTATCTGTTTAAGCAGCAGCAGTTTTCTGATATTTGTTGCCAAGTGTATTGCCAGCTGATTCACTAGTGTTTGAAAGAAGATACCATACTAAACACAAAATTAACTGCTTATATTATGCACCATTATCTCTTTATTAAACCTGGCTTTATCAAAGACATAATTGATTTTTCAAGGAACCCCAGTATTGAGACATCATTATACTTCTGCATGAGCAGAAGGGCTTAACACTTTCACCACATTATCTGTTCTTGGAACCAAATTTGAAACTATTGATAAATGTTAGTAATAATCTGCTCCAATATTGTTTTAGCATTTATGAAAACTGTACCAATTATGTTAATATAGTATTTTTTACCAATGATATCTTCATATGCTCTTAGTGTTTTAAAACAAACATAAATTCCCTTTTTAGCATATGAACATTTGCATTTAGATCAGATATGACAGCAGTATAATAAAACAGGGGTCCCCAGTGCCTGGGCCATGGACTAGTACCAGTCCCTGGCCTGTTAGGAACTGGGCTGCACAGCAGGAGGGGAGCAGCGAGCAAGCAGTACTGCCTGAGCTCTGCCTCCTGTCAGGTCAGCAGCAGCATGAGATTCTCATGGGAGCGCCAACCCTATTGTGAACTGTGCATGTGAGGGATCTAGGTTGGGCGCTCCTTATGAGAATCTAACTAATGCCTGAGGATCTGAGGTGGAACAGTTTCATCCCAAAACCATCTTCCACCCCACTGTGGAAAAATTGTCTTCCATGAAATCTGTCCCTGGTGCCAAAAAAATTGGGGAACCACTGTACTAAAACACCATAAAATTGTATAGAACACCACGAAATGGTTTGGCCAAGAGTTGAAAACAGAATATACAGCTCTAAAATATCTCTATAAATGAAGTTTGTTTGTAGCTTTACAGAACTAAAAACCAAAATATGTGAACAAACTTTAAAAAAGCAATTTTGGAGGAAAATAGGTTCAGAGAAGGTATTTTACTGAGACAGTGTTAAGCAAGTAGTGAAGAATGTGGATTCCAGAGCCAGACTGCCTGCATTCGGACCATTTTCCTTCCACCAGTGTCATCTTAGGCAGGTATTAGTCAGCTTGGGCTGCCAAACAAAATGCCATAGACTGGGTTTTGTGGCTGAAACAACAGAAATGTATTTTCTCACAATTTGGGAGGCTGGCAAGTCTAACATCAAGGTGCCAGCAGGGTTGATGGCTGGGGAGTGCTCTCTCCTGGGATGGCAGATAGCTGCCTTCTCACTGTGTCCCTACATAGTTTTCTTGGGTACATTCATGAAAAGAGAGATATCCCTCTCATCCTCTTCCTATAAAGCCACCAACTGCCTCAAAATATAATCACATTGGGGGTTAGGACTTTGACATCTGAGTTTTGGGAAGACACAATTTGGTCCATGGCAGCAGGTTATGTAACCTCTTGGTGCCTACATTGCTTTACCTGTAGAAAGAGTTGATAATAATAGGAAGGGTTTTTGCAAAGATTAAGTGAGTTAATATACATAAAGCTCTTAGAAAAGAGTTTGATGCATAATAAGGGCTATACAAGTTTGATTATTATCAATGGCCATATTTTAGCAAATTTCTAGTAGGGAATTCTAACTTCCCCAAAATATTATCAAAATGTATATAAGTTATTATTAATCAGGACTTCTCAACCTCACTGCTGATGACATTTTGGGGCCTGACAGTTCTTTGTTGTGGGGCTGTCCTATGCCTTGTGGACGTTTAGCAGCATCCCTGGCCTCTACCCACTAGATCCTGGTAGCACCTCCACTACGTTGTGGACATCCACAAATGTCTCCAGACATCGCCAAATGTCCTCTGTGAGGTAAAATCACCCCTGGTTGAGAACCAATGCTATACATCTATTAAAGACACAAAAGCAGCTACATGAATTTATAGCTTAAAATATTGTCATTTTGCAAACTTAAGAAATTCTTACAAAACCTAAAGAATGGGAAACTATGTCAACAATCCCTTTTTATAGTAAACACTGAGGTTTTTCATATAATTTGGAATCTTTGTATTTTTTTTCTCCAGGTCCAGTGAATTTGGCAGCTAAAGATTTAAAAACATATACTACTTTCCTTTTTGTTAAGGATAAGATGTAGTTAGTAAAGTAAGGCACATGTTCAACATCCTAGTTTTAAGATAATCTTTTGAAGGTATGCAGAAGGTCACTTAAAACAGATTTTGATATATCACTGAGGTGTCCATGATTCTGAAATTCTGAGAAAATAGAATGGATCATCGACATTGTGCTGTCCAATAGAATTTTCTTCACTGAAGGGAATATTCTGTTCTGTAATATCCAATATGGAAGCCACTATCCATATGTGACTACTGAGCCTTTGAAATGTGGCTAGTATAACCATGGGACTGAATTTTAAATTTCATTGTAATTAATTAAATTTTACATAGCTACATGTGGCTAGTAGCTATACTATTAGACAACACAGATCTATACACATAAATAAATGATTATGTTATTTTCTTCCTTAATAGGGTCTTTTTGTCAGTGGGCAGACCCCCCATACCCCACACATACCACTTACCACATGTTGTTACATACAATAGAAACAGATTTTTATAATCCACATGAGAAATGGTTCTTGTAGTCACATATGGTGTAATGCTGTAGTAGAATATGGTTTCTCTCTTCTACTTCTCTTAGAAGGTTCAACACTTTAAACTTTACAATTCTGTTGTAAAGCTAATATTCCCTAACAGACCCTGTAGTCTCTGAAGAGAGAAGACTTTTTATTAAAATTCTTTGTCATAATGGTGAAGCCCCATATATAGCAGGCATGCAATAAACTTTTATTATAAATATATAATATTAAAAATGTATAGTTTCTGTAAAAGTAGAAAAAGCAGAGCTAGAGTTAGTATGGCAGAGGTTAATTTACAATGAAGGTATAAGAATGACTACTATAGAGTTTAAGTCCCAATAAATTTACATAGTTGGTAGGCATCTCCTTAGAGGCTCAGATAAAATGCAAATGGCATAGAACATTTCACCTGTGCTGAAATAGTTTAAAGAGTTTTTGAGCAAGATTTTCATCTGGGCAGTTTTTTCTTTTTGTTTTGTTTTGAGATGGAGTCTCGCTGTGTTGCCCAGCCTGGAGTGCAGTAGCTATTCACAGGCATGGCCATCACACACTACAGCCTTAAACTCCTGGCCTCAAGCAATCCTCCTGCCTCAGCCTCCCAAATAGCTGAGACTGCAGGTGTGTGCCACTGCACTCCCTTGAGCAGTTTTCTCTAACTCTATTCCCTGCCCTGCTTGGTACACACACACTTCTTTGGGAACCACTGTGGGAGAACCTATTGTTGCTGATGGGAATGTGTTAGGGTAGTTAAAAAAAAAAAAAAAAGGTTATAAACCACTCTCCTGAAGACTCATGCTGGCAATTTTTTTACAGGTTGTAGCTGCACACACACATCATAAGTCTTACAAGAAGTATCTCTGCAAACAATATTCCTTTCTTAAAAGCAATTCTATAATTAAGGCAAAGAGATTACCAGCATCAGTAGTGATCAATAATAATGGCTGACATTTGTTGAGTGCTTACTGTGTCAAGCACTGTTCTTGCAGTTAAAATGCATTTATTTAATCTTCATAACAACTCCATGAGGTAGATAACAATGTTATACCATTTTAGTTGAGGAAACAGGCACAGAGAAGTTAAGGATTTTGTGCAAGATCACACAGCTAGTAAATGATAGAGCCAACATTTCAAGCTGCGCTGACTATGAAACTGTAGTCTTAATTCTATGCTATACTGCAGCTACACTCACCCAGGCAAAGTGCTTGCTTGTAACCAATACAGGAAAAGCAGATTCCGTTCCAACCACTGAATCAGATTTATCAAGTGTACAGATAAGATGAAGGAGCAGGTTGATTGCAAAGCTTACTCCCATTCTGAAAGGCTATGAAAATGAAAATTGAGGGTTTTATTAATAGAAGTAATGGTTTATGCCATTACTTTTAATGGCAAAAAAACCGCAATTACTTTTGCACCAGCCTAATAGAAAAAGGTTAATTTTCTAAGCATATGAAGATTCCCAAAATCAACTAGGCAAAAAATTTATTTTTATATTCATATTTCTTTTTTTTTTTTTGAGACGGAGTCTCGCTCTGTCGCCCAGGCTGGAGTGCAGTGGCGCGATCTCGGCTCACTGCAAGATATTTCTACCAAGATGGAAAACCTAAAATTAAAATGAGACCTCACCAAAACCTTTTCTTAATATAAAATCTTGGCTGGGTATGGTGGCTCATGCCTGTAATCCCAGCACTTCAGGAGGCCGAGGCGGGAAAATCGCTTGAGGACTCAGGAGTTCAACTCCAGCCTGGGCAACACAGGGAAACCCCATCTCTACAAAAAAAATAAAAAATTAGCTGGGTGTAGTAGTGTGCAACTGTGGTCCCAGCTACTCGGGAGGCTGAGGTGGGAGGATTGCTTGAGCCTGGGAAGTTGAGGCTGCAGTGAGCTGTGATCATGCCATTGCACCCCAACTTTGGAGACAGAGAGAGACCCTGTCATAAAAAATATAAAATAAAAATTTAAAAATAAAATCTGAAAATAATGTTGAGTGATTAGAAAAACATAACAGGCAAGTTATTGAGGCCTTACTACCATTATTCACAAAAACTCACAGTGCTACAAGTAATCTAATCACGTTCACAATTAACTTTTTCTTGTACAATTTTTATTGAGAATAGGAGTGTTTTATTTCATAACTGAAAACATTATTTTTAAAGTAACACTTCTATTAAAAATGCTTCTAAAAATGACTACAATGAAACAATAACAGTTGCACTTAACCATGTGCTAGATACTGTTCTAAATTTATATAGTTAGTCCTCAATCCCCCCAAAAAACTAAAGAAGTAAGTATTATTATTTGAGACAGGGTCTTGCTCTGTCACCCAGGATGGAGTACAGTGGTGTGATCACGGCTCACTGCAGCCTTGACCTCCTGGGCTTAAGCGATCCTCCCACCTCAGCCTTCTGAGTAGCTAGAATTACAGGTGCACACCACCATTCCACTAATTTTGTTTTTATTTTCTGTAGAGACGAGGTCTCACTATGTTGCCCAGGCTGGTCTCAAACTCCTGGGCTCAAGCAATCCTCCTGCCTTGGCCTCCCAAAGTGCTGGGATTACAGGCATGAGCCACCACGCCTGGCCAAGAATTATTATATTGTTATTATTATCTACCTTGCACATGAAGAAATTGAGGTATGGAGAGGTGAAGTAACTTGCCTAAAATCACACAAATAAATGGTGGAGCTAGGATTCAAATCCAGGTATCCTGGCTGTACTGCCACTAAGTGAGAGTATTAAAATGCAAAGAAAATACTTTCCCTGTAAGATATATTTTGCTGAACAAAACCTAATGATGGCAGAAATGGAATGACTTAAAGATGGAAAACAGGAACTTCCATGCAAACATTTTTCAGTATTTTGTTGTACTATTCAAATGTTCAATACAAAATAGATTAAAATTTAAAATATATTTGTACTTTAATTCTAATTTTCCTTATAGCCAAATCAGTAATATTTTATTCTTTAAATGCTTTTTTAAAAAACAAGGGCTGGCCCAGTGTGATGGCTCACGCCTGTAATTCTAGCACTTTGGGAGGCTGAGGCAGGTGGATTACCTGAGGTCAGGAGTTCAAAACCAGCCTAACCAATAGGGTGAAACCCTGTCTCTACTAAATACAAAAAATTAGCTGGGCATGGTGGTGCATGCCTGTAATCCCAGCTACTCAGGAGGCTGAGGCAGGAGAATCTCTTGAACCCGGGAGGTGGAGGTTGCAGTGAGCCAAGATTGCGCCACTGCATTCCAGCCTGGGCAACAAGAGTGAAACTCTGTCTCGAAAAAACAATAAATACAAACAAGGGCTTACTAAACACTGAAATTTTCTCCTTTTCATTGCAGAGCATAAAACGTTCATTACTCCAAACTACCCGTGGCAATAACTTTTACTTATTTATTTATTTTGGAGACAGGGTCTTGCCATGTTGCCCAGGTTGAAGTGTGGTGGCTATTTACAGGCATGATCTGTATACTGCAGCCTCAAACTTCTAGGCTCAAGCAATCCTCCCGCCTCAGCCTTCAGAGTAGCTGAGACTAGTGTGTGCACCACCATGCCTGGCTCCATGGCAATAACTTAAAAAGCAGCAAAGTGCTGCTTTTTCGTATTTCTTTTTTTTTTTTTGAGACAGAGTTTCGCTCATTGCCCAGGCTGGAGTGCAGTGGTGCGATCTCGGCTCACTGCAATCTCTGCCTCGTGGGTTCAAGCGATTCTACTGCCTCAGCCTCCCGAGTAGCTGGGATTACAGGCACCTGCTACCACACCCGGCCAATTTTTGTTAGAGACAGGACTTCACCGTGTTGGCTAGGCTGGTCTCGAACACCTGACCTCAGGCAATCCACCCACCTTGGCCTCCCAAAGTGCTTGGATTACAGCGTGAGCCAACGTGCCCATCCATGTCCAAGCATTTCTATATTGAAATACAACTGAATTACAAGTTCTTTTTAGTTCTGTCATATAACAATTACATACATTTAAATTATATGTGTAGGAAATATATTTATGAATTTCACTTCATGACAGTAAAGGGGGACACAGTATTTTTATAAAAAAGGAAGCAATGGGACTGACAGAATTAAGATTTACTGATAGCGGTCAGCTGTAATAACACAATTTGCATAGAGGGAAAATTAAATAGCGAAAGATAACTTGTTTGTTTCTAATGCAACAGTAAAATAAAATCAGCACATTTAATCAAATGGAAAGAAAAACCTGTTTGATGCTTAACTTTTGTATTGGAACCCAAAATTGTCCCGGCATGTTCCCTCTGATGAGTATGTATTAAACTTTCAGATGGCTGTGCAGATGAGCTGTAATCATCGCAGGCTGAGCAGCATCAGCGCTGCTTTGTCACAGTGCCTCCTCTTCCCTCAGATGCTGGTGTGTGGCATAAACAGGGCTTTGTTAGGTGGCGGGACTGTGGTTTTGCTGTGTGGAAAATCAAATTGTTACCACCATCCTCCACATTTCATTTATATACTGTCACACTGCCTAAAGTAACCTGACATTCTACTGCTTTCCTCTTCAATGCAAAGCCATGTATCTGGTTCACATTTTAAGGATGCAACCTTCTAAAAAGGTCAAACAGAAAGTTACTAAAACAGTTCACTGCACAATGATAAACATTTAAATGGCCAAAGATATTTGTATAATTTTTTCAGTAGCTAGAAAGACAACTGTGAAAAAATATAAAGAAAAATTTCCAGAGAAATGTGATCAATAAAAAGTAACCCATATAAAAGCATACATAATTTTAATTTTTCATTCTAATTGTTATCTTTTTAAACATTCTATGTATCCACATCCCTTAGATTGAAAAATTCAGAATGGCACACTGCATCTGCAGATGTGAAAAGTTAAGATTCTAAGGTTTTTTCTTAAATTCATATCAGTAGCCTCTACTACAGAAGAATACAAAATGAACTTGTGGTCCATTATTTGTTACAAAATAACCTCCCCTCAGTGTGAATCAGTTTGATAAAGTTGTTTAGTATTTTCTTGCACTCTTTCCAGGTAATAAACCTTAAATTTTATTATTGTCAAATGAAAGAGCAAATGAATATGAATTCTTTCAAATTAAATGAAAGTATTTACTTGACAAATTAAGGTTGCATATAAAATTATAATGACAATTCAAATAAGGTAAGCAGAATAAACCATTTATTAAAACACTGTGTGATAAACTTTTTGATCCAATGCTACACTGGTAAACATTTTCCCTCATTAACATGTTACCTAAAACACAGTTAAATTATATCATCTGGGCCAGGTGCAGTGGCCCACACCTGTAATCCCAGCACTTTGGGAGGCTGAGGTGGGCGAATCACCTGAGGTCAGGAGTTTGAGACCAGCCTGGCCAACATGGGGAAATCCCGTCTCTACTAAAAATACAAAAATTAGCCGGGTGTGGTGGCACACACCTGTAATCCCAGCTACTCGGGAGGCTGAGGCAGGAGAATCACTTGAACCCGGGAGGCGGAGGTTGCAGTGAGTTGACATCATGCCACTGCACTCCAGCCTGGGTGGCAGAGCAAGACTTCACCCCCACAAAAAAAAAAAAAAAAAATTATATCATCTGACCAGAACTAGAAAATACTTCTGTCCTTTACCACTCAATGATTGAACAGTGAGGTGAGTGCAGATCTAGGTTTTCTTGATGAATCAATGATACAGAATAGTAACTTTAAAGGCAATCAAAATTCCATATGCTCAAAAGTTAAATTTTATTTACCCTGTTCACTGGCCCAAACTTAAAATCCTTATATCACATAAAGATTTCATGGACCGTTCCCTCTCCCTGCCAAAAATACGTATTAGGAACAAATTAAGAGTAAGAGTTGGGTTTTAAACTGCACTTTATTTGTTACTGTAACATTCTTTTTTAACTGATCAACCATAAGCATGCAAAAAGTTCTCTGAAACTGCTTCCACTGCCTGTTGTATAGAAATGGGTAAATTATAAAGGTGATTCAATTTGGAGCTCTTTCCTTTTTTATAGCACTTCTAAGCTGTGTGCGCGACACACACCACAGAGGTAGGAAGGACCACCTTTAATAAATTATCTTCTTAATCGCAGAGAATTTCTGAAGATAAAACTGACAAAATGCTAAACCAAGGCTTTGATGAGTCCCAAAGGACCACAGATCCATCGGCTCCTATTTGAAGAATTCATCCCCTGTAGTGTTCTAGCCTTTGTAGGGCACTGGATTACAAGATCCACCAGGGCTCTGAACAACTGCGCTAAGAAGCCTTCTAACCACTCTCATTTGCCGATTCTTTGGACCACCCAGTCCTGCTGGCAGAGAGGGCAGCGATTGTTCTGTTTCACCCACAGGGACATGCAGCAGTTGTGGAAGGAATGATTACATTCTCCCCAGACCACTGAAAGAAAGAAAAAGAAGAGTTGACATTACATATTTCAATTTAAACACTGAACTCAAAATTATAGCTTATTTTATATTACAAATAATAATCTTGAAAAAAGATAGTTAATTGGCCAAAATAATGTTTTTCTATCTATAAAGAAACAGAAACTTAAATGTGTAAGTTACACAGAGACATAAGTCACTGTTTGAGAGCCTTTCCATCACTGTTCTAGAATCTATGGGTGATGTGATGACCCCTAGTTCCTACACAGCTCCACATGCTGTCTTCTTGAAGTTAGATGAATGTTCTTGAACCTTCCTTAGATCTGACCTTCTCAGTCATGCACTGACCTTAGAGATCTTCTGGGCTTTATTTTATGGGAAAATGTCCTTCCAATTTTTATTTACCAAGACAGAATGAGTTGTAAATGTTTTTAGTATGCAGTAGGCTATTATAAATAACATGCTTCTAAACATTCAGTTGTGCATCTGAGCTGAGCTGTTTTCTAGAAGTGATGAATTGTGTTAAGTCACCCATAAGCAGTGCAATTCCTCATGTGACGATGAAATTTTCAAAGTGGCTGGCTGGAGAGAGAGGTCTCTCTGTGATCAAAGAAAGTGGCCTGCCCCTCACAATTCCCAAATTAATACTTTTTAAACAAGCAGCATGAAAGAAAAACTTTAAAACAAGGGAAATCATCCACAATCTAGAATGCAATCTCGAATTTGGGATTCATCTGTCCCTTGCTTGATCAACTGAGCTATATGACAAGAGAAAAAGATTAAATGAAAGAAATAAGGCAGAGAAAAAGATTAAATGAAAGAAATAAGGCAGAAAAAAAGAAAAAAATGCCTATGAAAATTGGCTACAGGGGGTAGGAAGCAAGGGTGAAACATTCTAAGCGTTTCAGGAGGAAGAACTGGATCAAAACTGCAAGAATCAATATTAAGAAGTTCTATGTACACCATGTATTTGTGTTCTACGTACACCATGCAAACACAAAATACAAAGCCAATCTTTTATTCTAAGAAAATCTATAAACATGTTTATATAGCAATCTAGACTTGATCACCTCAAGAACTAGGGCATAAAAATCTTTGAACTGCCTAAAATATTTAGCCTACGACAACTTTTGTAGTCTAAGACTCTAAAGAAAATTTGATACACAAACCACATTCCAAAAATATACTTGAGACTTAGAATTTTTCTACTCTGGTTTTAAAGTTAAATACTGTATTATAAGAGTATTGAAAAGTGAAATGCCTTATTAGAACCAAAAGTGACCTATAACATAGCCAAAATTCAAATAATGTTTTGACAAATTTCTGATTTTATAATTTTCTTAATAGAAAATATTTAATTTTTGATTACCAAAATGTTTATTATGACCATGTCTGGAATATATAACCAATTCTTCTTAATTATGGCAATAAAAGGACTTGCAGGTTCATTCCATTAAACTCTTTTGAGAACCAACATATTTTATATTAACAATGGATCACTGCTTTACAGTTTATTTTTGTGTATTGATAAAGTCAATCTTAATTTCAAATTCAAACATCCCTACTGAGAGAAAACCTTCAGTTGAAAAAGCAAGAGAACAAAATTACAACATACCAACACAGTCCTCTTGTTTGTTTTCAGCTTGACATCTAAGACAGGCATCTAAAAGTAAACAAATAGCGATTCTCATTCTGATGCTCAGAATGCAATTTTTAAAAACCAGACACTTCAAAGTCAAAAGCCCTAAGGGTTAGGGATGGCAATAAAGACTCATACTATTAATTTCTCATCTGAACATAACTACTTAAAGAGGAATAAAGTACAAGGCATTCTACTAATTATAACCAGGAGCAATTTCACAAGGGTTAACAAATCCTCTATTTTTATAAGCTCTGATGAAAAGATGTCCTGACGGTGCCAAGAGAGAAAACTACTAGAGAAAAATATGCCATACTCCACTATATTCAAAGTTACCATACGCTTACTGGGCATGCTCATGGACAGTTTATTTTCAAGACACCCTTTAAATAAACCATATATATATGTTAGCATTTGTTTATACATACATCAAGAAACACTAGGATACCCAAGGAACCAATAATAAAGTTTACTGGGAGGGTTTGGAATGGGAAGGAGAGTTTTCACTCTTCCAGGTAATATACATAACTTCCTCAATTTCTGAACTATATGAATATATAACTTATAAAAAATTAAATTAAAAAATTGCTTCATAAACAAGTTTTTTAAAGTCATCCATACTTACTGACACAGAAGCCTTCCTTTAGCAACTCATAAGAAGCAACTTTTTACTTTCTACCCTAAGACACTTGAGAGTTCCTCTAAAATAAACTGCTTTGTATGCTTCCAATAGGTTGCTACCGATGGTCATCCAGACAAGGCTGGTGAGAAGCCAGTGAGACAGAGGGGACAGCGAGGGCTGTGGAGCCAGATCTACAGTCAAATCCCATTTCACTGGCATTTATTAGGTTCAGGGCCTCGGACCAATTACGAACTCCAATTCCCTCATCTGTAAAAAAGGGACAATACTGTGAGGTATTTATATATTAAGTGGGGATGATACAAACTGGTGAGAATTTTACAGATAAAATAAGTAAATACTAGATATCCCTAAACACTAAGGTTTTTTCTTTGTAAGAAAATGCTCGCCTGTAATCCCAGCACTTTGGGAGGCTGAGGCGGGCGGATCACGAGGTCAGGAGATGGAGACCATCCTGGCTAACATGGTGAAACCCCGTCTCTACTAAAAATACAAAAAATTAGCCGGGCGTGGTGGTGGGCGCCTGTAGTCCCAGCTACTCGGGAGGCTGAGGCAGGAGAATGGCGTGAACCCAGGAGGCAGAGCTTGCAGTGAGCCGAGATAGCGCCACTGCACTCCAGCCTGGGCGAAAGAGCGAGACTCCGTCTCAAAAAAAAAAAAAAAAAAAAAGAAAATGCTTGAGAGCTAAATGATGAGAACACATGGCCACATAGCAGGGAACAACACACACTGGGGCCTTTTGGAGGGTGGAAGGTGGAGAGGATCAGGAAAAATAACTAATGGGTACTAGGCTCAATACCTGGGTGATGAAATAATCTGTGCAACAAACCCTTGTGACACAAGTTTATCTATGTAACAACCCTGTACTTGTAGCCCTGAACCTAAAAGTTTTTTTAAAAAAAAAAAGAAAGAAAGAAAATACAGATAAGTCTGAGCCCAAAGTATTTACCCAACAATGGTAAAGTCTTTTAATAAATTACTTTATTACTGGTTTCTTGGGTATCCTTCTAGAATTTCTTGATGTATATATAAACAAATACTAACATTATATGTATGGGTTATTTAAAAGGGTGCCTTGAAAATAAACTGCCCATGAGCATGCCCAGTGAGCTTATAGTAACTTCTAATATAGTGGAGTAGGTGTAAATACTAAAAATGAGATCCTAAAGGCTGTACTAGAAGTTTTCAAAATTCAATCTGGAATACTATCAGCTTAATGAAAAAAGTAATATAGAATATTTTAGGGAGCAAAAATGGACTCATTCACTAGCTGGAAGAGGAGTCAGAGTTGGGTAAAAGGAAGTTTGAACCAACAGAAAATAGTTTTTAACATAAATAGGAGAAAAATAATTCTGTAAAAATAGAAACACGGTTAAGTTGAAGCCTGCTTCTCTTCTTACACTGGATTCTGCTCAGGCATTTGTTTGCTCCTTTCCACATGCTCTTACCCTTAAAAAAACACCACTGCCCTAGTCTCTTCAGTGTGGATTAAAAACAACCACTGCCTCCTGAGGTTTTCTTCAATCCCACAATTACTATCTCCTCTGTGCAAGGAGTTATGCACTGGGGACACCAAAATGACCAAGGCTGGGTCTCAAGGGGCTCAGGAGCAAATGGGGACGTAGACAAACACCTAAATATCATGAGGGTTGTGATATAACAGTGAAGACATCCTACCTGAATCTGGCGCTAGTTCTGTGCAATCACAGAATTTTAATATTAAGGTTGGTGATCCCAACTGCCTCTTTACAAATTAGGAAAATAAGGCTCCAAAAAGTTATGTGAAATATCCAAGGTGATACAGTCATGAAGGGTTACTCTGGCTATTATAACTGGCTGTACTAGCAAACCTATTCCCCTTTTCATCAGCACTTGCTCACTGTGTAATCATCACTCCTTTCTGAATGAAGGGAGGAGAGTGGAAACGAAGAGAGTGTTATCCATATCAGAATGGGCTGACAGGCAAGTCTTGGGAGCAGAAAGTATAATAAATCACAAGTGTGTGAGACAAATTCCAAATACTAAGGAAAGGGAACTAAGTGGGTTCTTGTTGCTGAATTTAGGAATCTCTAAATTACACTTATAGCTCTGATGTAGATTATCAAAACTGACCCAAATCTACACAAATTCCTAAAGTTTCAGATAAAAGATAAAAAATTGCTTTAATGATCTTCCTAGAATCTAAAACAGCACATTTCTAAGGAGTACAATAACACCTTTTAGAATGATGCTAGGGTAAGGACTAGGAAGTCTGGAAAAAAAATTTCCTTCTGCTGTCACCTGACCTCTAAGTGGGTTTTAACACCTCATAAACAAAATACAAAGGTCTAGCCTAGAATAATTTCCTGAACCCAAAGTACAGCTGTTGTAAATATGCAAGACTGATCCTGTAGTAGCAGAATACTTGCTATAATTAGAAAGTTTATGATGAAATGTGTCATTTATAGTCTATACTTTGACCTACATTAAAATCTCTCAGTAAAGTTTATTTGTTGCAAAGTTTCAATCATTATTTCAGGTTATACATTTCCACTTACTCTTTAAATGTTTTTCCTTTGGGGAGGAAATAGCTTTTTGGGAGACAAATCTTTTGAAAATACCCTTTGGGAACATTATTTTTAAACTGGAAAGGAACTAAGTGAAAGCTTAGTTTCCTTTAAACTAAAGGAAATTTATTTAGGAGATAAAATGTTTAGCGAAACTTGTCTTAAAAAAAAAAAAAAAGAGTCTCCTGGATCAGTTAAAAATGCTTCCCAAACTAGAAATTATGATTCCTAAGTGGGGGTAGGGGCAGCTGTATTGCTGGCAAATAAACTAGATACTTTTAAAGCCTCATATGTTTTGTTTGTTTGTTGCTGAGACAGGGTCTCATTCTGTCACCCAAGCTGGAGTATAGTGGCAGTGGCAGTGGCAGGAACAAGGCTCACTGTAGCCTCGACCTCCTGGGCTCAAGGGATCCTCCCACCTCAGCCTCCAGAGTAGCTGGAGGCCACCATGCCTGGTCAGCTTTTTATTTTAATTTTTAATTGTACAGACAGGGTCCTGCGATGTTGCCTAGGCTGGTCTCAAACTCCTGGGCTCAAGTGATCCATGTAAAATAAGTGGGTCATGTCTAATATCAAGGTCTTTCAAAAGAGAAAGATAAAAATATCTGAATCCAATTGTTGTAAATCCTCTTTGAAACAAGCCCTTAGGAATAAAAGACAAAAGAGCATAAACTGCGAAATCTCTTGATTCTGGTATGTTTACAGTCTCACCCCCCTTAAGGTGAGCAATTCTCTGTATGTTCTCCAATTCTCTCATTTTTCAAGACAAGTCACAGTTTTCAAACGATAGAAATGTCCGTTTTCTTTAACTACCCTCAATAAAGAATTCCACTGAAGAGGGTCTCATAGTAATTTTAAATGCCCTATCTGAAAATACAACTTGCATTTAAATAGCACCTGCTTTTCAAAGTGGTCTGAGTTCTTAGAACCATATAAAATATAACAAGATTAAGCTGTTCTGAAAAGTTTCACTTGGTCTAATATTTTAACTCAAAATATCACAGAAAGAAGACATATTTGTAAGAGGGTTCTCCACAAAGGCATGACTCAGAGCAGCACAGTATCTTCTCCAGGAAATGGCATCCAATATGGAGAGGGGGGTGTGATGGAGGTGAAGTTTTACGTTTCTGAAAAAAGGGCTTACAATTCTTCAGCTTCCATGAAACTTAGATATTCTTGAACCACACTGTTCCCTTCAAGCCACGCTAGTGCTATCTGACCCGTCTTAAATCAATCCAGATTTAAAAGCCATTCGAAGAGCGGCGGTAAGCTAATCCGGAAATGCAATGGCTATGAACACTTTCCTGCGTCCCTCGAGGAGAACTAAGGGTGTCGTTTTGTGGAAGATGACTCTGGAGCATCACTTTGGTGGTGACCAAGACTATTAAAGTTCACTGCTGAATCACGGCCTTTACCCTGACCACCTTGTGTTGAGCTTTTAGAGGTGGGGCTGGGGCTGGACACACAAACCGAAGTGTTTCCTGCTAGTTCCCAACAATCACCCGGTTTTACTTTCTTGGTCACACCCATCACTACCTGAAATTACCTTGTTTAACTCCGTTTATTGCCCGTCTCTCTCCCTAGAACACCAACCACCCGGCGCAGGGCGCCTGTTGCACAACCCCGCAGCCCCAGGCGGCGGCCGCAGCCCTCAGGAGCCGCAGCAGGAGCGTGGCTCCGCGTTCCTCCGGCGCCGGGGCAGGGCGACCTCCACCCACTCTCCCAGGCAGGGCACTTTCCGAGGCTTCTGACGGACGCCCGTCCCTTCCCAACCCCGAGGTCGGCTCCCGGAGGCCGCAGGGCGGCCCTGGACTCGCGTGCAGCGCTTACCCATCACCTGGACCCTGCAGATGGCGCACGTATCGCACTCCACGTCCCAGCTCCACATGGCCACCGCGTTCCACTTCTTGAGGGAGAACATCTTGTCGCCTCCCGACTTGGAGCCTGAGCTCCCGGAGTGAGAGGCCAGGGCGCAGGTTTCCTCTCCGTCTTCCACGTCGGCCATGGCGGCGCCGCGGAGCCGACGGCGGAGACGTTGGCTTGGGGAAGGCGGAAGGCTAGGGCGGCTCTGTGGAGCCGCCCGACGGGCCACAGCGCCGCCCGCAGGCCGCCAGCCACCGTGGTGCCTAGACCCCGGCTGCCCACGATTGGCTGGCGCGGCACAGTGACGTCACCTGACGCCAGCGCCAGGGGGGCGGGCAGGCCCCGCCCTCGCCGTCCTAGGCCAACTGAGAGGGCTCGGGCCCTTATGGGGCGACGCCGCTGAATCTGCCTGCTGCGCTGCGGGGTGTTACGTCTGAGCAGGCGCACAGATTGTGCAGGGATATGTGTCCTGCTTTACGGCTTCATTAAACCTACTGCTCTCAGAAATTATCTTGTTAATTTATTCGTTTGTCTCTTCCCTCCCAAATGTAAAACTCTATCAGAGCAGGAAACATGTTGCTATCACCACATTATCCTCCGTATCTGCAAAATGCCTGGCCACAGGAGGCACAATTATTTGTTGAGTGAATAAATGATCTTAAAGATCTAGAAATCTGGTTCAGTGATTCTCAAAACTTTTTGGTCCCAGGACTCCTTTTCACTTAAAAATTATTAGGACCTTAAAGAACTTTTATTTATGTAGGAAATGTGTAAATATATATATATATACACACACACATATTATGTATGAATATATATACACATATACAATGAATATATGTATATTCATATATACATACATTTCCTGTATATGTATACACACATATGTAGAGATTAATGTTTGCTTTTGAAGAAATTAAAACATTTTAAAATGTATTCATTAAAAATCACAGTAGTAACCTCATTACAGGTTATCATTAGAGGGATGACTTCACATACCATGTAGTTGCTAGAAACTCCGGTGTACACTCGTAGAATGAGAGTGAAAAGAGAGAAATAGCTCTAAATATTGTTAGGCAACTAGTTTGCCCTCTTTTGACCGCTAAAAGAGGTCGGGATCCCAGGAGTCCCGGTGTGTGGCGACACAACCCACACTTATTTTTCAGGCCCCGCTCCCTCAGCTGCACAGTCTCCATTCCTTCTGCTCAGTACATTTGAGCTAGTTTAACTTCCTCTTTTTATATGTAGGACTAATGAGGTCTGAAGAAGTGAAATGACAAAGATCACATCGTTATTATAGTAGTGCTTCTACGGCTAGCCCACCATCACATGTGTTTCCAAGAAAGCCGGTATCTCCATTGAAAAGAAAACAGAAGCACAGCCAGCCTAAGGAGATGCCTGACCCCACCATCACCTAGTGGTGGACAGCTACTCTGTCAAGTTTGGATTCTGAGCCTCTCCCCATCCCCTCATTTCCTGATACCTGGGCAAAAGCTAACCAGACTAATGGAGCCTGGCAGGGGAAACAAGAATGCATTAATATACAGAAACATAAATATGGACACAGGGTCACATTTGGTTAGATGCAAATGCGTATTTGTTGAGTGGTGTGTTAAGGGCTGTGAGGGTACAGGATGCAGTGAGGGAAAGCCTCATGAGAGAGGTAGAGGATGCAGTGAGGGAAAGCCTCATGAGAGAGTAGAGGATGCAGTGAGGGAAAGCCTCATGAGAGAGGTAGAGGATGCAGTGAGGGAAAGCCTCATGAGAGAGGTGAAGTTTGAACTGGGGGAACATGGGAGGTCTTCAGGGCCAGTGGAGAGAGCAAACCTCTCTGAGCTGTTGGCCAGAGCAGGGCACAATGGTGGCAGCAGACAGGAATTGGACCACACCTACTTTATAAGCCAGACACCCATTGGAGTGAGCACACAAAACATGTGTTCTCTTCTTACTGAACGACCACACATCTGCCTAGAGATGGCTGTAAATGCTAGGTATCTAACAAAGAAGGAAGGCTGGCACCAGAGGAGGATAAAACGCACCCAGTTGGTGAGAAGTTTGAAAGTCAAAAGGATGAAATGGTGAAAAGGAAAAGAATGGTTTCGCTGGAGGAATGGTATGTGCCCTTGCTGAGGCATGAAATCTGGAGAGAGGTGTCTGCTGCAATGAAATTTAAAATAGAAGCCAGGAGGGAGCATAGGGGCGGGAAGTGGGAAGGCAGGTGGAGGAGATGAGTACAGTTTTGACACACTGCATGTCAGGAGAACTTTTTCTCCTGACAAAAAGAACAGGAATGAGTGATGCGCCAGAGTTCAGTGCAACAAGCAAGCATGCATGGGGAGAAAGGAAAGCAGGAGTGAGGCAGAAAGTTCAGGCTGCAGCAGCTGTTCAGGCGTGGTGGGGCCAACGGGTCCCCTGTGATTACCTTCCTTTGGTTCACCTTCATGAGGGCTTGTCTGCCATCATGAGCACCCAAAGGGCAGGAACTATAGGTGGCCTTGAATGCAGCAAAACAAATATCTGTCCTTCTCATGGCCTGCTCAGTTCCCACTCCACCACTGTGCATTGTTCCTCTCACCAGTCCTTGGTGTGTGGTGACACAACCCACACTTATTTTTCAGGCCTGGCTTCCTCAGCTGCACAGTCTCCTTTCCTTCTGCTCAGTACATTGAAGACGTAGTTTCTTTCATTTTGAGGACTTCTCTTAAGCAAAATATTTGAGGACTAACTAATAAATATTTAGGAAAAACTTGTCTCAGTACAAGTGGACATTTTTGTTATTTCTTTGGTCCTCACTCCAACCATCATTTCCCCCTTCTATGCCATTCATCTTTAACAAAATAAGTTTTCCTGTTGCCAGGGAGGTAAAACTTTCACTCTACCCTCTTAGGTTCAGTATTCGGGGGATTGCAAATTAAACCAACAAAACACAGCTTAGCAGGAGAAAAGATAGATTTTTATTCACTGAAGCAGTCAGAGTTCACAGAAAATTATGACTCAAGGAGCAATTAGAATTTGGGGCTTATATACTGTCTAAATAAAGGAAAGGGAGAAGGAGAAAGGGCACTTCTGGGAAAAAACTTTCAGAAAAGATAAACAGGCCTTTGGGAGAATAGATGGGAGATATGATAGTTTTGTGACAAAGTCTATTAGGTGATTTATTATCCCAGTACCAACTTCCTGTTTCTAAAGATAGGGTCAATCTTCCCTGGTTTTGAAATTGCTGGGAAGGAATTTAAGACAGTTGAATTCTTTTGAGAGGCAAGTAAGTTCAGGGAAAAAATTAAAATAAAATAAAACAACTCTTCCTGCATCCACTGATTCTCAAATGCCTTTAGCTCAAAATAATCCTTATGCTATAGTGGCATATTCTGGACTTCTTTCCTGTACTAGGGAAAGAAATAAAAACAAAAACAAACCTGATGACATTTGCTTGTTGAGCTGGAGTAGTTTCCCCAAAAGGACCAATGTTTGGAACCATAATGACAAAGCAAGAAAATTGTTCCTAGAGGCTAGAGATCAAAGCTAGCCCGAAATGTATAAGCTGCCTCCTCCTGGGAATGTCCTTCTAAGCAAGTCTGCTCTCCATCACACTTGTCAGACAAGAGTTATGGCTCATCTTTTTTCTTGGAAATAATTGTGTTTATGTCCATAGGTCCCTGAGCATTTTCTGGTCTTCTTTGGTCACATGGAACCCTCCAGTTCATTTGCCTCTCTTGGTCTTAGGTGAAGGTGCTATGGCCGGAAATCATTAGTCCTGCCACCCCACTCCCCCAACACACACACACACACACACACACCCCATACTGAAAGCGTACATGTGACCAAGGCAATCAGCCTTTGTTGGAGAATTCCTTAAATCCTCCCAACATTATATTTCATTAATTGTAGACATCAATCATCAATTGTGTGACGTAAATCAATTTCGGATGTAAAAAAAGAAGTGATGTAGAATATTTCAGAATAGATGAAAAATGAAATAGAAAAACCCATGCCTAAATCTCATGATGCCTTCTTTAGAAACCTGGTGACTTTCCTGAGAAAGTAGAGTTTTGGGGATTGATTTTAATCCATTTGTCTAAAATTGCTCCACATTGAATCTTCTTGAGCTGCAGGTGCGGATGAGTATAGCACTGTGTGTATGCTTTTGTCTCTTTTTTGAAATTTGCTGAGTTTTTTCTATTAGATATTGGTGACATCGGCTTGAATGGCTCATTGTTGCTTCAAACTTGACAGGTGAAAGGGAGTTCATTTCCTTTCTTGCAAAATTTAGCTTTCTTTCAACAATTCCCTTTCTCTGCCTGAGATGTAATTCTCTCGTAGGTATAACTGTCCTGGTCTGAAACCACGGTCACTGTTGACTCTTTCCCTTCCTCGCCCTTCATACGTAATTATCTGTTCATTCTTTCTTTAGAAATTTCTAGAATCAACCAAACTTTCCATTTCCTATTGTGGAGCTTAACCTCATCACCCTGCTTCTGGATTACAGTGTATTGACTTCTTCCCTGCCTTTCCTCCCCAGTCTAACTGCCATTCAATCTAACATGCCTGGTTAATTTTCCTACCTCCTGACACTCTCCTGCTCAAAATGTTCCAAAGCTCCACATTATCATCAGAACAAAATCTAAATGTCCTGATTGTTCATTTAAGTCCCACCACAATATGGCCCCAACCTACCTGTCAAGGCCATCCCCGGCACCCCTCTGCAGGATCCTCGTGAGACTGGTCTGCACAGTCATCCAAGTGTACCATGGATGGTCTTTTCCTCACATGTTAACATCTCTGAAATTGGATAGAACTTCCCCTACCTTCTTCAGCTGGATTGCCCTCTGTGCTTAGAAAAAATGTACTCATCTTTCTGTTCTCACTGGCCACTCTTTGCCACCACATATTCATGTCCTCCCAGGAAATCACAGCATTTACTGTGCTTCTTCTACACTTTTGGCACCAGGTCACACAGCAAGCAAAGGGCGCTGTTACAGATGTTTAACAAGCTCATCATAATTTATTGAACAATTTTAAGTTTTTAAAAATTGACAGCTCACAAATGATAAAAACAGTGAAACAGGAATACAATAAAAACCCAAGTACCATTAATAGACTCTCCAGAAATTCCTGTATATGCACAAGCAGACACACAATGCATCAATTTAAAATTTTTTTAAATTGTGGTAAAATTTGCGTAACACTTACCATCTTAACCATTTTAAGTGTACAGTTCAGGAGTGTTTAGTATGTTCACAGTGTTGTGCAAACAATCTCCAGAACTTTTTCATCTTGCAAAACTGAAACTCTGTACCTATTAAACAATAACTCCCTCCTCACACGTACTCCCAACCACCATTCTACTTTCTGTCTCTGATTTTGACTACTGTAAGTATCTAAGTGGAGGCATGCAGTATTTGTCTTTTTGTGACTGACTTATTCACTTAGCATAATATCCTTAAAGGTTTATCCATGTCGTAGCATGTGTCAGAATTTCCTTCGTTTTTAAGGCCGAGTAATATTCCATTTTATGTATATATCACATTTAATTTATCCAGTCATCTCTCCATGGACATTTGGGTTACTTCCACCTTTGATTTATTGTAAATGATGCTGCTTTGAACATGGTGTTCAAATATCTCTTAATGACGCTACATTCAATTCTTTTAGATGTATACACACAAGTGAAATTGCTGGATTATACTATGTCAATTCATTTTTGTATGAATTTTTCACATATACTATTCTCTCACCTGTTTTTAAAAATGGTGTTACTTGGATACTTTTCCATATAAGCACTTATGTATCCACATTATTCTTTCAATGACTGCATAGTATTCTACCACACACATTTACTGTGATTTATTCCCCTGAAACTCTTTGAGAAAAATTTAGTTATTTCCCACGTAAAATAAAGAGTGCTGCAGTGAACATCCTCATACATATTTCCTTGCACACATGTGACAGTAAACAAATTTCTAAAAGTAGAATGGCCGAGTCAAAAGCTATGTATTTTTCATTTTAATAAACACTGCCAAAAGACCCGCTAAAGGGGTATTCTGATTTTACACTCCTACCCAGTGGATACGTGTGGCAAATTTCAAAAAAGGTCTTTTTGACTTTTATTTTCATTTTTTTTTTTTTTTTTGACGGAGTCTCACTCTTTTGCCAGGCTGGAGTGCAGTGGCATGATCTCAGCTCACTGCAACTTCCAACTCCCTGGTTCAAGCTGTTCTCCTGCCTCAGCCTCCTGAGTAGCTGAGATTACAGGCATGGGCCACCACGACCAGCTAGTTTTTGTATTTTTAGTAGAGATGGGGTTTCACCATGTTGGCCAAGATGGTCTCGATCTCCTGACCTCGTGATCGGCCCACCTCGGCCTCCCAAAGTGCTGGGATTACAGGCGTGAGCCACGGTGCCCACCCAGTCTATTTTCATTTCTTTTAAGCAGGAACAGTTCTCAGGAGCTCTCACATATTGGATACATCAGTTCTGGTAAATTTGTTACATTGATCTTGTTACTCTATGGCCTTTCTTATCCTGCTTAATGACACATATTTTTCCAAGTCATATACTTTATTGTTGTTCACTTTTAATGCAAGAAAATCTTGTCTTTTTTTTTTTTTTTTTTGGAGACGGAGTTTTGCTATAGTCACCCAGGCTGGAGTGCAATGGCGTGATCTCAGCTCACTGCAACTTCCGCCTCCCGGGTTCAAGTGATTCTCCTGCCTAAGCCTCCCGAGTAGCTGGTATTACAGGCATGTGCCACCACGCCTGGCTAATTTTTGTATTATTAGTAGGGACAGGGATTCACCATGTTGGCCAGGATGGTGTTGAACTCTTGACCTCAGGTGATCCACCCGCCTCGGCCTCCCAAAATGCTGGGATTACAGGCGTGAGCCACCGTGCCTGGCCGAAGATCTTGTCTTCTTAGCTAGATCCTAAGACCCTGGAGAGTGGAGCTAATTTACTATACCATTCTTACCCTACAGTTAGTTTGATTCCAGAAACTTGCTAGCACTTGTTAAATTTGTAGATAGAATGAATGAAGTTTTCGTTTTTTATTTTTACTTCAAAGTGAAGAGGTCTTCAGTCTTCTTTTTTTCATTTCTTTCCTATGTTTCTTGTGTGGTTGTCATAGATGAAATAACTGGCACCACTCAATTCTAACATCCACAATAACAGCAGCAATAATAAGAGCCACTCATATTTATTTTTGAGTGTATAATATGAACAAGGCATTGTTCTCATTGTTCTAAAATGCTTGACATGTGTGGTCTCATTCAATGCTCACCAATTGAGATAGGCGCTACTCTTTTTTTTTTTTTTTTTGAGATAGGGTCTCACTTCCTCACCCAGACTGGAGTGCAGTGGTGCAATTATAGCTCACTGAAGTGTTATCCTCCTGGGCTTAAGCAATCCTCCTGCCTCAGCCTCTCAAATAGCGAGGCCTACGGGCACATGCCACCACAGCTGGCTAATTTTTAAATTTTTTGTAGAGATAGGGGGTCTCACTATGTTGCTCAGGCTGGTCTTGAAGTCCTGGCTTCAAGCGATCCTTTTGTCTCAGCCTCCCAAATTGCTGGGATTACAGGCATGAGCCATTGCACCCAGCCCTGCTACTCTTAACTATGTCTTACATAAGAGGAAACTGAGGAGCATGAGGTGAACTGACTTGCCCAGGCTCAGTACCTGGAAAGCGGCAGTTCCTCCATAGAGACTTCTGGTTCATCTAACTGCCTAGGCCATGCTCTTCATCCTGCACCATAATTGTTGTGGCATATAAAACTCAACTCACCCACTGTCATCTGTATATCAATCAACCACACCTCTTCCATTTCTCACGGGGCTATGTGGCATCTTCAGGGTGGGGCAGAGGAATTAAAAGTTTCCTCATTTGGCTGGGAGCTGTGGCTCACGCCTGTAATCCCAGCACTTTGGGAGGCCAAGGCAGGTGGATCACCTGAGGTCAGGAGTTCGACACCAGCCTGGCCAACATGGTGAAACCCTGTCTCTACTAATAATACAAAAAATCAGCTGGGCATGGTGGTGCGCGCCTATAATCCCAGCTACTCAGAAGGCTGAGGCAGGAGAATCACTTGAACCTAGGAGGCAGAGGTTGCAGTGAGCCAAGACTGCGCCACTGCACTCCAGCCTGGGCAACAGAGCAAGACCCTGTCTTAAAAAAAAAAAAGTTTCCTCATTTAGGGAGGATCCTCATTTTTAGGGATGGTGTCTTTTAGGAAGTGGTTATTATTTCCAAGCATTCTTATTGTTCCCAACTATAGGTATATTTATGAAAGAGGATTCTTTCTTTTTTAGATAAAAGTATGATTTCCTTCAACTTATAAATTTCATATGCAGGAGAGATGAAGCCTCAGAGAATTGCGTCTTTTTTTACTAAGGCCTACTTGTGAAACCCACATTTTAGAAAATGACAAGTGTGATGGGATCATCACAAGACAGGATTATCACATGACTTTAAACTTTCATACAATAATCATCAAATTTGAGAACTTCAAAGGGACTTGGTTACAGTGAAAAATATTACTATAGAATAAGCAATATCTATCCGGGTGTATCTGCTTGGCCATGGAAATAGATGACATCCATATGGAAATATAGCACCTATATTCAGTTTTTAGTCTGTGAAATAATAAACAGGCAATCATAAATTATAGAAAAAAGGGAGTTCAACTTCTTACAGTAGAGAATAAACATATATAAAGCATTACCTCCTAAGAGGTAGCACAGCCTTCATAAAGAGTTTAGGTAAATTTAAAAGTAAATTTATCTTTTCAGATCCACAATAGGCTAGCAGCAACTAGGATTTGGGTAGGGGTGGGAATTAAAGAGGGGAGGCCCAGTCTGTGCCAATCTTTGAGGAAACTGTTGTTCTCTTACTTACTTGTCTCTTGGTTCAATCATCATCCATCAGATTGGAATGATGGTTTAGGGGAGCGTGACCTAGAACCTAAATTCTCATATAATCAAATGCAAAACCTGCAGCTGATGGTGCTGTCTGCCCCAAGGGCCCAGGCTCCACACAGCACTCCCTGGTGGCTGCTCCTCACTGACACAGACGTCCAAGAACTTACCTTTTTCTTCTTTTTATGCATAGTGTTAGACTTCTTGCTATTTTTCCAAATTGATCTGAAGGTATCTGAAGAGATCTGGGGAGTGACTGTAATTTTTAAGACCGGTAGTTTACCTGCACGGGGAAAGAACATAATCATAAATAGGTAGGATATCTCACAACTACATTAGAGGGAGTGGGTCTTAGGCTTCTGAGAGAGGCATTCTCCCACATTCTTATTAGCCGAGTGACTTTCCTCTGACCTCATACCTCTTCCTTATACCTTCTTGGTGCGAGTGATGCTGACAATTAATTTACCTCTGAAGTAACTTCTTACACTTGTCCTGTCTTTCCCATTCTCACTGTCATGTCTTTTACCTGGATGATAGAGTAGCCTCCTAACCAGTTTTCCTAATCCCAAACTTCCCCAACCCCAAGCCCATCCTGGACCCTGCTTCCAGATTAATCATCTGAAAGCAACATTCTGATCTTCTCATTACCAGCTCTAATACCATTACTGGCCCTCTTTCTTTAGTAGACATCTCTTGTTTCCGCCTACCCAGCTTCCATTTCAGCTTCTTTCTGCAACAGCACTTTGAGTTTGTTTTAGGGTTCCACTCCCCTGCCCTCCAGGGTATGCACGTAGCCCAGGGATGTCTAGTGTATTTCATCTCCCTGGCACAGTGATTGGTTAACAGGTGTGCATGTGACTCATGGTCCTCCAGTGAAAGTCCAAAGAAGAGCTCCTTCTTGAGATTATTAACCAGGCAGAATGTAACCCTCTGGCTAATGCTGCTCAACTTGCCCCCATGTGGGAAAGAGCCTGCCTGAGAGTAAAGTCAACACAGCAGCAGAACTCCCAGGAGATGGAGGTGGGCGGCGTTATGTGAACCCTTGATTTCAGCTGGACTTTAAGCTAGAACCACCCTGGACTTACAGGAGTCAACAGATTTGCTTTTGTACTTAAGTCAGTTTGAATCGGTTTTGTATCACTTGAAACCCAGAGTTCTCACTGATTTTCCTATAAAATAAAGACTCAAATCCCTAATGTGTTATTACAGAGCCTGTGTCAACCCCTCCTCCATATTCTTTCCCATGGAACTCTCCCTTCTCCTCCTTCCTGCTTCTCATTTAGCCATACAGCTAGGTCCTGCTTATAAGGCCGGAGGTGCCTAACACTACAGTTTCTGGAGGCCAGGCTTCTCCAGGGAGAGGCCAAAAGCAGAAGGGAAAACAAGAAATACAGTTGAGAGGAAAAACAAGAACTTTAGAAAATAGTACTGAATTTCAGCTCCAGAGGGTAAATTGAGGTTGAAGTATGAAAATGCTTGTACAAGTATGAGGTCAAATCAGGCTGGGCACAGGAAAGAGCAGTGGAAGGCAAGGTGGATGAATATGGAAAGGAACCTGGAGGTGTAAGACAATGTGGTTTAGAATGTCACAACTTGAGGCCGGGCGCAGTAATCCCAGCACTTTGGGAGGCCGAGGTGGGCGGATCACCTGTGGTTGGGAGTTTGAGACCAGCCTCACCAATGTGGAGAAACCCCGTCTCTACTAAAAATACAAAATTAGCCAGGCATGGTGGTGCATGCCTGTGATCCCAGCTATTTGGGAGGCAGGAGAATTGCTTGAACCCAGGAGGCGGAGGTTGCAGTGAGCCAAGATCACACCATTGCACTCCAGCTTGGGCAACAAGAACGAAACTGTCTCAAAAAAAAAAAAAAAAAAAAAAAAGAATGAGCCAGAAATCAGATACTAGCACTTCCTCCTTGTCCTTTCTTCTCCTTCTTCTGGTCTGGAATGGAGAGGAGAGGTCACAGGTGTGGGAGCCACCTTGCAGCCATGAGGATAAGGGCCACTTGCTGAGGTGATGGTGGAGAAGGAGAGAAGGAATCTGGGACGTTGATGATGTGGTGCAGTAGCTGTACCTGCCCAGTCGTCTTCCACCTGTGTAGGGCACTGTAGCTGGTTCTGTTACCTGTAGCCAAACACTATCTCTATATGATGCAGTATTTAATCGGAAACAGGTATAAATCCTGGCCAAGGAGAAAAACAAAGCTCGGAGTTAGAAATATAGAGGACAGGTCCAAAGCAGGGGAAGGCAAAGTCTTCAGTAGGAAAACAAAGGTCAAAGTCTTGACCACTGAGGCAAGGAGGGAGTGTGGGATGCACGGCGCAGGCTGTGAGGTGTTTCATATGCTACAGACCATTTGAAATGGGGCCAGGAGTGTGGAATGGAGACCAGCTGAGACCTCAGAGGATTCATGTGTCGCCTAAGCTCACAAAAGACTGTTATGTTTCCTGGATGCCACACTTTCGGTCATCCTTTCTACTTATTTTCCACTTATAAAATTCTACTCATTCTTCAATGAAGCATATCCCAAGTGTTTGAGACTTCCTCTTCTTTTGAGGAAACTAAGATGATTTAAGCCAGCATTAGGTATTGACCTGGAGTTATATAACAACAAATTACATGGTGAGAAAGCTAGGCACTTTTCAATTCTCTCTTTAAAAATATTTTTGGCTGGGTGCAGTGGCTAGTGGCTTATGCCTGCAATCCTAGCACTTTGGGTTTCAGGAGTTCAAGACCAGCCTGGGAAAAATGGCAAGACCTAACCTCTACAAAAAATTTAAAATTAGCCAGGCATGGTGGCACATGCCTGTAGTCCTAACTACTTGGGAGGCTGAGGTAGGACGATCACTTGAGCCCAGAAGTTCAAGGATACAGTGAGCTAAGATCATGCCACTGGACTCCAGCCTGGGCAACAGACCAATTTATTTTCTTTCTTTTCTTTTCTTTTCTTCTTTTCTTTTCTTTCTTTTTTTTCTTTCTTTCTTCTTCTTTCCTTCCTTCCCTCCTTCCTTCCTTCCCTCCCTCCTTCCTTTCTTTCTTTCTCTCTCTCATTCTCTCTTCTCTTTCCTTCCTTCCTTCTTTCCCCCTCCCCCTCCCCTCCCCTCCCCCTCCCTCTCTTCTTCTTCTTCTTCTTCTTCTTCCTCTTCCTCTTGTTCTTCTTCTTGTAGAGATGGGGTCTCCCTAGGTTGCCCAGGCTGGTATCGAACTCCTGGGCTCAAGTGATCCTCCCACCTTGGCCTCCCAAAGTGCTGGGATTACAGGTGTAGGCCACTGCACGTGGCCCCAAGTTCTCTTCTGCAGAGGCAGCCACTTTCAACTTATTCAGCAGTTTTTCATGATATTTACTGCCTGATTTTAAACAAAGTGCTTATTATATTATTTCTTGATATTTCCATTTAAAATTTTACATATTGACTTTTGTAACTTCCTCTCACCAAGCCTCCCAATAAAGATATATCACAATTTTTAGTTAAATCAACACTTGGTGTATTCATTGGTATATTTTTGTACATATTTCATTGTATATCTGTCTTTTGTCTAAGTTAATAATTGCCTGTTTTGTCATTTGCAGAGTTTTCTGTGTACTTATTCTAAATATTTTCCCACAGGTTTCTGTCATTTCAAATATACTTATCAATATTTCTTTCAAAACACCTAAGTATCTATTTTTTATTTTTGTATTTTTAGTAGAGATGCGGGTTTCATCATGTTGGCCAGGCTGGTCTTGAACTCCTGACCTCAGTTGACAAAATACTTAAGTATTTCACATGCTCTATAAGTTCAGTTTTTAACCAAGTCTTTCTCCTTTACAAAGTCTTCTACTTTTCTGCTCCAATTTGGATTTACCTCAACCATCATCTGGGACTCCCTTTTTTACTGTCCTATATTGGGCCTTCCGATTTCTGAACTTGGCGTTCTTTGTTTTTGTGGTTTATTTTATTTTATTTTTATTTATTTATTTTTTTGAGACAGTCTCATTCTATTGCCCAGGCTGGAGTGCAGTGGTGCGATCTCGGCCCATTGCAACCTCCGCCTCCTCGGTTCAAGTGATTCTCCTGCCTCAGCCTCCTGAGTAGCTGGGCTTACAGGTGTTTACCACCATGCCTGGCTAATTTTGTATTTTTAATAGAGAGGGGGGTTTCGCCAAGTTGGCCAGGCTGGTCTCGAACTCCTGACCTCAAGTGATCTGCCTGCCTCAGCCTCCCAAAGTGCAGGGATTACAGGCATGAGCCACTGCGCCTGGCTTGTCTTCCTGGTTTATTTTCTCATTTTGCTCAAGCATGTTCTTTGGAAGTTTCTTAAGAATAGACTCAGAGGAGGCAAATGTTTGGAATGTTTGCATGTTGAAAACATCTTTATTTTGGCCTCATACATGGTTAGAAGTTGGGAAGGTATAGACTTCTCATAGAATTGTCACAGTAGCACTTTGTTGCCCCTAGCTTCTAGTTACGAAGTCTGATGTCATTCTAATTCCCAGTCCTTTGGATGCAAATTGTTTTCTTTTAGTTAGCTGTTAGGATCCCCTTTTTATTCCTAGTGCTCTGAATGCCATCATGATATACTTTTTGTATTTCCCTGTGCTGGACACCCAATGGGCTCTTTCAACGTGCAGATTTATGTTCCTTGGCTCTGGGAAAGTTCTTTATTTATTCCTTTGATAATTCCCTGTCTTCACTTTTCTCTGCTTTCTCTTTCTGAAAACTCTTAGTTAGACACTGATGTTCGTAGGTTGATCCTCTGTCTCTTATACTTTCTCACCAATTTTTCATCTCCTTATCTTTTGTTTCACTTCTGAAGCTTTCTTTCTTTTTTGGGGGGTGGGGTGGGGGCTGAGTACAGGTGACTTTGTTGATGGTACACAACAAAGCAGAGTTCCCCAGACCTTCCCTCTTCAGGGGGGATTCTCAGTGTGGTGGGGGACTGAGTGCAGCAGGGACTCCCCAGCAGCTGAGGGCCTCTCTCATCCTCTTTGCTCTGACTGGTGGTTCAGGGGTCTTACTCCTTGGAGGTTATGTGGAACTTGGCCTTGTTCATACTGGAACATGCTCATACTAGAACATGTAGGCCATGTAGTTGTGGTCAATGAAGGGGTCATTGATGGTGACAACATCCACTTTGCCAGAGTTAAAAGCAGCCCTGGTGACCAAGGCCCACTGTGGATACATCTGTTTATTCTGGCCTTCACCTTCACCCTGGTGTCTGAGGGGCGCAGCTGGTGCTGCATGAGAAAATGCAGCTGTCTCTCAAACTGGAGGAGCAGAGGGCTGACTCTCTTGATTTTATCTGTCTACCTTTTTTTCCCCCCAGAATATTTTATTTTGTCTATCTTTTTTACTGTCCAAAAACTTTTTCTTATTTTCTAATTGTTCTTTTTTCATAGTACCCCATTCCCTTTTTATGGATGCCTTATCCTTTCTTCCATTCAGAATGCTATAATGTTACAGCTTTTTTTTGGTTTTTCTTTAGTTTTCTGCATTGTTTCTATATCTTCAGGGTTCCTTCATTCCCTCTGTTTCAGAGTTGGTCTCTCGTGTTGGAGACTTGCCTCAAGTGTCTGGAGGTTCTCAGGTATCTTGTTCACAATGAAGCATAAGACATACAAAGGCTGATGGGCAGCTGTCATGTATGTTCAGGGCTTGCTGACCTGCTAGGCTTCTTTGAATGGTGAGGAGATGGCCAGCTGTCAGCATCTAGAATTTCTTTTTCTAGGGCTATTCAATTTCTCAAGTAATACCCCAATCTTCTACATGGCTGTCAGCCTTCTGGAAGCAGGGCAGACAAGCCTAGGGTGGTAGTAAGGACTGAGTTTCAACTGCTCAATATGTACAACTTTCCTTAATTCTCATCTTTGTAGCTTCTCCCCAACCCACATTTTCCACCTTGCTGGGTGTTCTGGGTCTGCTGAAAGGCTCTGTGTAGTTTTCCCAGAGAAAACTCCCTAACTAGAATCCTTGTTCTGCCCTTGCCTCCCCTATAGTCTATTTTTAACATAGAGCTGAAGCAATCCTGTTAAAATGTGGGTTACATCAGGTTACTTCTAGGTTTATCATTCTCAAAAGCCTTTCCTTGTCAACAGTTACACCCAAAAGTCCTCACAAGGGTCTAGAAGGCTTTCTGCTCTGCATACTTGCATCTCAAATTGTTTGTCCTCTGACTCTCCCATTCTAGCTCACTCCATTCAGCCATGCTGGCTGCTTTACTGAACACACCAGGAGGCTCCTACCTTAAGGCCTTGGCACTTGCTGTTCCTTCTAGCCAGAATGCTCATCTCTCAGATATTCACATGGCCTGCTCCATCACTACTTTAGGTCTTTACTTAAGTGTCCCTTCTCAGCAAAGCCTTCCCTAGCTACCCTAAGATGGCAACCCCCATGCCCTGACACACACTTTACCCCCTCATTTGCTTTATTTTTCCTCTAAGTATGATCCCCATCAGATATACAATCATATATATGCCTCATGAAGGCAGGAATTCATGACTCTCCTCCTACCAGGCCCAGAACAGGGCCTGGTACATGATAGGCATTTAACAAATATATATTGAAAGAAATAAGAATGAATAAATGAAATGTTCCTTCAGTACTCTGTTTTCTTATTAGTGAAAAAGCAGTAAGACAGGATAACAGCTTATTGTTTCACTAGCTATTTTTTTTTTAATGAAATGAGCTTGCTAATGTTTCTGAGGAAGATTTCACTGGGCCTCGTCCATCATTAAAGGCAGGTCATTAAGATCTCCTTGATAGCCAAGTAAGTGACCTCAGGCTGTTAATTTGGATTTCATGAACGAATTAGAATTAGAATTAGAAATTAGCTTGTTAACTTGCAAATGTTAAGAAACAATCAATTGAAGAACATTAGCTCTATAATCAGTAATACTATTAATTGCTTTTAATGTTTAAAATGATGCCATTAGGGCTGAATGGGAAGAGATTTTTCCTATAAAACCCAACCAGTTAACCCTGTTTTGAGGAATCTTCTTGGTGTTCAAACTAACAATCCAATTGAAGTATTCCATCAGAAACACCATAATTATTTCAGCTCAAGAGAGGGATGCATTAAGGCTACTCATGATACATATTACTATATTTGAAAAAAAGATTTCTTGAACTATAAATTACTTTTTAATGCCTTCTAAATGCGTATTTGTATTTTCAGGTGGATATTTCATAATTATCTTCTCATTTATGCAAATTAAAACATTTACTAAGCAAAGCATGATGTTTTCCAGCTCCAAATACATACTCAGAGATAATCACTTTCCATCAAGTCATCTGAGACTGATTGTCATTAGCATTCACTATAGTCATGGTCATGAGACTGCCTGCAGACTTGTAACATCTTCTCCCTCAATGTACAATGAAAAAGTTACTACGGTGCCAGGAAAAACAAATGAAAGCATTAACCTGCCTTCAGTTTATCAAGCTTAAAGCTATATTTGAACTAAATTTAACAGAGTAATTCTGCTGAAATTGAATTCAACTCTAATGGAATAGAAAGTAGATATTCTGTTTCTCTAAAATAAAGGGATAACTTAAACATCATGGAATCACTTGATTGGCTGTTAAAAATGTAGGAGTTTTAGTTTTAAAAATGTCAATACAATATACAGTAATATCATTATAATTCTTCTATCTAAAACTCTAGAGCATTAAAAGAAAAATGCAATCTATGATTATGCTATGCCTCTAAGACCATTCTGAGGAAATGGTAGAGACAGATGCTTGGACTGCTTAATTCTCTCCGCTTGACCTGCCCAGTAACATACCAAGAGTTCTTTCTACTTTCCTTAAGGTTGAATTTGCATTTTCAAATCTGTTTATGAAGTCTTCCATTGAGCTTCATTTAAAATGACATTTCTTCACCTCCTCTGCATTAGCAGGGCAAGCAGCCGTCATTAATTCCAGTCATGCATGCTGGCGATGGAGAGGGCAGGAGTGGCCATTGGAACCAACTCCTTCCACATGTGATTCTCTCCTTTTCAAAGGATTGCAGGATCATAGAAGACTTACTGCTCTCCCTATGCCAATCACAATTTAATCATCGTTTGATGATCCAGAAAGCACATCAAAATCTTACGGGGGGGTGTTACTTGAGTTTTCCAACTGATATCTGGAGACCTCTTTGCAGATTGGGCTGAGAGGAGAATGGAGAGTGGGAGAAGCATTTCTTCGAGAACAGGCAAGGATGAGAGGATCAAGAGAGAAAAAAAGCAATAGAGAAAATTTCCCTTTAAAAACATGCATTACTTAGATTGAAGGCTACATATGACATCCTAGAAATTCTTGAACTCTGTGCAAATCACCGGGAAAATTGACACAATGATGGCTGGCCTGTGACAGTGTTCCTGGTCATTGCATAGTTCGGGCCAGTTACTTAAATGAAAAAAGCGGAGCAAGTTGTGAGTAGTACAGCGTTTAGGAGTGAGTGGCTGTGGGCAGGTGGAGGGGAAACACATAATCTGAAAACACTCTACCTGTCTTTCTGGCTCTCAGCGCTTCAAGTATGTTAGCAGCAGCCATTTCTCCCAGAACATTGTTTCCAAGGTCAATTTCCCTTAAGTAGGCAGAGTATTTGATCAGGCTGTCAAAAGAAAATCACACACACACACACACACACACACACACACACACACACACACACAGGCATCGTGTCAAGCATTGTTACTCAAAGAACCTCAATCCAGTTATTTTGGAGAATGATCTCTCTTTTTAAACCCCTCCCCCAACCCCAAACCCAAGATGATGCATTGGCCCAATGTGAGACCAAAGACACCCCGAAACCAATTTTTACCAATCTACTCTCTCTAGTTTGGATACTTCTCCTAGGTAAGTTGGTAGAATAAGGATTTTTGGTTGCTTTAAATCCTTAATTCGTTTATTTACTCAAAAGATATGGTATGATATAACGTAATGCAGGACTTCCTGGTTTAGATTTTACATACCAGCAAATGTCCAAAAGTTTAGAGCGACAGACAAAGGTTTGGCAACTTTTAGTATGTCAAGAAATAACAACTATCCACACCGTAAACGAGCAAACATTTTTACATCAAATTAGTAAGGGCATAGTCTGAAAACAAAGGGTAGCTCTTTAAATCAAATAACTTTAGTTTTATGAAAAGTAAACTGTACTGTCATTACGTTTGTAATTTCTTTGAGGACTATTGAAAAAAAATGTTTTTTGAGACAGAGTCTCGCTGTGTCACCCAGGCTGGGGAGAAGTGGCATAATCTTGGCTCACTGCAACCTCCATCTTCCAATTTAAGCAATTCTTGTGCCTCAGCCTCCCAAGTAGCTAGAATTCAGGCATGTGCCACCACGGGAAATTTCTTAAAGTGCAGGCCTTGCACTGGACTGCTGACTGGTCTTTGGGACTCTCTGGCATCATGAGTGAATAAGAAATCTGGGCAAAGGCCTGGACTCCTGGTCAGCTTCAACCTCTTGTCAAATCACGTGTCAGATCATGTGATGACGGCAGGCTATGTGCCCTCACCTCCTTCATCTATAAAACTGGCCTGAAAAAGGCTGTTCTGTCTGTTTCGTAAGGTTGTAGTGAAAACAGAATGAAGTCATTTCTGTGAAAGCATTTTGCAAATGCAATGCCGCTGATGGTATATTGAGTGCATACTTATTACATGCATATTATGTACCTAGCACTGCAGGGATTAAGAGAGGTTTGACACATGGCCTCTGCTCTGAAAGAAGTTATATGACTATCAATAAAGCAATTTCAAGCCCTTACCATGGGCTGCAGGTATGAAATTTCAGTTAGGGTCCACATTGAATATGAGTCTACTTTCTCGCTCATTGTATATATTTTCCACTGATTCAGCAGCTGGAATGCAAGGCCAGAGCTGAATGGTCCTGCCAGACTCTCTCAAAGGTCTTGCTCTTGAGGAAACAGTCGGCCTAGTCAGGATTTGACCAGCCTTGGCTTCCTGAACTGCCTGGTTGTGTGCACTGTCTTCAGACAAAATGAGTGGACAGCAGGGATGTGAGGCGGAACAGAGGGTCCACAGAAGGAGGTCAGGAAGTGAGGAGGACAAACTTCATAACTCAATGATTCTACATCTAGGTCGACTCCAGAGGCTTTGGATCTCACCACTACACCATGCAGCCTCACATGAGCTAAGGTTTGATGGAGCATTCACTACACGCCAGCTGTGACCAGGGCCACCCACATGGTTAAGTGCTTGTGCCCTGCACAAGGTGCCTTCCAAGAGGGTAAGTGGGGCTGAAATCAAACAGAGATCTGCTTGCCAAATGCTGGGCTCCAAAGCGTGGACCTGGAAGGGGAATTTCCTCTGATTCATTTGCCAGAGGTGGTGACTTTGTAATTCATCTGTGCAAAATATTTCAAGTTCAAGACCAGCCTGGCTAACATGGTGAAAACTCGTCTCTAAAAATACAAAAATTAGCCAGGCATGGTGGCGAGTGCGTGTAATCCCAGCTATTTGGAAGGCTGAGGCAGGAGAATTGCTTGAACCTGGGTGGTGGAGATTGCAGTGAGCTGAGATCACACCACTGCACTATAGCCTGGGTGACACAGCGATACTCTGTCTCAAAAAAAAAAAAAAAAAAAAAAGACTTAAATTGAACTTTCAGAAATTAAAAAGTACAATGTCTGAGATAAGTAAAACACATTGGATGGACTTTGTAGCATAGTAGACATTGTAGACAATATGTGAAGACATAACAACAGAAACTACCCAAAGTGAAATGCAGAGGACAAAAAGACCGAAAAAAAAAGAACACAACATCATTTAGCTGTGGGACAAAATCAAGTAGCCTAACCTATATATAATTAGAGTTTCAGAAGAATAAAAGACAGGAGTGATAGAAAAAAAATACTTGAAAAGGAGTGGTCTAAAATTTTCTAAATTTGATGAAAACTGCAAACGCATAGATCTAAGAAGTTCAACAAACTACAATCTGAAAAAACAAGAAGAAAGTCACACTAAGCATGTCATACTTAAATTGCTGAAAACCAGTGATAAAAAGAAAGTCTTAAAAGCAGCCAGAGGCTGGGCATGGTGGCTCACACCTGTAATCCTAGCACTTTGGGAGGCTAAGATGGGCGGATCACTTGAGGCCAGGGGCTTGAGACTAGCTTGGGCAACATGGCGAAACTCTGTCTCTACTAAAAATACAAAAAAAATTTAGCTGGGCATATTGGTTGCACGCCTGTAGTCCCAGGTATTTGGGAGGCTGAGGCACAAAAATTGTTTGAACCGGGGAGGCAGAGGTTACAGTGAGCCAAGATCACGTCACTGCACTCCAGCCTGGGTGACAGTGAGACTCTGTCTGAAAAAAGAAGAAGAAGAAGAAGAAAAAGCATACAGAGGAATAAAAACAAATTATATACAAAAGAATAGAGATAAAAATGATGTCTCTTCAGAAACAATATGAGCAGAAGATAGTGGAGCAACATCTTAAAAGTATTAACTGTCTGCTGGGAGTGGTGGCTCACACCTATAATCCTAGCACTTTGGGAGGCCAAGACAGGTGGATCACCTGAGGTCAGGAGTTTGAGACCAGCCTGGCCAACATGGTGAAACCCTGCCTCTACCAAGAATACAAAAATTGGCCAGGTATGGTGGCAGGCGCCTGTAATCCCAGCTACTCGGGAGGCTGAGGAAGGAGAATCACTTGAACCCAGGGGGTGGAGGTTGTAGTGAGCCGAGATTGCGCTACTGCACTCCAGCCTGTGCGACAGGAGTGAGACTCCATCTCCAAAAAAAAAAAGTATTAACTATCAATCAAATATTTTGTACCCGGCCAAAAAAAAAAAACTTTATAAATGAAGGCAGCATAGACTTGTTAGATATACAAAGGCTTAGGGAATTCATCACCAGCAGACCAGGATTACAAGGCATGTATAAAGTAAGTCCTTTAGACAGAAGAATATGATATCACATAGAAATGTGAATATAGCCAAAGGACTAAAGAATGCCAGAATGGTAAATATGTGAATAAACATAAAAAACTCCCCCCTTATTAAAAAAACAACTGCTTAAACTAGACATAATAATAATGTATCCTTGGATTTATAACACTGGTAAAGGTAAAATATATGACTACAAAAACACAAAGGATAGGAAGAGAATGGAAGTATACTGTTGTAAGATTCTTATACTATAAGTGAAGTAGTATAAAGTTATTTGAAGGTAGACTGTAATAAGTTAAAGGTGAAGGCTGTAAACACTAGAGCATCCACTAGGAAAAAAAAGACTAAGAGGTATAGCTCACGAGCCAATAAAAGATATAAAAATGGACTTATAAACATTACTTAATCCAAAAAGCAACAGAAAACTAGTTTAAAAGGAACAAGGAACAGATGAGACAAATAGAAAACAAATGGCAAGATGATAGATTAAAAACCAAACAAACCATAAAGATAATCACATTAAATATAATGGTCTAAACAATTAAAAGACAAAGATTGTCAAATGGATAAAAAAAGAAGTTCTCAGCTGTATGCTGTCTATAAGAAACCCAATTTCAATATAAAAACACAGATAGGTTAAAACCAAAGGACGAAAACAGACAAATTATGTAAATATTCATTTAAAAAAACCTGTAGTGGCTATATTAATATCAATCAAAGTAGGGAGCATTACCAAGGATAAAGAAGAGCATTTCATAATGACGAGTGTCAATTCATCAAGAGGCACAACAATCAAAAATGTTTATGTACCTAAAAACAGAGCTTCAAAATACATGAGGCAAAAATTGATTAAACTACAAGGAGATATAAACAAAATCACAATTTTCCCCTCTCTCAATAATTGATAGAACATGTAAAAATTTGTACATATATAGAAGACTTCAATAACACTGCCAACCAACTTGACCTAATTGACATTTATGGGACATTCAATCCAGTAACAGCAGAATACACATTCTTTTCTCATGCACATGGAACATTTACCAAGATAGATCAGATCTGGGCCATAAAAGAAATAAAACAAGTGTGTTCCTTTTTTCCGCTAGAGATGAGATCTTGCTATGTTGCCCAGGCTGATCTCAAACTCTTGAGCTCAAGCAATCCTCCCACCTCAGCCTCTCAAGTAGCTGGGACTACATGACCACACCAGGCGTGGGACCTGTAGTCCCAGTTACTTGGGAGGCGGAGGTGAGAGAATCGCTTGAACCCGGGAGATGGAGGTTGCAGTGAGCCGAGATCATGCCATTGCACCAGGTATGTTTTCCAACCACAGCAGAACTTAATTAAGAATCAAGAGATTCTTAATCTCTTGATTAAAACAGAATGATATCTGAAAAAATATACACATATGTGGAAACCAAACAGAGCTGTTCTAAATAACCCATAGGTTAGAGAAGAAATGAAAAGGAACATTAGAAAATATTTTGAACTGAATGAAATGAAAATATAACATATCGAAATTTGTAGGATACAATAAAAGCAGTGCTTAGTGCTAACATAAACATTTATATTAGAAAAATTAAAACTTAAAATCAATAACTTAAGCTTTCACTTTAATAATCGAGAAAGAGAAGAGCATATTAAACCCAAGGTAAGCAGAATAAAGGAAATAATAAAGACAAGAGATGAAATCAATAAAGTTAAAAACAGAAAAACAGTAGTGAAAATCAAGAGTGGTTCCTTGAGAAGATCAATAAAATTAATAAATTTCTAACCAGATCAATCAGAAAAGAGAAAACACAAGTAATCAATATCAAGAATGAAAAAGGAGACATCACTATAGATGCTACAGACATTAAAAGGATCGTAAGAAAATATTATGAAGAACTTTATGCCAATAAATCTGACAAATTAGATGAAATAAATTTCTTGAAAGACACAAACTACTAAAGCTTTACTCAAGATAAAATATCCAGAATAGCCTTATATCTATTAAGGAAATTGAATTTAGACCAGGCATGGTGGCTCACGCCTGAGGCAGGAGAATTACTTGAACCCGGGAGGTGGAGGTTGCAGTGAGCCGAGATTGCACTGCTGCATTCCAGCCTGGTGACAGAGAGAGACTCCATCTCAAAAAAAAAAAAAAAAAAATTGAATTTGTTGTTAAAAACCTTCCCATAAAGAAAGCTCCAGGTCCAGATGTTTTCACTGATAATTCTACTGAATATTTAAGGGTGAGATAATGCCAATGCTACACAAATTATTTCATAAAATAGAAGAGAGGGGCACACTTGTTAGCTCATTCTGTAAAGCCAGAATTACCCTGATCTTAATGCCAGACAAAGATATTACGAGAAAAGAAAAGTACAGCTGTGTGTGGTAGCTCACGCCTAGCTGGGCAGATGACTTGAGATCATGAGTTCAAGACCAGACTGGCGAACATGGTGAAACCCCACCTCTACTAAAAATACAAAAAATTAGCCAAGCATGGTGATCCGCACCTGTAGTCTCAGTTACTTGGGAGGCAGAGGTGGGAGAATCCCTTGAACCCGGAGACAGAGGTTGCAGTGAGCCGGGATCATGCCGTTGCACTCCAGCCCAGGCAACAGAGCGAGACTCCATCTCAAAAAAAAAAAAAAAAAAGAAAAGTACAGACTAATATGCTTCATGAGCATAGATGCAAAAATCCTTAACAAAATTTTAGCAATATACTAAAAGCATAATATATCAGCAATATATTAAATCAGCATTGTGTTAAAAGGGCAATGAAATGAAGGTTATTAATAGGATTATTATAGAAAAGCAGAGAAGCTATTAAAGTTGAAAATCTTCCCAGCCTTCCTGAATAAGTATATTAGAGAAGATTCCCTTCCCTTCCCCTCCCCTCCCCTCCCCTCCCCTCCTCTCCCCTCCCCTCCTCTCCCCTCTCCTTCCCTTCCCTTCCCTTTCTTTCTTTCATGATGAAGTCTCATTCTGTTGCCCAGGCTGGAGTGCACACGATCTTGGCTCACTGCAACCTCTGCCTCCTGGGTTCAAGTGATTCTCCTGTCTCAGCCTCCTGAGTAGCTGGGATTACAGGTGTCTGCCACCATGCCCAGCTAATTGTTTTGTATTTTAGTAGAGATGCGGTTTCACCATGTTGGGCAGGCTGGTCTCAAACTCCTGACCTCAAGTAATTTGTCCACCTCGGCCTCCCAAAGTGCTGGGATTACAGGTGTGAGCCACCATGCCCAGACAGAGAAGGAATATTTTTCTTCTAAAATAATAAGTAGACTGGGTGCAGTGGCTCACACCTGTAATCTCAGCACTTTGGGAGGCCGAGGTGGGCAGATCACTTGAGGTCAGGAGTTTGAGACCAGCCTGGCCAACATGGTGAAACTCTGTCTCTACTAAAAATACAAAAATTAGCTGGGTGTGGTGGTGCACGCCTGTAGTCCCAGCTACTCAGGAGGCTGACGCAGGAGAATTGCTTGAACTAGGGAGGTGGAGGTTGCAGTGAGCAGAGATTGCACTACTGCACTCCAGCCTGGGCGACAGAGTAAGACCGTGTCTCAAAAATAAAAATAAAAGTAGTAATAATAATACTAAGTAGCCATCCATCAAGCTCTCAAGCCTCAAGCCTTGGCTGTGTTCTGTTGCCCTTGACTGTCCCCATGGTGCTGTCACTATCGACTACCTGAAACTATATATCTTGGAGTCGTTTCCACCCAGCAAGCTTTTTCTACAGTAGCTGCAAATCCTACTTGGCCCACTGGGGATGTGGACTCAGTAGGCCTGGACAGGGAAATGCCTAAGATTCTCAAGACAAACAAGGTAAGGAAATATCCTGTTTTTGAGAAGCTTTTGAGAATAGCTGTGTCCTTCTGCCTGAGGAGGCTGGGACAACTTTGTAATCAAACACAAAAGAGTGTTCACTCCTGAGTAGGCCGCCCTTCTTCCTCAGGTCACATTGATTACATTTTACATTATATCCTGACTTTAAGAAAGAAAAATTGGGAGGTCATACTTCCTGTTTTTCCTCAGTTGCCAACTTCTTAAAATGGGGCTTCTAGTGAGGTCTTTGAGACTGCTTTATGGTCCACACACAACTGTTTGCCACGTTAGGTACCAAGACCAAGATGGGTCACTGCTTGGCTCTCAGAGCTGAAAAACCTCATCGGAAACTGCTAAAAAGGTGCAGTTAAATAATTATCCCCATGATTTAATTCAAGCACTTAGTTTTAAAAGGTGAACAAATAAAGCCTCTTAACTTGCTACTTACCATGTTAAAGTTTGAATGAATTCCAATAAACCATTTTCTCCTTCTCTTCCTTTTCCATCTATGCCATTATCTGCCTAATGCAACTTCACTAACCAAGGACCACTTTCCATCAGACCTTCAATTTTCTTCTTGATTCCTACAAGAAAATCAAAGTATTTTATTATTTTTAGACAATAGTTCCCCTGTTTGTCACCAGCTAAGCTGACTTTATTCTTTTAGCTTGTACTTTACTGGACTTGTGTGAGTAGATGCATTTGCAGTATAGTCAAGGAAATACTGTATATATAATTTTTAAAGTCCTCGTTTTATACTCAGTACATCCTTCCTTCTTTAGAACAAGAAGCCCAAAATTACTCTGCATGAAAGGAAATTCCATCTAAGATTTAGATTGTTGCCTTTACTTTGAAGAGGAAAATGATGTATCTAGAAATTTCCTGGAAGAAGATGAATGAGTTGCCCACTGATCTAGGGGAAGTGATAGTTCTTGTGAAGGAATTCAGCCCTTTAAAGGAGCCTGAAAAGCTGTTACCTTTTTGAGCTTTAAAAGAGAAAATCTGAAGGAGAAAGAACCATCCTGCCTTTGTAGAATTCATGACTGGGCTCAGGGTTCCTGGGGTTGGTTCACACTTGTCAGTCGACACAGCTTTTGTAGAGTCTATTGTCAGTGCTGGGAAACAGCATCAGGTCCACATTTAATTTATGTCAGTTCAAGTTTAGGAGTTTGGCAAAGAAAAATACAGGAAGGGAATGGAGGAAAAGAAATAATCACAGGCATAATGAGGGCTCATCCACTCAGTAAGTATGAGATGGGAAATAGGAATTGGCAGTCCCACGTTCAAACTTTTTCTGGGGGCCTACAAGTGTTTAGAGTTATATGTGCCCCCTAAACACTAACCAACTACTTCATCTGGATCCAACTGAAGAAAGACCAAGTGATCTGTTCCAAAACTGGGGAAGAAACTGTGTGGGACTTAGAGATAATATGCCTAGATATTGTAATGTGTGGGCAAATTACGGAATTTTAAAGGATCATTTAACTATACACTAATTTTGTCCACAATGTCCACCATCGAGAGCCTAACCCTGGAGCTAGACAAGACTTGAATTCCTTCAGCATTTAACAAATATTTTCGAGCTCCTATTATGTGTCAGGCAGTGGTGTAGGTGCCAGGGACCCAACGGAGAACAAAAGAGACAAAAATCCCTCCCCTTATGAAGCCGACATTAAGTGAATGTTAACTAGCGTGGTTAGAGCAAGGAAGAGAACAGAGTCAAGGATAATCAAGCATAAGTTTTCAAGCCTGGAGGGAAAACTTGCTTTTCAGGAAAAGGAGATAAATTTGGACATCAGGCCTTCCTAGGTTGCCGGTTGGGGAAAAAGAGTAGAAAGTATGCTATTAAAAAAAGGATTTGATTGGTTTCTTTGGACATGAATCTAATCTGCTGGGTTGTTGGATTAAACAGACAGGATTGGCTGGGCGTGGTGGCTCACGCCTGTAATCCCAGCACTTTGGGAGGCCAAGAAGGGCAGATCACTTGAGGTCAGGAGTTTGAGACCAGCCTGGCCAACATGGTGAAACCCATCTCTACTAAAAATGCAAAAATTAGCCGGGTGTTGGGGCATGTGCCTGTAGTTCCAGCTACTTGGGAGGCTGAGGCAGGAGAATTGCTTGAACCCGGGAGGCAAACGTTGCAGTGAGCTGAGATTGCACCACTGCATAGCCTGGATGACAGAGCAAGACTCTGTCTTGAAAAAAAAAAAAAAAGGAAATAGGAAGGATTTATTTTCCTTTAGAACACAGTTGGAGGGATGAACACTGGCCCATCTTTTGGTTTTATTAGGGGTAAGCCTAACTTGTCTAAATCTCATTCATCCTTACATCTAAGTAAGGCATGGGAATGATAGCAAATGACAGCTGTCATGAATGATATAACAGTGCTACATTATTCACACTAGAATAGTATCTGGCACATGGTAGGTATTTAATAAATGTTTGTTCAATGAATCAATGAATCAATGACTAATAGAGTGTAAACTGCAATCGTGTTATGGAAACTTTATCTCACTGTTCAGTGCTTTTCCAAGTACAGTGTTTGCAATAATGCCTTGAGACCACTCGTGAACAAGATGAAATATGATTTTTCTATTTGTAAAATCTCTTCACAGAGAAAAATGCATTTGAAAACGTAAGTTGACTGCCCAGAATGATGAATGATGTGGATACTGATCACATGTGGCATCCATTTCTTTTTGTCTCCTTCTGGCATGATAGAAAGCAGTGGTGACCAATAGGGCCGAGGCTGAAAGCCAAAAGCTAAATTCCTTTACAGCTGCTCAGCTTTGCAAGGAAATACGTCATCTTAGCCAGTCTACATCCCTAACTTAGCCAGTGTGGCACAAACGTGTGCCCTTGGAGAGGAAGAGACTTCCAGGCCTGTGATTGGCCTGGTCTAATGTGTACTCCCATGGGAAAAACAATCAAAGTCTCCCTCCAGCTGATGATAAGAGAGGTCACAATGTCATCTCTGCCTGAAAAATAACCAGTTTGGAAAATGCTAGTCAAAACCACTCTCCAGAATTTAGACCTCTAATGAGTTACGGTGGCCCTGTTAGATAATAGGAAGGCTGGCATTGCTCAGTACAGGAACTTCCTGCTCCAGGGCTTTAACCAAAGTTCAAGCAAAACTGGATTCTTTTCCCTAGGTTGAAAACAAATTCCTTGGAGTAAGGGTGGGTATGTGCTCAGGCCTTGGTAATACTTGATACACCCCAGCTGTATTCACCGTAACCCTTTTTTACCTAATCTTACATTTCTTTACTTTGAAACAAAAACAGGCTCACTAACAATGACCATTTTAATTTATCCCCTCTGTCTGGGAGAATTTAGCAGTGGCATAGCTATGCCCGGTTGTGCCCAAGAGGCAGGGTGGTGTAGTGAGATGTGCGGAATCTCCAGGTTTAAAACCTCTCCGGAAAATGCTATGAAACTCCTTGGAAAGTCACTTGACTTCTCTGAATCTAAATTTCCTCTGGCAAAATAGAGATCATAATACCCATCTCTTAGAAGCATTGTGAGGACGGCTGGGAAGCATTGTGAAATAGTGGTGGTAGAGGCACGTAGGACACAGTTTTAGTGCCTCGCTTGCCAGCATTATCTCTGGCTTTCATACGTCACTGAAACACTGAAATGGGAGCAACCTGGTGAAGAAACTTCATGTGCAAGGGTCCTTCCTTCTACCACTGTCTCCCTGAGGGTCAGGAGGACAATGGCACACCTTCCCTGGCAGCCACTCCACAGATCTAGTATGGACCCACCCAGCCTTGTGCTTCCTCTCATTTTCTCTTTGGTCAATTGCCAAGCTTCCCCAGGTGTCCTGGACTTGAGAATCTTTCTCACCACCCTCTTTGAACTGGCTACTAGGTCCTGTCAATTCTCTTCCTTCTAAATATATCGAGACTCCATCTTTCTATCACTGCAGCCTCACTTTATCTTCTCTTGCCTGAACCAGTGTAAAAGCTTCCTGCTTTTCCTACCACTCCCCTCTCATCCCTGACTCCCGACACCACTCCAGAATCCTGCTAAGCTAGTGCAGTTGTCCTCTTCCTTCAGCGGACCTCGTCAGACACGATGAGAAGCCCTCTGACATTGATGAGAACTGGGAGATTGTGGATAGACTGTGCCTGACAGTGGAGGAGAAGATAATCACCAGGACAGAGGGTAACACTGATGACTTGCTCATTGGTGGAAATGCCTCCTCTGAAGGCCCCAAGGGCAAAGGTATCCAAAGCACCCAAAGTCATCTATTGGTGTTGATATTGTCATGAACCATCACTTGCAGGAAACCAGCTTCACAAAGGATGCCTACAAGTACATCAGCGGGGCAAGGTGGTTCACGCCTGTAATTCCAGCACTTTGGGAGGCTGAGGTGAGAGGATCATTTAAGCCTACCAGTTTGAGACCAGTGTGAGCAACGTGAAGAGACCCGGTCTGTACAAAAAAAAAATTAGCTGGCCATGGTGGTCACATCTATGGTCCCAACTACTTGGGAGGCTGAGGTGGGTGGATTGCTTGAGGCCAGGAGGTCAAGGCTGCAGTGAGTCATGATCACACCACTGCACTCCAGCCTGGGCCACAGAGTGAGATCCTATCTCAAGAAGAAAACAAAAAAAAGAAGTACATTAAAGACGACACGAAATCAATGAAAGGCGAACTTGAAGAAGAGAGATCAGAAAGAGTAAAACCTTTTATGGTAGGACTGCAGAATACATCAAGCACATCCTTGCTAATTTCAAAAACTACCAGTTCTTTTTTGATGAAAATATGAATCCTGATGGCATGGTTGCTCTACTGAACTACCGTGAGGATGGTGTGACCCCGTATATGATTTTCTTTAACAATGGTTTGGAAATGGGTAAATATTAACAGATTTGGCAATTACTTTGAATATATCACCTATCATCATAAATGGCTGCTGCTTGCCATCCACAAAACACCAGGTCTTAAGACAAATGGGCCCTTCATTTATTTTGACTGTGATTTATGTGGAGTGAAGGCCTTGTTTTTTTAAGAAAAAAAAAAAAAACATGTCACATAGGTTGTCTAAAAATAAAATACATTTAAACTTAAAAAAAAAAAAAAGCCCATAACTAGTCTCCTATCCTCTAACTATTCCTCTCTCTAAAGCACATTCTGCAAAACTGCCAAAGATGCTTTTCAAAAATCCTGTTCTCACTATGCTACTGTCCTGCTTCAAAACCATCATGTCTCCCCCTTTGCACACAGGAGAAAATCTAACTCCTGAACTCAGCATTCATGGCTTTCAGTCACGTGGGTCCACTGGCCTCTTCAGTCACATTTCCAGCCTCTTTCCCAATGACTGCTCTATGGCGAAAGTCACCCCTCCAGATGCCTAATACGCCAGGCACCTTCCTCCTGTGAGCCTTTTTTCATGTGGTCTGACTGCGTGGAACCTCCTCTCCTAACACAGCTGACAAACCTCTTCTCATTTCTTCCAAGGAGAGCCCTGTTTCCTAAATGGGCCAGTACTCAAAGGTCAGGTGTAAATTTTCATGGAACCAGCATCCCCCAGAAAGGCTCTCCATATCCTTCGCTTGCTGGCCTCTTCTGGGACCGCCAGAACAGGTGGGCATCCTACATTCTGGGGGGCATCAGATTAACCACTACTCAAATGTTCATCTGTGGATGCCAGGCCCTGGTAGACCTTCTCCTAGTGGTTGAATTATTTTTTCAAGTTGTTAAAAATAGCTTCTTTCCATCGAAAAGGAACGTGTGTAATTTCCTGTGTAAGTCCTAGTTTTATAAACCAGAACATAAACTGTTTGCTTGATTATAGGACTTAAGAAGGCAAAATGTAGTGTTTGATGATTCACACCTTGGGCCTTGGGACCTTTCTATAAAGGTTTCCATTGTTTAGCTGTCACCCCAGGATGAAGCCCCAAATAAAATAATTGCAGGATTATAACTGGTAACTTCCTGTTTTGGAACTAATAAAGCTGTTTTGAAGATTACATCTTGACTTTTGAACTTGGTCTTTGCATTCCTTAATGCCACTGGTATTTCTGTGGACTGTGGCTATGATATAAGCAACAATGCCTTATTTGGGGAAGTGTATTTGCCACTTGGGTGGCATGGTACTGTAGTAAAGTTCTGATCAATCCCAAGTTTGTGGACATACCATTTTATGGTTGGATTTTTGCCCCATGTACATGCCTAAGTCACTTACTGGCTCTCCCTGTCCTAAATCCTCCAAAATTGAAACAGCCCTGGAGGTTGTCTGTGGGGCTTGGGCTGGGAATGAACAGGCACAGGATACCCCAAGTCCTCACTGGGTCTTTCAAGAACTTTGGGGGCCTTGAGGCAACAAGGCAGCACTGGCTGAATAGGGCTCAGAGAAACCATCTAAACTGAGGGTGGCTATTCCTGACAACCTTACAGTGACTTCCAATCTTCAGCTATCTTTTGGCTCTTTGTGGACCTCGCAGGTTTGTGACTAGGCATAGACCAAGCCAGACATCATCCACTTGAGCACCGATCAACTTCCAGGCCCACGATTCCTAGTTCCTGTATCCCCATGGTACAGAGAGCCATGGGGCTCAGAGGTGGCTTCCCTGAATATAGAAGAAGAAAGTATAGAAGACAGTATAGGAGAAGACAGAGAAGCCAGAATGGAAATGGGACTGAGTCTTGTCTGTTCTGCGGTTTTCAGGGCAGAGAAGAGGCATCTCAGAGCCTCGGTCTGCTCTCTGATTTTCTTCATTGTGCAAAATAAATCAGGAGCAGACAGTCTGATTTTTTCAAGTCCAAAACAGTGATTCTCAAAGTGTGATCCTCGGACCAGCAGCATCAGCACCCTGGGAACTGGATAGAAATGCACACTGTCCAGCTTCACTCAGACCTACTTACTCAGAACCTGAGGGGTGGCGCCCAGCAATCTGTGTTTTAACAAGCCCTCTGGGTACCTCTGAGGCTGCTCAAATTTGAGGACCCTTGTTTTAATAACTCTTCATCTTCAGGGGTACACTGAGGCAAGACTGATTTGGACAAAAATCTTTAACTCCTGCAAACATAGAAAGAAGGTATTTTGCTTCCTTTATTAACTTATAAATGGTTGCTCAATGTAAAGCTGTCAAGTTCTTGTATTGCTCTAAATGTTCTTATCACTCCAAATGAGAGGAATAATAATAGGCACAGGTTTCCTAGTGCAGGTTTTGCCTCAATGGCATTGTGGGGACAACTTTCCAAGCAGCAGGCCAAAAGCCTCTTGTCCACAAAGAGGCCGGCATGGAAATCGTTTGACTGTTTCCAGTTAGAGCCAAATGGAAACCATGTGGACTTGTCACCCAGGAGGCTGATGTAGATCAGTCTGAATCTTTACTTTGAAACAAGTAGAACTCTTCTGCCAAAGATCAAACTCACCCCCCAAACACTTTATGATAGCAAAAACAGTTGTCAAATGTGGAAAGCTGTTGTTGAATTTGCTTTGTAAACTCTGGAAAGCATGACACTAGTCTGCCCTGAAAGGAAGCTATAAAATAAGTATAATATTAGATACAAAAGGATTTGAGGCAAAGAATTCCTTGGGAAACAAAAGACTTTAATGGCTCCCAATGTCTACTAGGTTAAGTACAAACTTTCCACCTGACATGCAAATTCTTCCTTACTATGACCCTCCCGTCTTGCCAAGGGCCGCCCTCCTCTCATCCTCTTGTTCTACCTAAACCTGCAGGCTCATGGCGTGCATTAAGGCCCTTCTTCCTCACTTAAGTCCTTCCTCACCTAAGTCTTTCCTTTGAAAAAAAATTTTTTTTATTTCCATAGATTATTGGGGAAAAGGTGGTGTTTGGTTACATGAGTAAGTTATTTAGTGGTGATATGTGAGATTTTGCTGCACCCATCACCTGAGCAGTATACACCGAACCCTATTTGTAGTCTTTTATCCCTCACCCTCTTCCCAGCCTTTCCCCCAAGTCTCCAAAGTCCATTGTGTCATTCTTTTTTTTTTTTTTTTTTGAGATGGAGTTTTGCTTTTGTTGCCCAGGCTGGAGTGCAATGGTGCGATCTCGGCTTACTGAAACCTCTACCTCCTGGGTTCAAGTGATTCTCCTGCCTCAGCCTCCTGAGTAGCTGGGATTACAGGCATGCACCACCATGCCCAGTTAATTTTTGTATTTTTAGTAGAGACAGGGTTTCTCCATGTTGGTCAGGCTGGTCTTGAACTCCCAACCTCAGGTGATCCGTCCCCCTCAGGCTCCCAAAGTGCTGGGATTACAGGTGTGAGCCACCGCGCCCGGCCCATTGTGTCATTCTTATGCCTTTGCATCCTCATACTTAGCTCCCACTTATGATTGAGAACATACGATGTTTGGTTTTCCATTCCTGAGTTACTTCGCTTAGAATAATAGTCTCCAATCTCATCCAGGTCGCTGTGAATGCCATTAATTCATTCCTTTTTATAGCTGAGTAATATTCCATCATATATATACACCACAGTTTCTTTATCCCTTCATTAATTGATGGGCATTTGGGTTGGTTCCACGTTTTTGCAATTGCGAATTGTGCTGCTATAAACATGCGTGTGCAAGCATCTTTTTCGTATAATGACTTCTTTTCCTCTGGGTAGATACCCAGTAGTGGGATTACTGGATCAAATGGTAGTTCTATTTTTAGTTCTTTAAGGAATCTTCACACTGTTTTCCATAGTGATTGTACTCATTTACATTCCCACCAGCAGTGTAGGAGTGTTCCCTGTTCACTGCATCCACACAAACATCTATTACTTTTTTATTATGACCATTCTTGCTGGAGTAAGGTGGTATTGCATTGTGGTTTTGATCTGCATTTCCCTGATCATTACTGATGTTGAGCATTTTTTCATATGTCTGTTGGCCATTTGTAGATCTTCTTTTGATAATGTCTATTCATATTCTTAGCCCACTTTTTGATGGGATTGTTTATTTTTTTCTTGTTGATTTGTTTGAGTTCATTGTAGATTCTGGATATTAGTTCTTTGTCAGATGTATAGATTGTGAAGATTTTTTCCCACTCTATGGGTTGCTTGTTTACTCTGCTGACTATCCCTTTTGCCGTGCAAAAGCTCTTTAGCTTAATTAAGTCCTAGCTATTTCTCTTTGTTTTCATTGCTTTGCTTTTGGGTTCTTGGTTATGAAATCCTTGCCTAAGCCAACGTCTAGAAGGTTTTCCCAATGTTATCTTCTAGAATTTTTATAGTTTCAGGTCTTAGATTTCAGTCCTTAATCCATCTTGAGTTGATTTTTGTAGAAGGTGAGAGATGAGGATGCAGTTTCATTCTGCCACATGTGGCTAGCCAATTATCCCAGCACCATTTGTTGAAAAGGGTGTCCTTTCCCCACTTTATGTTTTTGTTTGCTTTCTTGAAGATCAGTTGGCTGTAAGTATTTGAGTTTATTTCTGGGTTCTCTATTCTGTTCCATTGGTCTATGTGTCTATTTTATACCAGTCAGGGCTGTTTTGGTAGCTATGGCCTTATAGTATAGTTTGAAATCAGGCCGGGTGCTGTGGCTCACGCCTGTAATCCCAGCACTTTGGGAAGCCAAGGCAGGCAGATCACCTGAGATCAGGAGTTTGAGACCAGCCTGACAAACACGGTGAAACTCCATCTTTACTAAAATACAAAAATTAGCCTGGCATGGTGGCGGGCGCCTGTAGTCCCAGCTACTTGGGAGACTGAGGCAGGAGAATCACTTGAACCCAGGAGGCAGAGGTTGCGGTGAGCCGAGATCACACCACTGCACTCCAGCCTGGGTGACAGAGCAAGATGCCATCACAAAAAAAAAGAAAAAAGAAATCAGATAATGTGATGTCTCCAGATTTGTTCTTTTTGCTTAGCCTTGCTTTGGCTATGCAGGCTCTTTTTTGGTTCCATATGAATTTTGTACTTGATTTTTCGAATTCTGTGATGGTATTTTGATGGGAATTGCGTTGAATTTGTAGATTGCTTTTGGCAGTAGTCATTTTCACAATATTGATTCTACCCATCCATGAGCATGGGATGTGTTTCCATTTGTTTGTGTCATCTGTGATCTCTTTCAGCAGTGTTTTGCAGTTTTCCTTGTAGAGATCTTTTGCCTCCTTGGTTAGGTATATTCCTAAGCATTTAATTTTTTTTTACAGCTATTGTAAAAGGGGTTGGGTTCTTGATTTGATTCTCCGCTTGGTAGCTATTGGTGTACAGAAGAGCTACTGATTTGCGTACATTAATTTTGTATCTGGAAACTTTGCTGAATTCTTTTATCAGTTCTAGGAGCTTTCTGGAGGAGTCTGTAGTGTTTTCTAGGTAAACAATGATATCATCAGCAAACAGCGATAGTTTAACTTCCTCTTTACCAATTTGGATGTCCTTTATTTCTTTCTCTTGTCTGATTGCTCTGGCTAGGACTTCCAGTACTATATTGAAAAGGAATGGTGAGAGTGGGCATCCTTTTCTTGTGCCAGTTCTCAGAGGGAATGCTTTCAACTTTTTCCTATTCAGCATTAGGTCAGCTGTGGGTCTGTCATAGATGGCTTTTATTATGTTGACGTATGTCCCTTGTATGCTGACCTTGCTGAGAGTTTTAATCATAAAGCAATGCTGGATTTTGTCAAATGCTTTTTCTGCCTCTATTGAGATGATCATGTGATTTTTGTTTTTAATTCTGTTTATGTGATGTATCACATTTATTGACTTGCATATGTTAAACCATCCCTGCATCCCTGGTATGAAACTCACTTGATCATGGTGGATTATCTTTTTGATATGTTATTGGATTCAGTTAGCTAGTATTTTGTTAAGGATTTTAGCACCTATGTTCATCAGGGATATTGGTCTGTAGTTTTCTATTTTGGTTATGTCCTTTCCTGGTTTTGGTATTTGGGTGATACTGGCTTCATAAAATGATTTAGGGAGGTGTTAGAGACAAGCCGCCCCAAAAAAGCTTCTTGGTATCACCAACATCCCTCCCCTTCCCCCAAACCTTTTTATATTTCTAAGCCCTTATCTAGGCAGCACGGTGAAGCCAGCAGACTTTACCTATCAGGCCTTACTGCTATAAAGCAAACCCCAATTACAAACCATCCAGACTGCACAAGGGGAGGTCACGGAAAGCACAAACAAACTTTACCTACACCCTTAGTATCATAAACGTCACAAGGTGATATGTGGCAGAGTTGACCAACAAACAACCCCAGGGTCTCTCTCCCCCATATAAATCCTTCATTTTGTAAGCTCAGGGCTGCCTCCTCTGTCTGTAATGAAGCAGCCAGCAGGTTCAATAAACTTACTCGCCTGAACTTGGGTCTCTCTCTCTTGTCCTTTCTCTCGGCTGACCTTACATTCTGGTGCCAAAACCCGGGAAGGGGATAGATGCTGGCTGGGACTCTCTTTCTCCCTTTCTCTCTCTCTCTCCCCTATCACCCCTCTCCAAGCCAACTTCCCCTTTCCTGAACCTGCCGAAGACCCAGAGACTCTCCTAGAATCTCCCATTGCTGGCAACCTCATCCACCATCAAAGCCTCCGCCAGGGTGAGTGAAAAAGAGACTGTTACCATTCCCCGGAACCCTTGACCGTCCGTCTCTCCGTTTCCAAAAGACCCAGCGCTGGGCCAAGGGTTTCCTCTGGCCTCCGGGCCTCTGGTTCCTCCGTTTCAGGGACGCCTGACTTGGCGATTATCTCCTCTATTCCAGACAAGTTCCACGGGAAAGGGGATGCCCTCTCCTGCCATCCTTGTCACCAGCAGTCTCTTTTTCCTCTACCCCAGCCCCCTTCCATTCACTGTGAGAGCCTCTCAGTCTACCCCTTCCAAGACTACCCTTCTTAGGTGTCTCCTCCGCAGTCTCAAAGCTCTTGGCCTCCGTTCAGAAATCCGCCCTAAAAGGCTTATTTTTTACTGTAATACTGCATGGCCTCAATACAAATTGGACCGTGGCTCCTAATGTCCCGAAAATGGCACTTTCTATTCCGACGTGCTCAAAAACTTAGACAACTTTTGCCATTGCAATGGGAAATGGTCTGAAATTCCTTATGTTCAGGATTTCTTCACCCTCCATAGCTGCCCTTCCCTCGTCAGTCCTGTTCTGCTTTCCAAATTCTCCTTGCCCTCTCCAAACCTGACTCGCCTCCTGCCCCCACTCCCACAGCCCCAGCCGATGATTCCTCTTCCTTTGACCCCACCGATATTCCCCCTCCCCAACAGCATCATAACCCTCCACCGTAAGTCCCCGCTCCAGCTCTCCCCCTCTCTCCCCCTCTCTCTAACCACCCCGCTTCTGACTCTGAGTCCTCTCCGTCTCCGCCCCTCACCCGTTCTCAGGCCCAACATGCTCGGCAACCAGCTCCCTTGCTTCCTCTCTGGGAAGTAGCAAGAGCTGAAGGTATTGATAAAATTCATGCTCCCTTTTCCCTCACTGATCTCTCTCTAATTAACAAAGGAGTTCATTTCCAGAGGACTCTGCCTCTTATATTAGGGAGTTTCAGTACCTTACCCAGTCTTATGAACTAACCTGGCATGACCTCTATGTTATCCTCTCTTCCACCCCCACCCCAGAAGACCTGGACTGTATCTGGACCCTAGCTCAGGCACATGCTGATACCATATCACCAGGCTCCTGCCCAGCCTACTGGTGCAAAGGCAGTCCCCAGCCAAAACCACCAATATTCAGCACAAGATTCAGAAGGTTGACAATGGCCCTCAAACCCCACCTTCTTAATTTAGCCTTCAAAGTCTTTAACAATCATGATGAGGAAAAAAAGGCAAAAACAGGCAGAGTTTCAAATGCTTACCTCTGTCATCTGGGGCCCTGCAGGCCCATGGGGCCGCAGCTCCACACGGAAACCTCCTAGCAATCCACCTCCACCTGGCACCTGTTTCAAGTGTGGCAGTGAAGGCCGCTAGTCCAGACAATGCCCTAACCCAGGTAAGCCCACCAGGCTGTGCCCCCTCTGTGAAGGACCCCACTGGAAGTTGGACTGTGAGCAACCCCCACAAGGACCGCCCCCATCCCTTCCTGAGCTGGCCAAAACCTGCTACTTGGATCTCATCGGCCTTGCCGCTGAAGACTGATGGTGTCCTGGAACAGACACCCTGGCAACTACCATCACTTCATCCGAGTCAAGGGTAGCCCTGATGGTGGCAGGTAGGCGAGTATGTTTTTTCTAATTAATACCGGGACAACCTACTCTGCTTTACCTAATTTTTCAGGACCCACTGAGTCCTCCCAGCTCTCTGTTACAGGAATTGATGGACAAGTCTCCAAACCCCGAGCCCCCCACCACCCTTCTGCTCCCTGCACACCTTTTCCTTCACTCACTCTTTCTTAGTCCTGCCCTCATGCCCAACTCCATTCCTAGGCAGAGACATCCTTTCAAAACTCCACACTACTCTCCACCTCCATGGTGACCTACTTAGAAATTCAACTTTCCCCTGAGGCCTGGGCTATGAGGCCAGCCCAAGCAGCATTAATAGATCATCTACCCGCTCCCTCCTCCAAAAGCAAAATCCTTTCCTTCTTAGGATTAGCAGCCTTCTTTAAAATATGGATTCCCAACTGTGCTTCCTAGTTCGCCCCCTCTATAAAGCGGCCAAAGGCCCTCTCAATAAACCCCTAAATCCCTCACATAACATACTCCCCAGCTTCCACAAACTCCAAACCGCTCTTGTCACTACACCAGCTCTGTCCTTACCTGATATCTCCCAACCTTTCACTATCTGTACTGCCAAAAGCTGAGGAACAGCCCTCGGTGTCTTAGGACAACAAAAAAGAAATCCCCCTTTCTTCGCTCCCTGTAGCCTACCTCTCCAAACGATTAAACAACACAGTTGGAGGACGGCCAACCTGTCTTAAAAGGCTAGCAGCAGCGGCCACTTTAACTCTAAAAAGCAAAAAACTAATATGCAGTCAAAATATCACTGTTTACAGTCCTCATAATATACAGGATCTCCTCTCCCCCTGAGCTTTAGGCTCCCTTCCTCCTTCCCAAATACAATTACTCCATGCTCTCTTTATCAAAAATCCTAAATTCAGTCTTGCCAACAGTGCTCCCCTCAACGCAGCATCCTTACTCCCTGTGTCTTCTTCCCCTCCTACTCATTCTTACCCTGACATCCTAGATCACCTGCAGCCACACTTTCCAAACATTTCCTCCGAGCCTCTCACCAACCCCGATGACCAGCTATTTATAGATGGCTCCTCTTCTGGGCCCACTGGCCCTCCGAAAATTGTTGGGTATGCGGTTGTTTCCCTTAACTGAGTAATTGAAGCTAAGCCCCTACCTCCAGGAACCTCCTCTCAGAAAACAGAACTCATAGCTCTCACCAGAGCCCTAACCCTCTCCAAAGGCAAACGAGTCAACATTTACACAGACTCCAAATATGCATATCACATTCTTCATTCCCACACCGCCATCTGGCATGAGAGAGGATTTCTTACTGCCAAAGGGACCCCCATCACTAACGGCCCCCTTATTTACCAACTCCTTCAGGCCGCACACCTCCTAACTGAAGTGGGAGTTATGCACTGTCGGGGACATCAAACAGGAACAGATAAAATCTCAAGAGGGAACAGAAAGGCTGATAAAGCAGCAAAAGAAGCCTCCCTTTTTTCCGCTCCTGCCTCCCTCCTCCTCATTACCCCTGCAATCCAACCTCAATACGCCCCCACTGAAATCGCCTCATTACTACAACAAGGAGCCTTCCTCCAGGGGGGCTGGAGAGTTAAGGACCAGAAGCTAGTCCTACCCCAGTGCCAAACCGACAGAATCCTGACATCTCTCCACCAATCCTTCCATATTAATGCACGTCCCCCATATCTCCCCTTCCACCCATATTTCTTCTCCCCTCACCTATTCACCTCACTAAAAAACGTAACTTCAAACTGACATATATGCTCTGCCGCCTCTTCTCAAGGAGGTCTCCATTCCCCATCTATTATACTACTTACCCTATTGTTTACAGTAAAATTATATAGTGTAACTCCTTCCAGTTGGAATACCAGCCAAAAAGTCTCCCTCACTTTAGCCTTCTGCCTAATCGTTATCCTTATAGCAAAAATCACAATCGCTAACAAACAAGCATTCCCCCATCCTCCCTAGATGCCCTGCTTCTGTCTGTCCTGCCACTTCACTCTCTTCCTTCACGCCTCTCACAGAATATTTCCTGGTTCCACCCATGGAACAACACTCTGGAAGCCTTTTTCGAGTGGATAACCGAACTTTTCCTCCAAGGCTCTCTCTACGGCTTCACTCCGGACAAAATCAAACTATTTACTTTTCTGCTCACTTTCTGCCTTTCTAACCTGTCCCATAATTAATACTCCAACCCTTCTTTCGGCCCAACCAATACCTACAACCCCTAAACACCTATACAGAAACTAAAAAACTCCAGTTCCTCCCTGGCAAGAGACTTCTGGTTCTGCGTATCCCTCCACTCCACAACATACAATATAATCCCTGCCTCAGCCTATAACTGAACTTCCACCCAAGTAACCTACCATCCTAAAATCCTCATTAACAGCCCCCTCAAACTCAACATACAGGCATTAACAAAAATCTCCCCCAAGTTAGCTAGCGAGTTTGGTCCGGTGGTTACAACTTTACATCCCTACTTACGCGACCTATCCCCAACCTATCCCCCTGCCACAGCCGTAATAAAACCCGTATTAGGAGCCATAACAACCCACTCAATCTTATCTTATCCAGCATCACTGTGCGACCAATGACATCTACCCTCTGGCAGTCCCCTCAGTCACCTAAATTCCAAACTGTGAAACTATACCTTACAACTCAAACCTTCCAGCAAACATACTACTCTCAAAGCTGCCAACAATAAAGACAGGCTTCCTTTCTCCAGCCCCCCAGCCCTTAACACCTCCCACCTCATTAACAAAACTTCAGAGTAGTGCAATGGCCAATGTCTCCCCTGTTTATCCCTCTTCCCTTGGCTCCCCTCTCCATGCACCATCCCTGCACCCACCACCCGCAACTGTCTCCTTATCCCAACATCCAGCCACACTCCCACATGAATCTTAGTAAACACAAAACGCTTCCTCTCACACTGGGAAAAAACAGCCCAAAAGCCTCCCAGCCCAAACCAAACACCCCTTTACAACCACTTACAGCAGCAGCCCTAGCCGGGACCCTAGAAGTATGGATGCATGAAAATAACAAAACAGTACATCTTTTCAGCATATGCAACAAGTTCTGTCTACCAAGCCAAGGCAGACTTTTCCTCTGTGGTACCTCAACTTATATTTGCCTCTCCTCTAACTGGAGAGGCACCTGCACCCTGGTTTTCCTCAGTCCAAAAATCAACACTGCCCCAGGAGACCAGCCCCTACCAATCCCAGTTAATACCCCTATCTGACACCGCCATGCTATATAACTCACACCTCTGTTAGTAGCCCTTGGAATAACTACAGAAGTTGGAACTGTGATTGCGAGATTAGCCACCTCCGTTTTCTATTACCAATCCCTCTCCAAAGACCTCACAAATAACTTGGCAGACATAGCCAAATCCATTACAACTCTCCAATCACAAATAGATTCTTTAGCAGTGGTAGTTCTTCAAAACCACAGAGGCTTAAACTTACTCACAGCCAAAAAAGGAGGATTCTACCTTTTTCTAGATAAACAGTGTTGCTTTTATCTTAATCAATCTGGCTTAGTACAAGATGCTGTAAAAAGACTAAAGGACTGAACACAAAAAATTAAGAAAAATGTCCCCCAGTGGCCAGCGTGGCCCTCCTGGTCCTTTAGCACCTGGTTTCCATGGCTAACGCCCCTCCTAGGCCCAGCCATAACCATTCTTCTCTTTCCAGCATTCAGCTCAAGTCTCCTATGACTTCTAACCCAGTTTTTACAGGACCGTATCAGAGCCTTCACCCGCTGGACAATACAAAATATGATGCTGCTCCAGGAATACCAACAGCTCCAAGAACAGCAGTCCCTACCGTCCAGCCTTTCCCCATAACCGTCACCCCTTCCCAGCAGGAAGTAGCCAAACGACAATGGCGTCCCTCTTCTATTACCTATTAAAAGGCTGGAATGTTAGAGACAAACTGCCCCAAAAAAAGCTTCTTGGTATTGCCAACACCAATCCCCTCCCCACAGGCCTTTTTACATTTCTAAGCCCTTATCTAGGCACCACGGTGAAGCCAGCAGACTTTACCTATCACGTCTTACTGCTATAAAGCAAACCCCGGTTATAAACCATCCGGACCACACAGCGGGAGGTCATGGAAAGCATAAACAAACTTTACCTACACCCTCCAGTACCATAAACATCACAAGGTGATATGTGGCAGAGTTAACCAACAAACAACCCCAGGGTTTCTCTCCCCCATATAAACCCATCATTTTGTAAGCTCAGGGCTGCCTCCTCCGTCTGTAATGGAGTATTAGTAGCTGAAAGGACTGTTGTAACTTGGGCCTTGTCAGGCCTCTGAGCCCAAGCTACCCAAATCCTATAAAACTGTCCCACCTCTAACTCCCTTTACTGACTCTCTTTTCAGACTCAACCCACCAGCACCCAGATGATTAAAAAGCTTTATTCCTCACACAAAGCCTGTTGGTGGTCTCTTCACACAAACGCACATGACATTTGGTGACTCAGATCAGGGGACCACCCTTGGGAGATCAATCCCCTGTCCTCCTGCTCTTTGCTCCATGAGAAAGATCCACCTACGACCTCGGGTCCTCAGACCAACCAGCCCAAGGAACATCTCACCAATTTTAAATCGGGTAAGCAGCCTCTTTTTATTCTCTTCTCCAACCTGTCTCACTATCCCTCAACCTCTTTCTCCTTTCAATTTTGGCACCACCCTTCCATCTCTCCCTTCCCTTAATTTCAGTTCCTTTCCATTTCTGGTAGAGACAGAGGAGACACATTTTAGCTGTGAACTCTGGCGTCAGTCACCGACTCTGGAAGACAGTCTTCCCTTGGTGTTTAATCACTGCAGGGATGCCTGCTTGATTATTCACCCACATTTCAGAGGTGTCTGATCACTGTGGGGATGCCTGCCTTTATCCTTCACCTTGGTGGAAAGCACCACCTCCCCTGGGGGCAAGTACCCCCACCCTCCGTGTCTCTACCCTCTCTTTTCTCTGGGCTTGCCTCCTTCACTATGGGCAACCTTCCATCCTCCATTCCTCCTTCTTCTCCCTTAGCCTGTGTTCTCAAGAACTTAAAACCTCTTCAACTCACACCTGACCTAAAACCTAAATGCCTTATTTTCTTCTACAATACCACTTGACCCCAATACAAACTTGACAATGACTCCAAATAGCTAGAAAATGGCACTTTCAATTTCTCCATCCTACAAGATCTAGATAATTCTTGTCGTAAAATGGGCAAATGGTCTGAAGTGCCTGATGTCCAGGCATTCTTTTATACGTCGGCTCCTCCCTAGTCTCTGTTGCCAATGCGACTCATCCCAAATCTTCCTTCTTTCCCTCCCTCCTGTCCCTTCAGTCCCAACCCCAAGCATTGCTGAGTCTTTTCAATTTTCCTTTTCTACGGACCCATCTGACCTCTTCCCTCCTCCCCAGACTGCTCCTTGCCAGGCCGAGCCAGGTCCCAATTCTTCCTCAGCCTCCACTCCCTGACCCTATAATCCTTTTATCACCTCCCCTCCTCACACCCTGTCTGGCTTACAGTTTCATTCCATGACTAGCCCTCCCCGACCTGCCCAACAATTTCCTCTTAAAGAGGTAGCTGGAGCTGAAGGCATAGTCAAGGTTAGTGCTCCTTCTTCTTTATCCGACCTCTCCCAAATCAGTTAACATTTAGGCTCTTTTTCATCAAATATAAAAACCCAGCCCAGTTCATGGCCCATTTGGCAACAGCCCTCGGACCCTTTACCGCCCTAGACCCAGAAGGGCCAAAAGGCTGTCTTATTCTCAATATACATTGTATTACCCAATCTGCTTTTGACATTAGAAAAAGCTCTAAAAATTAGATTCCAGCCCTCAAACCCCATAACAGGACTTAATTAACCTCGCTTTCAAGGTGGACAATAATAGAGAAGAGTTGCAATTACTTGCCTCCGCTGTGAGAGAAACCCCAGCCACATCTCCAGCACAGAAGAACTTCAAAATGCCTGAACTGCAGCGGCCAGGCATTCCTCCAGGACCTCCTCCCCCAGGATCTTGCTTCAAGTGCTGGAAATCTGGCCACTGGGCCAAGGAATGCCCACAGCCTGGGATTCCTCCTAAGCCATGTCCCATCTGTGTGGGACCCCACTGGAAATCAGACTGTCCAACTCACCTGGCAGCCACTCCCAGAGCCCCTGGAACTCTGGCCCAAAGCTCTCTGACTAACTCCTTCCCAGATCTTCTAGGCTTAGTGGCTGAAGACTGATGCTGCCTGATTACCTAAAAATCCTCCTGGACCATCATGGATAGCTCTTACAGTGGAGGGTAAGTCCGTCCCCTTCTTAATTAATACAGAGGCTACCCACTCCACATTACCTTCTTTTCAAGGGCCTGTTTCTCTTGCCTCCATAACTGTTGTGGGTACTGACGGCCGGGCTTCTAAGCCTCTTAAAACTCCCCAACTCTGATGCCAACTTGGACAGCATTCTTTTATGCACTTCTTTTTAATTATCCCCACCTGCCCAGCTCCCTTATCAGGTTGAGACATTTTACCTAAATTATCTGCTTCCCTCACTATTCCTGGGCTACAGCCACACCTCATTGCTCCCCTTTTCCCCAGTTCAAAGCCTCCTTCGCAGCCTCCCCTTGTGTCTCCCTAGCTTAATCCACAAATATAAGATACCTCTACACCTACCTTGATGACCAATCATGCACCCCTTATCATCCCATTAAAACCTAATCACCCTTACCCCACTCAACGCCAATATCCCATCCCACAGCAGGCTTTAAAAAGGTTAAAGCCTGTTATCACTTGCCTGCTACAGCATGGGTTTCTAAAGCCTATAAACTCTCCTTACAATTCCCCCATTTTACCTGTCCAAAAACTGGACAAGTCTTACAGGTTAGTTCAGGATCTGCACCTTATCAACCAAATTGTCTTGCCTATCCACTCCATGGTGCCAAACCCATATACTCTCCTATCCTCAATACCTCCCCTCCATAACCCATTATTTTGTTTTGAATCTCAAACATGCTTTCTTTACTGTTCCTTTGCACCCTTCATCCCAGCCTCTCTTCACTTTCACTTGGACTGACCCTGACACCCATCAGCCTCAGCAACTTACCTGGGCTGTACTGCTGCAAGGTTTCAGGGACAGCCCCCATTACTTCAGTCAAGCCCAAATTTCTTCCTCATCCATTACCTATCTTGGCATAATTCTTCATAAAAACACAGGTTCTCTCCCTGCTGATCATGTCTGGCTAATCTTCCAAACCCCAACTCCTTCTACAAAACAACTCCTTTCCTTCCTACACATGGTTAGGTACTTTCACCTTTGGATACCTGGTTTTGCCTTCCTAACTAAATGATTCATTCTCCCCATTTCCCCATATTTCCCTCTTTTCTGTTCCCCACCCAGACCACACTTGGTTTATTGATGATAGTTCTTCCAGGCCCATTCGCCACTCACCAGCAAAGGCAGGCTATGCTATAGTATCTTCCACATCTATCCTTGAGGCTACTGCTCTGCCCCGCTCCACTACCTCTCAGCAAGCCGAACTCATTGCCTTAACTCAGGCCCTCACTCTTGCAAAGGGACTATGTGTCAATATTTACACTGACTCTAAATATGCCTTCCATATCCTGCACCACCATGCTGTTATATGGGCAGAAAGAAATTTCCTCACTACACAAGGGTCCTTCATCATTAATGCCTCCTTAATAAAAACTCTTCTTAAAGCTGCTCTACTTGCAAGGAAGCTAGGGTCATTCATGCAAGGGCCATCAAAAGGCATCAGATCCCATTGCTCAAGGCAACGCTTATGCTAATAAGGTAACTAAAGAAGCAGCTAGCCTTCCAACTTCTGTCCCTCAAGATCAATTTTTCTCCTCATCTTTTCACTTTACATTTCCAGTTTTGCCTTACAAAAGGTCTCTTCTTCCTCTGTGGATCCTCCACCTACATGTGTTTACCTGCTAATTGGACAGGCACATGCACACTACTTTTCCTTACTCACAAAATTCAATTTGCAAATAGGACCAAACAGCTTCCTGTTCCCCTCATGACACCAGCACTTCAATACTATTTTGTTTTGTTTTTTTTATTATGAATATAAGAAGACAGGAATAGGCCTCGACTTACTCACTGCTGAAAAAGGAGGACGCTGCATATTTGTAAATGAAGAGTGTTGTTTTTACCTAAATCAATCTGGCCTGATATATGACAACATAAAAAACTGAAGGATAAAGCCCAAAAACTCGCCAACCAAGCAAGTAATTATGCTGAACCCCCTTGGGCACTCTCTAATTGAATGTCCTGGGTCCTCCCAATTCTTAATCCTTTAATACCTGTTTTTCTCCCTCTCTTATTTGGACCTTGTGTCTTCCGTTTAGTTTCTCAATTCATACAAAACTGTATCCAGGCCATCACCAATCATTCTATATGACAAATGCTCCTTCTAAGAAGTGAAAATGGCCGGTTCCTGCTGTAACTGATGACATTACCTTGTGAAATTCCTACTCCTGGCTCAGAAGCTCCCCAACTGAGCACCTTGTGACCCTCGCCCTTGCCCACAAGAGAACAACCCCCTTTGACTGTAATTTTCCACTACCTACCCAAGTGTTGGCAAAATAAACTTTCTAAATTAACTGAGACCTGTCTCAGATTTCCTGGGTTCACAGTACTTTTAGGAAAGAGATCCCAGGGAGCTCTCTAGCCTTCTTCCCACCATGAGAGAACACTGGAAAAAAATGGCCATCTATGAAGCAGCCCTCTCCAGACATTGAATCCTCTAGTGCCTTCATCTTGGACTTCTCAGCCTGCAGAACTGTGGGGAATAAATGTTTGCTATTTGAGCCACTCACTTTATTGTATTCTATTCTAGCAGCCCAAACTGACTAAGACACTGTCAAAAACAAATGATAACCTCACTTGATTCTTTTTTTTCCTTCCTTTAATAGACTTTCCAAAACTAGCTCTGCCCAGTGGAAAAGCTATATTAATAGCCTTTATTAGCCAATATCAGATAACAGAGACAGTCTGATGAATTTTCTTTTTTTTTTTTTTTGAGATAGAGTTTTGCTCTTGTCATCCAGGCTGGAGTGCAATGGTGCAATCTTGGCTCACTGCAACCTCTCCCTCCTGGGTTCAAGCGATTCTCCTACCTCAGCCTCCTGAGTCACTGGGATTACAGGCACCTGCCACTATGCCCAGCTAATTTTTTTTGTATTTTTTTTAGTAGAGAAGGGGTTTCACCATGTTGGCCAAGCTGGTCTCGAACTCCTGACCTCAGGTTATCTGCCTGCTTCGGCCTCCCAAAGTGCTGGGATTATAGGCTTGAGCCACCACACCTGGCCAGTCTGATGAATTTTCTTACTTTACATTTTCATTTGACATTTTGGATCATAAGAATTTGTAATTTTCTAATTCAATGATATTTCATGGAGGAGTTATAAGGATAATTTCCAGGACAGAAAACGACTGCAGAAAAACAGATGAATATTGAAGAAGAGAAAGCCAAAAGGTGACAAGCTTCATTATAAGGGCCAGTTGCCCTCCCCCAGACTCATGGTAGAGAAAAACATGAAACGGACTAAAACAGAACAACACAAATTTAGATTAGCCTCCACAAGGAGCTTCCCAAAGACTGTGTTCATGACCACGCAGTGATAATCTTGCGTTGTCTCTTTAGAATTTCAAAATGGTAAAGCTGGGGTGGAATTTAGGATCCTGTGAGTGAAAAGTTCTCATTTTGCAGAAGAGGATTCTGAGAGCCAGACATTAGTGGAAGTGTCAGGGATAGAATCTGGGTCCCTAATGCTTAGCTGCCCATCTTTAATACTTAGATAGCTTCTCATATAGTCTAACCCAGTTCAGAGGTTACGGAGTTGTTGATTTCTTCAAATTCCTTCTAGATTACACAGTTGCTGATTCTAAGTAAAAATCATAGGATGGAAGTCTGTGAGCTGAATTGATCAGATTCCACAGGCTGTTCATTGCAGAGATATTCCCAAACCAGCTGAGGCCCCATTACTCTTTTTTTTTTTTTGGAGTGTTGAATATGTCAAAGATGAATTCCTCTGATGGCCGTGGCAAAGCCATTTGGTGTTTGGTTTACATGAAGTCACAAGACATTGAGTGTTCTTTTTTCTCCACTTGAGTTTTTCTCTGTTTGGTGCAACTACTTAGTAGTGGAACACACAGCTCATGAAAGAAGGAAGTGATTTAGAAGATGAGGGAAGTGGAAGGAACAGTTGAAACGACAACAGAAAAAATACCTTTTTTTCTCTTTTTCTTCCCTGAAGTAGTTTTCACTGTTACAGCTTCAGACGATTTTGTAATCTGGTTCATAGTTGAACTTCCTCTCTGTTTGGCTGGTTGAAAAAAAAAAGACTTTTTAAAAAGTAGCCTGTTCAAAGTCAAATGAATGGGTTTCTGACACACCTTGATGTTGGTTATGGCCTTTATTTTATGTTCACTTTAGGCAGAGATATTTCTCACAAAAGAGAATGATCTGGCCGCTTGTCAAGATCACATTCACTTCAGTTCAGTCCTGTGGTTTTTTTTTTTTTTTTTTTTTTTGAGATGGAGTCTTGCCCTGTCGCCCAGGCTGGAGTGCAATGGCACCATCTCGGCTCACTGCACCCTCGCCTCCTGGGTTCAAGTGATCCTCCCACCTTAACCTCCAGAGTAGCTGGAATTACAGGTGTGCACCACCCCACTCGGCTAATTTTTTGTATTTTTAGTAGAGACGGGGTTTCATCATGTTGGCCGGGCTGGTCTCAAACTCCTGACCTCAAGTGATCTGCCTGCCTTGGCCTCCTAAAGTGCTGGGATTACTGGTGTGAGCCACTGCACCCAGCTGGGTCCTGTGGTTTTTGTGTTTCTTTCCTTAAAGTCTCAGGGTGAACATGCAACCAAGTAGAGCTCCAAGAACCATCCTGCCAGCCTCGTGTTGCTTCTTCTTTATGTTTCAAAGCTGCCGTCTATAAAAGTGACTCCAAAGCCCTGGAATTAGTAAGAATGTAGCAGGGAGGAACTCTTTTTTGGCATGTTTAAAGCAACATATTAGAACATATCACTCTGGAGTCATTCTGGACTCTTCCTTTCTCTTGTACCCTACATCCAATCCGTTAGGAAGTGGGATAATGCAGAGTCTGACTGCTTCTCGCTGCCTTCCCCGCTATTGCCCTTGTCTCACCTGGGTAGACAGCTCTCTCCTAGAGGTCAACAGCCACCCAACAGGCCTCCCTGCCCACCCGCACCCTTTCCTGCCCACAAGAAGAAAAGGGAATAATGTAAAAATTGACATATTACTTATATTTCAATTCTACTAATTCTGCAAAATCTTGTATTAAAAAGTATTTTAGGCCAGGCACAGTAGCTCAAGCCTGTGATCCCAGCACTTTGGGAGGCCAAAACAGGTGGATCATTTGAGGTCAGGAGTTTGAGATCAGCCTGGCCAACATGGCGAAAGCCCACCTCTACTAAAAAAATATAAAAATTAGCCGGGCATGGTGGCTTATGCCTATAATCCCAGCTACTTGGGAAGCTGAGGCCAGAGAATAGCTTGAACCCAGGAGGTGGAGATTGCAGTGAGCCGAGATCGCCCAACTGCACTCCAGCTTGGGTGACAAAGTGAGACTCCATCTCAAACCAACCAAAACAAAACAAAAAACAGCAAATAAAATTGTATTTCTACACTATAACAAGTAATTATGATTAAGAAAACAAACTTGTCATTGGGTCCTAAGGCATTTGGGCCCCTTTGGTTGTCATCAACTGAAAGCCCCTGTGGCTGACTCTGGCCAGAAGGAAGAGTTACCGAGAGGCCTGGGAGTAGCTCACAGAACAGGAGATCAAACATTTGGTCCTCAAAAAGCAGTGGTCTCAAACATTTTTGTTCCCATAACAACATAGAGGAATATTAAAAAGTTTATGGACCATCTTGCACATTTTTAGGTTAGTATCTAAGATTTTCAACGTCACTTTTTTTTTTTTTTTTTTTGAGACGGAGTTTCGCTCTTGTTGCCCAGGCTGGAGTGCAATGGCACGATCTTGGCTCACCACAACCTCTGCCTCCCAGGTTCAAGTGATTCTCCTGCCTCAGCCTCCCAAGTAGCTGGGATTACAGGCATGAGCCACCACACCCAGCTAATTTTATACTTTTAGTAGAGTTGGGGTTTCTCCACGTTGATCAGGCTGGTCTTGAACTCCCGGCCTCAGGTGATCCGCTTGCCTCAGCCTCCCAAAGTGCAGGGATTACAGGCATGAACCACCGGGCCCAGTTCATCATCACTTTTAAATTTTCAAAAGAGATTTTTAGATTATGGCAAATAGTGACATTTAAAAATAAAATCTGCTATATCATTCCCTTAAGTGTATCAAATGGAATATAAACCAAACCATTTGATACTCGCCATCACTTACCAGAATATCGCAACAACAGAAAACATGAGCAAACTCTTCTTTAGCAATTGACATTTTTACATTATTCCCTTTTCTTCTTGTGTTTTACATATATTTCCATTCTATTTATTCTGTAAAATCTTGTATTAAAAAGTATTTTATAGGCCAGGTGCGGTGGCTCATGCCTGAAATCCCAGCACTTTGGGAGGCCGAGGTAGGTGGATCACGAGGTCAGGAGCTCGAGACCATCCTGGCTGACACGGTGAAACCCCATCTCTACTAAAAATACAAAAAATTAGCCTGGCGTGGTGGGGGGCGCCTGTAGTCCCAGCTACTTGGGAGGCTGAGGCAGGAGAATGGTGTGAACCCAGAAGGTGGAGCTTGCAGTGAGCCGAGATCATGCCACTGCATTCCAGCCTGGGCGACAGAGCAAGACTCCATCTCAAAAAAAAAAAAAAAAAAAAGATTTTATAGCTAATCCTGTTATACTTCTTTGTAATAAAAATGTTACATGTACAAATACTCAAATTTCAAAATTTCTTGGGATCAGGCTGGGCGCGGTGGCTCACACTTGTAATCCCAACTTTGGGAGGCTGAGATGGGTGGATCGCTGCCATCCAGGAGTTTGAGACCAGCTCAGCCAGCGTAGAGAAACCCTGTCTCTGCTAAAAATACAAAAATTAGCTGGGTATGATGGTGGCCTGCACCTATAATCTCAGCTACTCCGGAGGCTGAGGCAGGAGAACTGCTTGAACCTGGGAGGCAGAGGTTGTGGTGAGCCAAGATCACACCACTGCACACCAGCCTGGGTGATGGAGTGAAACCCTGTCTCAAAAAAAAAAAAAAAGTTTCTTCTCCAGTTTTTCATCAATTTTTAGAAGTATGTAATTGATTCTAATTACATAGAAAAATAAATTTTTTGAATGCATTGCTCAGTGAGATGGATAGTGCAGTTTTATTTATTTGTTTTTATAATGAATTCATGTATTCATTGAATATTACTGCTAGCATGAGGCAGAGTTCAGCATCAATTCTATTTCCATTTTTCATTGTTATAGTTGAAATGCTGAGAAACCTTGTTCACACGTGATGGGAATGGAATAGGGTTGCCAGATTTAGCCTCTCTTTCCCATCTACTCCTCACCCTACTGTCTAATATGTGGCTGTCGGCTGAAGTTAAATGTCAGCTATGGAAAGCCATTTACAGGGGAGTAAGCAGCTGTTGTTCTTGTCTGTCCTGCATTTGTCCTCCCATCTGCCTACTCTTTGGGGGACTGCCAATTCCCCACTGCAAATCCAGTGGTGCTGGCAGGGCTGCCCGTCACAGTGCTCTACCCTCCAGGATGGGCGTGGGATGCGTCCTGGCCAATCACATTTCGCTCTGACCTGAGATTGGGCCAAGAGGTCAGTATGTGACCCAAGGAGGGTCAATCAGAATCTCCGTATGGGATTTGACACATAGTCATTGGAAGAAAGAAGCTTTCACTTTCTGTTTGATTACAGTCATGATGATGTAGCCCTGGGACTGTTGGCAGGCACATCAGCTGTCTTTTCCTGCTTGGAGAAAGCCTGGCTGCAGCCGGAGGGAGAAAGGCCAACCCTTGGAAGGGAAGTAGAGTCAAGAGCAGCAAATTCTGGGTCTCCTGGTGGGGTGTTTTGAGCCCCTGAATTCGATCATCTTTGAAGACAGCTGTACCCATGGATGTCCCAGTTATGTCAGCCTATAAACCCATACTGGTCTTTAATCCTGTTTGGTTGCTTTCACTTTTAACCTAAAGAATCTGATTAACACACTATAGTAGTTTTCTATTGCTGCTGTTGCAAATGACCACACACTTAGTGCCTTAAAACAATACAAGTTTCTGATCCTATAGTTCTGGAGTTCTGAACTCTGAAATAGGTCTTAAAGGTGAAAGTCAAGGTGTCAGCAGAGCTGTATTCCTTTAAAGGCCCTGGGGAAAATTAGTTTACTTGCCTTTTCCACCTTGTAGAGGCCACCTACGTACCCCAGCTCCTGGCCCCTTCCTCACATCACTCTAACCTCTGCTTCCATGGTCACATCTTCTCTGACTCTCCTGCCTCCCTCCTATCATGATCCTCGTGATTACACTGGACCCACGAGGATGATCCAAGATGATCTCCCTCTCTCATCCTTAACTCACACAGGCAGAGTCCCTTTTGCCATGTGAAGTGACATATTCACAGGTTCTGAAGATTAGGGCAAAGACATCTTTGGGAGCCATTATTTTGTCTCCCACACATATTCAAGAAGAAGAATCACACTTGACCACTGAGAAGGTCACTTTTAATCACAGAGCAAAGCGTCCTCCTTTTAGGTGGCACCAACAGGATTTTAGTGCCAAGTTCCTCAGCACTTACCTTGGAGCCGCTGAGGGGGATTTCCAGTGTCTGGTGAGCCTGGGGCTGGCTGGTCTTCCCCCTGTGTCTCCGCAAAGCCTGCTATGGGCCTGAGAAGAGCCAGTGCTCCGGAACATTCCAAGTAATTGCCATCAAGGAACAGCTCGCTGGGGAAGGGAGCAGAATACACTGTTTATTTTATGTTAGTTCTACTTCCTCAAATTTGGATTTAAGGGCTGGGCACGGTGGCTCACGCCTGTAATCCCAGCACTTTGGGAGGCCAAGGCAGGCGGATCACAAGGTCAGGAGATAGAGACCATCCTGGCTAACATGGTGAAACCCCATCTCAACTAAAAATACAAAAAAATTAGCCGGGCGTGGTGGCGGGCACCTGTAGTCCCAGCTGCTGGGGAGGCTGAGGCATCAGAATGCCATGAACCCGGGAGGCGGAGCTTGCAGTGAGCTGAGATTGTGCTACTGCACTCCAGCCTGGGTGACAGAGCAAGACTCCGTCTCAAAAAAAAAAAAATTGGATTTAAGGTTTTCATCTGATGAAATAATATACCTAGTCATAAAATAATAAGGAATAACCATAATTAATTAATAATAGGCCATGTCATAAAAAATAGACCTAGTGACCATGTCAGCTGGTCAAACACCTGCATTCAGTGTGACACCACTGATTTTCAAACTCAACTAAAGGACCTTCTCTTATGGTTAAGAAAAGGCAAGCAAAAATAACAAGAGTGGAGAAGAGATTATTAGAATTATAACAGATTGTATAACTCAAGACAGAATAGAGCCAAGATTAGAAGGGGGCAGTGGGGGACACGTCTCACCAAATGGCACTCTGGCTGATGACCGAACCCAGCCTTAGCCCGCTCTGAGGTCCCAGACCACAGTAACGCAGACTGAGGCCTTGAAGCCTTTGGTTGTTCTCCAGGCCTGAGAAAATGCTCTCAAGTTCTTCATTTCCAAATCTAAAAAGAAATGACAGTGTCAACTTAAATAACAGAGAAGCTCTCTAAAAGGAGCCTGTTTATTCAGAACCAGAATTGCAATGGGAATGGGAATACACAGGCCATGGTAAACTATGCACATATTCAGGGAGGAAGAGGAAGACAAAGGTCTTTCAATGAAAAGTGAGGAGGATTACATCATTGTTTTCAGATAATTATCCTTGACTACAAGGATCAATAACAAGGGTGGCACCAGACTAAGGTTGGACAGTTGCTGGGTAGATGTCCTTGTAGAAGTATTTTTTTGTGTAAGGTTATGATGGCCTTGTGCAAGGCTGTGGTTGCTACAGGGTCTTTTGTGATAGTTCTTGTTACCAGGCATTTATGCATGAGAGCCCTTCTTTCATGGCCTTCCCTGGCTCTGTTTGTCAGGTTTTCTTGTTGTTGTTGTTCAACACAAGTGACTCCACTTTAATCTGACAATTTTCACAATAGAAACAAATTAGTGACTTTTTTTCTTTTTCTTTTTCTTTTTTTGAGAGAGTCTTGCTCTGAAATTCACCAACGATTACAGGCACATGCCACCACACCTGGCTAATTTTTGTATATTAAGTGGAGACAGGGTTTCACCGTGTTGGTCAGGCTGGTCTCGAACTCCTGACCTCAGGTGATCTGCCCGCCTTGGCCTTCCAAAGTGTTGGGATTACAGGCATGAGCCACCGTGCCCGGCCAAATTAGTGGCTTTTAAAACCTGTGGGGCCGGGCGCGGTGGCTCATGCCTGTAATCCCAACACTTTGGGAGGCCGAGGTGGGTGGATCACGAGGTCAGGAGATCAAGACCATCCTGGCTAACACGGTGAAACCCCATCTCTACTAAAAATACAAAAAAAATTAGCTGGGCGTGGTGGCGGGTGCCTGTAGTCCCAGCTACTCAGGAGGCTGAGGCAGGAGAATGGTGTGAACCCGGTAGGCGGAGCATGCAGTGAGCCGAGATCGTGCCACTGCACTCCAGCCTGGGCGACAGAGTGAGACTCCATCTCAAAAACAAAAAAAAAAACCAAACAAACCTGTGCCACTCACTGGATTACTAATTGTAAAGCCCTTTCCAGGATAATTAGCGGCATTTCTGCTGATCCCTAATTTGAGCTTCCAGGGCCAGGGCTGGCTATGCGGGTGGGCTGGGTTGGCCATAGTGGGTAGCCTGGGCATGAGGGAAAGGGCCGGAAGTCTGCCTCCTGGGTAAAGGGAGCAGAAGATGGTTGGAACTACCCAATCCGGGCAGCGGATGGAGAACAAACTCTAAACCCCAGAGAGAAGAGCTACAGAGAAGGGCAGAGACAGGTGGAGTCCTAGAGACTCCCAGCAGGGCTGTTCCCTCCTCTTGCATTGCAGGCTTTACTTTGCAAAGTGAAATCTTGTGCCTCAACCACAGCCTCTGCGGGGAGGTAATGGTAAAAGCCATGGGTCAGGAAACCGAGGCTTGGTGAAGGAAAGCAACATCTTTAAGGAATTTGGAATGTCAAAGCTTGAACCTTAAAATGAGGTGGGTGAGATGAACAGAAATAACTTTTAACATGTATCAATTCATGAACAAGTAATGACTGAGGGCCTTCCCTGAGCCACCTACCAAGGTGGGCATGGGGATGCAGCTTGTGTGAGAAAGGACTGTCTGATGGACCTCACAGCCTCAGTGGAGACAGTGAGGAGAGAACTGCAACCCCCAGAGGCCAGTATCCTGCAGTGTTACCAGTGTTAAGGTCTCGGGTGGTGATTCCCAGCTAGGCGAGCCTGACAACACTAGGTGTCCTGGCGTCGGTGGCAGTATGTCATCTGACTATTACAACAAGTTGTCTGCTGAAGAAGAGAATTCCTTCTTTCTTCCTTCTCTCTTCCCACCAGTGCAGGTCTCTGGGTGCCCCTCCCAGGAGCTGGAGCCTGGAGGGGTCTCTTAGCAGTGGGGCTGGTGCTGCCCAATAGTGTGGGAAACTGGGGGACTCGCAAGCAGATCCTACAGTCACTGCATGGCGTCCCGTGTGCATTGGGCTCCTGCTGCCCCCTGTTACAAGACCCTGCCTGACGTTCCTCCCAGCATTTCAGAAACCCTGAGAACCTCCACAGAGAACGCCCTCTCCCCAGCTTTTACCACCAGGGCCCTGGCCGGATCCCAGTTCTGTGTCTCTGGGCTACCACTTCTCAGGCTCGAATCTCCTCTCTCTCCTCACAGCCCACTGGCCTTTTGAGTCTAAGGCCCCACCCAATTGCATGGGAAGAGTCACAGAATCACAGACTCCTGGAGTGGGGGAGATCATTTCATTACAGACCAGAAAGGTTCTGTGACTTACTCCAGATGGTACACACAGTTTGAAGTTGTTTGTGGACGGCAACTTATAGACCCCGGGCAATCTAGTGTCATGGATCGGAGGTGGGCTCTGATTCAGACAACCTGAATCCATATCAAGGTTCCATCCCTGGGGGACTGAATAGCCTTGAACAAGTCTGTGGACCTCATCCACAGTCTAGGGATAGTAATGGTGCATAGCTCATGAGGTTGTTGGGAGGAGAAATGAGCTCATTCCTGCATCGTGTTTGGCACACAATAAACACTCATTAACCATTAGCTGGAAATATTATTATTATTCTCATCTTGTGGACATTCCCTTAACATGCTTGATACCCCAGCTCTGAAGGACTTGCTCCACTCCTCCCCAACACCACACCTTTCCCTCCCTCTTTCCCTCCCTCCCTCCCTTCCTTCCTTCTTCCTTCCTTCCTTCCCTCCTTCCTTCCTCCCCTCCTTCCTTCCTCTTTCTTTCTCTCTTCTGTTTTCTTTTTGAGACAGAGTCTTGCTCTGTCACTCAGGCTGGAATGCAGTGATATGATCTCGGCTCACCGCAGCTTTCATCCCCCACCTCAGCTCAAGTGATCCTCCCATCTCAGCCTCTCAGAATGCTGGGATTACAGGTGAGGGCCACTGTGCCCAGCCCACCACACCTTTCTTTCTACCTCCTCATCTGGTGAATATTGACCCGTCACCTAGGGAATTGTGGTTTCCCTTGTCCAAACTACCAAAATAATATACATGGACATCTTTTGTGGTCTTCAGATTTTCTACCTTGCATTAAGAGCATCTCTTCTCTACTGTACCAAGGACACCTTGGAACAGCAGCATTGCCTTCTATATTTGTATCTTTCTTAGCACTGAGCACAATATCTTGCATAAACTAGCCTTCAACAAATATCTGTTGAAAGAATAAATAAATGAAAGTGACTCTTCTTGAGAACTCTAATATTTACTCAGAAACATTAACTCTAAGGTTTTAGAGGGTCCTCTTCAGCCATGCCTTGATAAGGTGCAAGGAAACTGGACATGCAACCCCCCCAACCCTCCCCATCTTTGCTTCCCCCAGCTGACAGCTGTAAGAGCCCTGCAGGAATTCCAGCCCTACTTGCAGTAATCGAGGACAAGAGAATGCAAACTACTGAACCGCAGAGCCTTCCCAAGTCGCTCTAGAGACCACAGATCCATCTTGCAATCAATGATTTCTAGGGTGGTAAACGGGCAGGTGGTGTGCCCCTTCAATTCCAGAAGCAAAGCCTAAGAATGCAAGATATAAAAAATGCTTACATAATGATGACAACTATGCTCTGTGCTTTAAAATGTTGCTTTCAAGTCCATCATGTTAATTACCTCAACATTTTTGCCCCAAGATAACTTTCTAATTATCTAAGGAAAAGGTGGCATGAAAATAAAATACTTTCCCTTTAAAACAAAGAGTCACTGAATTGGATTGGAGTGTTGGATTGGAGCCAACACATGAGCACTGGAGCCAGCCCAGGTTCCCACAGTTTCCTGTGTGGAGGGCCCAAGGCCAGGTCATTTCCTGTGGTAACAATGGATGCTAATGACAGATAAATCCCCACCTAATGAAAGGAGAGGGTATTTAAAAATGTAAATCACAAGAATGTCGTGAACAGGCCACCTTTTAGCAATTAGAGCCATCACAACCTGAGGATCCTTCATTTCAGAATTTAAGCCTAGAAGAAGCTTTGGTGGAGTTTGGAGAATTCAGAGTTTTTTGAGGCAATGACATGGTCAGATATAGGATTCCAAATTATACCTTGGCAGAGATTAAAAAGGCACTTGTGACCTTAACTACAGAGCTGGTGCCCAAGGCCTCTTTAATGACAGGTGCCTCATTTGAGTGCTGGACTGGATTCTGCAAGCTGTGTTTCTGACAGAGGAGCCAATCAATGTGGCATGTCAGTGCCTATGTTAACATCAGTCTGTGCTAAATGGGCTCTTGACTGGGTCCTAAAGCTCCTAATCAGAGGTTTACATGTCACTCCTTCGGCACCAGTACTGCCATGGGCAAGGACCATGCTATCCAAGATAGAATTCCTCAGCAGCCTCCAGATTAGCAAGAGGGCTACATTTAAGGAACTATTAAGGATCACTTTTAACATGCATGGACAGCATCTTATTTCCAGCTTGAGTGGACTGGGTACCCTGACTGACACTCTGAATAAAAGCAACTAAAATTGCAGGATACATATTTAAAGTAACTTATACATGTATTTCTTTTTTTTTTTTTTTTTTGAGACAGAGTCTCGCTCTGTTGTCAAGCTGGGGTGCAGTGGCACCATCTCAGCTCACTGCAACCTCCAACTCCCTGGTTCAAGTGATTCTCCTGCCTCAGCCTCCTGAGTAGCTGGCATTACAGTTGCGCACCACTACACCCAGCTAATTTTTGTATTTTTAGTAGAGACAGGGTTTCACCATGTTGGCCAGGATGGCCTTGATCTCCTGACCTCGTGATCCACCCGCCTCGGCCTCCCAAAGTGCTGGGATTACAGGCGTGAGCCACTGAGCCTGGCCAAAAAATGTATTTCTTAACTGTGGCAAAATGCACATAACATTTACCACCTTAGCCATTTTTAGTATACAGTTCAGTGGCATGAAGCATTCACATTGTTGTGCAATCCTAACCACCATCCGTCTCCAGAACTCTTTTCATCTTACAAAACTGAAACTCTACTTATTAAACAATAACTCCCTATTCTCCTCTTTCCGCAGACCCTGGTAACCACCATTCTGTTTTCTCTCTGTATAAATCTGACTACTCTAGGTCCATCACGTAAGTGGAATTCTACAGTATTTGTCATTTTGTGACTGGCTTATTCACTTAGCACAATGTCCTCAAGGTTCATCTCATGCTGCAACATGTGTCAGAATTTCCTTCCTTTTTAAGGCTGAATAATATTCCATTGTCTGTATACAACACATTTTGTTTATTCATTCATCTGTTGATGGACACTTGGGTTGCTCCCACCTTTTGGCTCTCATGAATAATGCTGCTGTCAACATGGGTATAGAAGTCTCTCTTTGAGATCCTGTTTTTAATTATTTGGGGTATATATTCACAAGTGGTATTGCTGGATTATATGGTCATTCTATTTTTAACTTTTTGAGGAACCGTCATACTGTTTTCCCTACTGGCTGCACCATTTTACATTGCCACCAACAGTGCCCAAGGTTCCAACTTTTCCACATCCTTGTCAACACTTGTTATTTTCTGGGTGTTTTTTATCTTTTTTATTTTTTTATTTTTGATGGTGAGGTTGGCATGTCATTGTGGTTTTGATTTGCATTTCCTTAGTGATTAGTGATGTTGAACGTCTTTTCGTGCATGTATTGGCTATTTGTATATCTTCTTTGATGAATGTCTATTTAAATTCCTTGCCTATTTTAAATCAGGTTGTGGCCAGGCATGATGGCTCACACCTGTAATCCCAGCACTTTGGGAGGCCAAAGCAGGTGGATCACTTGAGGTCACCATGTCTCTACTAAAAATACAAAAAAAAAAAAAAAAATTAGCCAGGCATGGTGGTGTGCACCTGTAGTCTCAGCTACTCGAGAGATTGAGGCATGAGAATCGCTTGAACCTGAGAGGCGGAGGTTGCAGTCAGCTGAGATGGATCACACCATTGCACTCTAGCCTGGGTGACACAGCGAGACACCATATCAAAAAAAAAAAAAAAAATCAGGTTGCTTGCTGTTTTGTTGTTGAGCTGTAGCAGTTTTTTTTTCTTTTTTCTTTTTTCTTTTTTTTTTTTTCCCATGACAGGACAGGCTGGAGTACAGTGGTGTGATCTCGGCTCACTGCAACCTCCACCTCCCGGACTCAGGCAATCCTCCCGCCTCAATCTCCTGAGCAGCTGGGACTACAGGTACATGCCAGCATGCCTGGCTAATTTTTTGTAGAGATAGGGTTTCACCATGTTGCCAGGCTGGTCTCGAACTCTCATGAGCCACCACACCCGGCAAAGTTGTAATAGTTTTATATATATATATTCTAGATGTTAACCCCTTATCAGATATACAACTTGCAATTATTTTTTCTCATTCCATAAGTTTGCCTCTTCACTTCATTGATTACGTCCTTTGGTGCATGGAAGTTTTACATTTTGATGTAGCCAAATTTATCTACTTTTTCTTTTTTTTTGCCTGTGCCTTTGGTGTCATTTCCAAGAAATAATTGCCAAATCCAAGGTGATGAAGCTTTTCCTCTATGTTTTCTTCTAAGGATTTAAAAATATATATATATCTTTTTAAAATGTGTCGATGGGCTGGCAGTTTAGTGAGGAATACCCAAAGATCAATGAATGAGAGAAAGTGGGAGCCCAGTGGGGTATGCAGAGCACTGACTCCAGCTTTCCTTTGAGAGTATCACTCAAACAGTAGTTGGTTTTCATGGATCGTGGAGTCCAGGGAATAGGAGATAAAGTCATAGACACTGGAGACAAGGAGTCCAGTAGAAAATGCTACATGAAGTTATGGCCCCAAATACAAAGTGGGCCATAGGTTTTTTCTCTTAGAGTAAGGATAACTAGAAATAAATACCTAACTCTCTTTTTTTCCCAAAGGACCCTAGGGAAAATTGCCTATCTCAGACTGATAAATATGAGGAAAAAATGTATCTCCTGAGAACTCACAAACTAGCTCTAATACAGTTTTGCACCCTGTGTTAATTAACCATCTGGATGGTTCAAAGAAATCACAGGTCAATAATTTAATTTAATATAACCCTGGGATGGTAGCACCCAGAGTGAATGGCAGACACAAATTCAAGCCCTGAAGAGGAAGTTCTCTTCAAACCAGAGCTCAGGAAATTGCCACAACCATTATCCCAGGAAATATGAGTTAACAGTAAAAAGGAAATCACAAAACACACAAATTGGTGTCACCATGAGTAAGAGCCAGTAGAAGCAAGAGATCACAATATCAGCCCCAAATAATTCAGATTATTGAAACTATTAGACAGAATACAAAATAACTTTAACACATTCAAAGAAATAAAATAAAGGATTTTTTTTAAAAGTAAGAGACTAGAAAATGACTACTAGTGTCCTTTCCTATTCTCTGCTTCCTCCTTCCTCCCTAAACATAATTTTGTGATAATCAAACATTATAGTTGTACCTGTTTTTTGAACTTTACATAAATGCAAACATACAGTATTCATTTGTTTGTGCCTCTCTTCATTTGCAGGCATTATGTTGGTGACAGTCATCATATTTTATGTTTGTATAGCTACAGTTAGTTCATTTTCATTGCTACATAGTGTCTCACTATATGAATATGCCACAATTTATTTATTTATTCTATTGTTGATGGAAATTTGGGTTGTTTCTAGTTCTTGATTTCCAAGAACATTTTTCTCTAAGTCTCCTGGTGCCCATGTACATACATTCATGTTGGATATATACCTAGAGTGGAACTGCTGGACCACAGACTTTGGAATCAGTAGATACTACAGTACAGTTTTCCAAGGTGACTGTGCGAATACACACTCCCACCACAGTGTATAAAAATTCCAGTTGCTCCAATTCCTCACCAACACTTGATGATGTACTTTTATTTTCACTATTTCAGTGGATGTGTATTGGTATCTCTTAATGTTTTTTATTTGAATTCCACTCATTCCTAATGAGGTTGAGCACCTCTTAATATTCTTATTGGCTATTTTGATAGGTTTCTTTTTTTGTGAAGTTCCTATTCAAGTTTCTTGACCATGTTTCTATTGGATTATTTGTCTTTTTCTTAATGATGTGTCGGAGTTATATATACATCCTGCCTAAGAATCCTTTTTAATTATATATGTAGCAAATATCTTTTCCAGTACTGTAGCTTGCATTTTCACTCTGTTAATGGTGATACTTGATGAACAAAAGTTGTTAGTTTTAATGGAGTCTAACTTAATCAATCTTTTCTTTTACGATTAGTGCTCTTTGTGTACTTTAAAAAAAGTGTTTCTCCACTCCAAAGTCATGATGATATTTTCTTATATTACCTTCTAGAAACTTTATTTGGCCTTTCAACTCTGTAATCCACCAGCATTGATTTAGGGGTATGATGTGAAGTAGGGGTCAAACTTCTTTGTCCCCCACACTTATCTCCAGTGGTCTCATTATCATCGATTGAAAAGATCATCTTTTCCTTGATACTATGTATTGTCATCTTTGTCAATAATTAAACGTCCATATAGGTAAGACTCTGTTTCCAGCCTTTCTATTCTTTCCCTTGGTTTACTTATCTATACTTGTAGCAATATTACACTATCTTAATTTCTGTAGCTCTCTATAAGAAGTGTTTAACGTCTGTTAGAGAAAATTCTCCAACTGTGATCTTCTGTTCAAGATTGTCTTGCTTATTCTTCACCACTTATATCTCCATATAAAATTAACAGTCAGTTCTTTTTTTATATATATATACTTTAAGTTCTAGGGTACATGTGCACAACGTGCAGGTTTGTTACATATGTATACATGTGCTGCACCCATTAACTCATCATTTACATTAGATATATCTCCTAATGCTATCCCTCCCCCCTCCCCCAACCCCACGACAGGCCCCAGTGTGTGATGTTCCCCTTCCTGTGTCCAAGTGTTCTCATTGTTCAATTCCCACCTATGAGTGAGAACATGCAGTGTTTGGTTTTCTGTCCTTGTGATAGTTTGCTCAGAATGATAGTTTCCAGGTTCATCCATGTCCCTTCAAAGGACATGAACTCATCATTTTTATGGCTGCATAGTATTCCATGGTGTATATGTGCCACATTTTTCTTAATCCAGTCTATCATTGATGGATATTTGGGTTGGTTCCAAGTCTTTGCTATTGTGAATAGTGCCACAATAAACATACATGTGCATGTGTCTTTATAGCAGCATGATTTATAATCCTTTGGGTATATACCCAGTAATGGGAAGGCTGGGTCAAATGATATTTCTAGTTCTAGATCCTTGAGGAATCACCACGCTGTCTTCCACAATGGTTGAACTAGTTTACAGTCCCACCAATAGTGTAAAAGTGTTCCTATTTCTCCACATCCTCTCCAGCACCTGTTGTTTCCTGACTTTTTAATGATCGCCATTCTAACTGGTGTGAGATGGTATCTCATTGTGGTTTTGATTTGCATTTCTCTGATGGCCAGTGATGATGAGCATTTTTTCATGTGTCTGTTGGCTGCATAAATGTCTTCTTTTGAGAAGTGTCTGTTCATACCCTTCGCCCACTTTTTGATGGGGTTGTTTGATTTTTTCCTGTAAATTTGTTTAAGTTCTTTGTAGATTCTGGATACTAACCCTTTGTCAGATGGGTAGATTGCAAAAATTTTCTCCCATTCTGTAGGTTGCCTGTTCACTCTGATGGTAGTTTCTTTTGCTATGCAGAAGCTCTTTAGTTTAATTAGATCCCATTTGTCAATTTTGACTTTTGTTGCCATTGCTTTTGGTGTTTTAGATGTGAAGTCCTCGCCCATGCCTGTGTCCTGAATGGTATTGCCTAGATTTTCTTCTAGGGTTTTTATGATTTTAGGTCTAACATTTAAGTCTTTAATCCATCTTGAATTAATTTTTGTATAAGGTGTAGGGAAGGAATCCAGTTTCAGCTTTCTACATATAGCTAGCCAGTTTTCCCAGCATCATTTATTAAATAGGGAATCCTTGCCCCATTTCTTGTTTTTGTCAGGTTCGTCAAAGATCAGATGGTTGTAGATGTGTGGTATTATTTCTGAGGGCTCTGTTCTGTTCCATTGGTCTATATCTCTGTTTTGGTACCAGTACCATGCTGTTTTGGTTACTGTAGCCTTGTAGTATAGTTTGAAGTGAGGTAGCATGATGCCTCCAGCTTTGTTATTTTGGCTTAGGATTGTCTTGGCAATGTGGGCTCTTTTTTGGTTCCATATGAACTTTAAAGTAGTTTTTTTTCCAATTCTGTGAAGAAAGTCTTTGGTAGCTTGATGGGGATGGCATTGAATCTATAAATTACCTTGGGCAGTATGGCCATTTTCATGATATTGATTCTTCCTATCCATGAGCATGGAATGTTCTTCCATTTGTTTGTGTCCTCTTTTATTTCGTTGAGCAGTGGTTTGTAATTCTCCTTGAAGAGGTCCTTCATATCCCTTGTAAGATGGATTCCTAGATATTTTATTCTCTTTGAAGCAATTGTGAATGGGAGTTCACTCATGATTTGGCTCTCTGTTTGTCTGTCATTGGTGTATTGGAATGCTTGTGATTTTTGCACATTGATTTTGTATCCTGAGACTTTGCTGAAGTTGCTTATCAGCTTAAGGAGATTTTGGGCTGAGACGATGGGGTTTTCTAAATATACAATCACATCATCTGCGAACAGGGACAATTTGACTTCCTCTTTTCCTAATTGAATACCTTTATTTTTTTCTCCTGCCTGATTGCCCTGGCCAGAACTTCCAACACTGTGTTGAATAGGAGTGATGAGAGAGGGCATCCCTGTCTTGTGCCAGTTTTCAAAGGGAATGCTTCCAGTTTTGCCCATTCAGTATGATATTGGGTGTGGGTTTGTCATAAATAGCTCTTATTATTTTGAGATACGTTCCATCAATACCTAATTTATTGAGAGTTTTTAGCATGAAGGGCTGTTGAATTTTGTCGAAGGCCTTTTCTGCATCTGTCGAGATAATCATGTGGTTTTTGTCTTTGGTTCTGTTTATATGCTGGATTACATTTATTGATTTGCGTATGTTGAACCAGGCTGGCATCCCAGGGATGAAGCTCACTTGATCATGGTGGAAAAGCTTTCTGAGGTGCTGCTGGATTTGGTTTGCCAGTATTTTATTGAGGATTTTTGCATCGATGTTCATCAGGGATATTGCTCTAAAATTCTCTTTTTTTTGATGTGTCTCTGCCAGGCTTTGGTATCAGGATGATGCTGGCCTCATAAAATGAGTTAGGGAGGAGTCCCTCTTTTTCTATTGATTGGAATAGTTTCAGAAGGAATGGTGCCAGCTCCTCCTTGTACCTCTGGTAGAATTTGGCTGTGAATCTGTCTGGTCATGGACTTTATTTAGTTGGTAGGCTATTAATTATTGCCTCAATTTCAGAGCCTGATATTGGTCTATTCAGGGATTCAACTTCTTCCTGGTGTAGTCTTGGGAGGGTGTATGTGTCCAGGAATTTATCCATTTCTTCTAGATTTTCTAGTTTATTTGCATAGAGGTGTTTATGGTATTCTCTGATGGTAGTTTGTATTTCTTTGGGATCAGTGGTGATATCCCTTTTATCATTTTTTATTTCGTCTATTTGATTCTTCTCTCTTTTCTTCTTTATTAGTCTTGCTAGCGGTCTATCAATTTTGTTGATCTTTTCAAAAAACCAGCTCCTGGATTCATTGATTTTTTGAAGGGTTCTTTGTGTCTCTATCTCCTTCAGTTCTGCTCTGATCTTAGTTATTTCTTGCCTTCTGCTAGCTTTTGAATGTGTTTGCTCTTGCTTCTCTAGTTCTTTTACTTGTGATGTTAGGGTGTCAATTTTAGATCTTTCCTGCTTTCTCTTGTGGGCATTTAGTGCTATAAATTTCCCTCTACACACTGCTTTAAATGTGTCCCAGAGATTCTGGTATGTTGTGTCTTTGTTCTCACTGATTTCAAAGAACATCTTTATTTCTGCCTTCATTTTGTTATGTACCCAGTAGTCATTCAGGAGCAGGTTGTTCAGTTTCCATGTAGTTGTGTGGTTTGAGTAAGTTTCTTAATCCTGAGTTCTAGTTTGATTGCACTGTGGTCTGAGAGACAGTTTGTTATAATTTCTATTCTTTTACATTTGCTGAGGAGTGCTTTACTTCCAACTATGTGGTCAATTTTGGAATAAGTGCAATGTGGCGCTGAGAAGAATGCATATTCTGTTGATTTGGGGTGGAGAGTTCTGTAGATGTCTATTAGGTCCGCTTGGTGCAGAGCTGAGTTCAATTCCTAGATATCCTTGTTAACTTTCTGTCTCGTTGATCTGTCTAATGTTGACAGTGGGGTGTTAAAGTCCCATTAATATTGTGTGGGAGTGTAAGTCTCTTTGTAGGTCTCTAAGGACTTGCTTTGTGAATCTGTGTGCCTCTGTATTGGGTGCATATATATTTAGGATAGTTAGCTCTTCTTGTTGAATTGATCCCTTTACCATTATGTAATGGCCTTCTTTGTCTCTTCTGATCTTTGTTGGTTTAAAGTCTGTTTTATCAGAGACTAGGATTGCAACCCCTGCTTTTTGTTTTGTTTTGTTTTCCATTTGCTTGGTAGATCTTCCTCCATCCCTTTATTTTGAGCCTGTGTGTGTCTCTGCATGTGAGATGGGTCTCCTGAATACAGCACACTGATGGGTCTTGACTCTTTATCCAATTTGCCAGTCTATGTCTTTTAATTGGAGCATTTAGCCCATTTACATTTAAGGTTAATATTGTTATGTGTGAATTTGATCCTGTCATTATGATGTTAGCTGGTTATTTTGCTCATCAGTTGATGCAGATTCTTCCTAGCATCGATGGTCTTTACAATTTGGCATGTTTTTGCAGTGGCTGGTACCAGTTGTTCCTTTCTATGTTTAGTGCTTCCTTCAGGAGCTCTTGTAAGGCAGGCCTGGTGGTGACAAAATCTCTCAGCATTTGCTTGTCTGTAAAGGATTTTATTTCTCCTTCACTTATGAAGCTTAGTTTGGCTGGACATGAAATTCTGGGTTGAAAATTCTTTCCTTATTGCAGGGACAAAAAACCAAACACTGCATGTTCTCACTCATAGGTGGGAATTGAACAATGAGAACACTTGGACACAGGAAGGGGAACATCACACACCAGGGCCTGTCATGGGGTTGAGGGAGCGGGGAGGGATAGCATTAGGAGATATACCTAATGTAAATGATGAGTTAATGGGTGCAGCACACCAACATGGTACATGTATACATATGTAACAAACCTGCACATTGTGCACATGTACCCTAGAACTTAAAGTACAAAAAAAAAAAAAAAAAAAAAAGAATGTTGAGTATTGGCCCCCACTCTCTTCTGGCTTGTGGAGTTTCTGCCAAGAGATCCACTGTCAGTCTGATGAGCTTCCCTTTGTGGGTAACCTGACCTTTCTCTCTGGCTGTCCTTAACATTTTTCCTTCATTTCAACTTTGGTGAATCTGACAATTATGTGTCTTGGAGTTGCTCTTCTTGAGGAGTATCTTTGTGGCGTTCTCTGTATTTCCTGAATTTGAATGTTGGCCTGCCTTGCTAGGTTGAGGAAGTTCTCCTGGGTAATATCCTGAAGAGTGTTTTCCAACTTGGTTCCATTCTCCCTGTCACTTTCAGGTACACCAATCAGACATAGATTTGGTCTTTTCACATAGTCCTATATTTCTTAGAGGCTTTGTTCATTTCTTTTTACTCGTTTTTCTCTGAACTTCTCGCTTCATTTCATTTATTTGATCTTCAATCACTGATACCCTTTCTTCCAGTTGATCAAATCGGCTACTGAAGCTTGTGCATGTGTCACGTAGTTCTTGTGCCATGGTTTTCAGCTCCATCTGGTCATTTAAGGTCTCTACACTGTTTATTCTAGTTAGCCATTTGTCTAATCTTTTTTCAAGGTTTTTAGCTTCTTTGCGATGGGTTCGAACATCCTCCTTTAGCTCGGAGAAGTTTGTTATTACCGATCGTCTGAAGCCTTCTTCTCTCAACTCGTCAAAGTCATTCTCCATCCAGCTTCGTTCTGTTGCTAGTGAGGAGCTGTATTTCTTGAGAGGAGAAGAGGCGCTCTGATTTTTAGAATTTTCAGCTTTTCTGCTCTGGTTTCTCCCCATCTTTGTGGTTTTATCTACCTTTGGTCTTTGATGATGGTGACGTACAGGTGGGATTTTGGTGTGGATGTCCTTTCTGTTTGTTGGTTTTCCTTCTAACAGTCAGGACCCTCAGCTGCAGGTCTGTTGAAGTTTGCTGGAGGTCCACTACAGACCCTGTTTGCCTGGGTATCAGCAGCAGAGGCTGCAGAACAGCAAATATTGCTGAACAGCAAATGTTGCTGTCTGTTTGTTCCTCTGGAAGCTTTGTCTCAGAGGGGTACCAGGCCGTATGAGGTGTCAGTCGGTCCCTACTGAGAGGTGCCTCCCAGTTAGGCTACTGGGGGGTCAGGGACCCACTTGAGGAGGCCGTCTGTCTGTTCTCAGATCTCAAACTCTGTGCTGGGAGAGCCACTACTCTCTTCAAAGCTGTCAGACAGGGACGTTTAAGTCTGCAGAAGTTTCTGCTGCCTTTTGTTCAGCAATGCCCTGCCCCCAGAGGTGAAGTCTACAGAGGCAGGCAGGCCTCCTTGAGCTGTGGTTGGCTCCATCCAGTTCGAGCTTCCTGGTTGCTTTGTTTACCTACTCAAGCCTCAGCAATGGCGGATGCCCCTCCCCCAGCCTCATTGCCACCTTGCAGTTGGATCTCAGTCTGCTGTGCTAGCAATGAGCAAGGCTCTGAGGGCATGGGACCATCCGAGCCATGCGCAGGATATAATCTCCTGGTGTGCCATTTGCTAAGACCATTGGAAAAGTGCAGTATTAGGGTGGGAGTGACCTGATTTTCCAGGTGCTGTCTGTCACGGCTTCCCTTGGTTAGGAAAGGGAATTCCCTGACCCCTTGTGCTTCCCGGGTGAGGCGATGCCTCACCCTGCTTTGGCTCACGCTCTGTGGGCTGCACCCACTGTCCTGCACCCACTGTCCGACAAGCCCCAGTGAGATGAACCTGGTGCCTCAGTTGGAAATGCAGAAATCACCCGTCTTCTTTGTCGCTCACCCTGGGAGCTGTAGACTGGAGCTGTTCCTATTTGGCCATCTTGGAGCCCCCTTAAGTTCTATAAGAAAGCCATTTTCATGGCTCTTTGATTCTTCCTGCACCTCCAACCTTCTATCTGGGATCATTTTTCTTTGAAGAATGTGCTTTAGTATGTCTTTTAGGGAAGATCTGCTTGTGACAAATTCTTCCAGTTTCTGTTGGTCTGACAATGTCTTTGTTTCACTTCCATTTTTGAAAACTATTTTTGTTGGGCATAGAATTCTTAGTTGGCATTTTCCCTCCAGCATTTTGAAGATATTCTATTGGTAACTGACTTCCATTGTTTCTGTTGAAAAGTCAGATGCCAGTTTTATTGCAGCTCCTTTGAAGGTAATGTGTGATTTCACTGACTAATTTTAATATTTTCTCTTTCTCTTTGGTCTTTAATAGTGTTATTATGATGTTTCTAAATTTTCTTTGTGTTTAACCTTCTTGGGATTAATAACTCTATTTGAATTTGTGGTTTATGTCTTTTGCCAGTTTAGTTAAGTATTGCTTTTGTCCCATTCTCATTCTCCTCTCCTTCTGGGACTTCAATTACACATATGTTGATTATCTCACTTATCTACTATGTCTGCCTCTTTTTTTTTTGTTTTGTTTTTGAGACAAGGTCTTGCTCTGTTGTCCAGGTTGGAGTGCAATGGTGTGGTCATGGCTCACTGTAGCCTCCACCTCCTGAGCTTAAGCAATCTTCCTGTCTCTGCTTCCTGAGTAGCTGGGACTACAGGTATGTGCCACCACATCTGGCTCATTAATTTTTTTTTTTTTTTTTTTTTTTTAGAGAGGAGGTCCTGTTATGTTGCTCAGGCAGGTCTCAAACTCATGGCCTCAAGTGTTACTCCCACTTTGGCCTCCCAAAATGCTGGGATTACAGGCACAAGCCACAGTGACCAGCTTATCTACTTATGTCTCTTACCTTTTCTTCTGACTTTTCTTTCTTTTGTTATTTCATGCTTCATTCTTTCTTCATATTTTCTTCTGATCTGTCCTTATTTTACTAATTATCTCTCTACATCTATCAAAAATGCTGTTAAACCCATTTATTAAGATTTTAGGGTGGGCATGGCCATTCATGACTGTAACCCCAGCACTTTGGGAGGCCATGGCAGATGGATCACCTGAGGTCAGGAGTTCGAGACCAGCCTAGCCAAAATGGCAAAACCCTGTCTCTACTAAAAATCCAAAAGTTAGCCGGGCTTGATGGCACATGCCTGTGGTCCCATCTACTGGGGAGGCCGAGGCAGGGGAATCACTTGAACCTGGAAGGTGGAGGCTGCAATGAGCCAAGATCATGCCACTGCACTCCAGCCTGGGCAATGGAGTGAAACTCTGTCTCAAAAACAAACAAACAAACAAACAAAACTCCACAAACTTGTTTACAGGTGTAATTTGTAATTTGAGGCATAAGACATTATAATTGTCTTTCAGGGGGTATTTTCATATGCGTCTGGACCCATGAGGGCACCAGCAATCCAGGCTCCTTCAATCTAATTTCGGGACTTGAGATTATCAGAAATCAATCTATAGTCCCTTGAGGACCTGTCTACCTGCAGTTTGGCTTTGTTCTTAGGCTGTGGCCCTTCATGGTCTCAAATCAAAGCACAAGAAAGTTTATTAGGGCTTCCCCAGAAAGTCAGTGTCTCCTAGCACTGGAAAGATTGTCAAAAGCTCTGTTAAGTTTCTCAGCTTCTCAGCTGCCTTCTAACAAATCAAATGCTTGTAGGGATAATTGCCTCTGTGATGTTCTCCTCCCTGGGTCTCCTCCCAGCCTCTCTTGGATTCCTTGCCTAATATGTATGTACATATGTATGTATGTGTGTGTGCATGTGTTTGTGTGTGTGTCTTCAGTGAAAGGGTTGGTGTGAATTATCTGATTTGCACTTTTCAGAAGTAAAGTCCTATATATGACTTCTCACTAGTAATAATAGAATTTTTTTTTTTAAATAGTTAATCTGCCGGGTGCTGAGGTTGGTGGATCACCTGAGACTGGGAGTTTGAGACCAGCCTGGCCAACATAGTGAAACTCTGTCTCTACTAAAAATACAAAAATTGGCTGGACATGGTGGCTCATGCCTGTAATCCCAGCACTTTGGGAGGCCGAGGCGTGTAGATCACCTGAGGTCAGGAGTTCAAGATGAGCCTGGCCAACATGGCGAAACCCCGTCCCTACTAAAAACACAAAAATTAGCCAGGCATGGTGGCAAATGCCTGTAGTCTCAGCTACTTGGGAGGCTGCAGCAGGACAATCGCTTGAACCTGGGAGGCAGAGGTTTCAGTAAGCCGAGCTCACACCACTGCACTCCAACCTGGGTGACAGAGCAAGGCTCCATCTCAAAAACAAAAACAAAAAAAAACAAACACAACAAAAATTAGCCAAGTGTGGTGGTGGGTGCCTGTAATCCCAGGTACTGGGGAGGCTGAGGCAGGAGAATTGCTTGAACCTGGGAGGCGGAGGTTGCAGTGAGCTGAGATCATGCCACTGCACTTCAGCCTGGGCAACAGAGTGAGACTCTGTCTCAAAAAAAAAAAAAATTAATCTATAATTATATATCCAGCCAAACTATCTTTCAAGAATGAAGGTTATGTATTATATGGTAGCAGTCGAAATTTATAAACATGGAGAAATCTTGACAACATAATGAGAGTAAAAGAGTGAGTCACAAAATCATACACACAGTGTAATTCCATTTTTGCAAATAAACACATGCATGCATATGTAATAATATATTTGTCAATATCTGCAAATTTTGTGCCTTTAAAAAAATATATTATATTTGGGTCATGGGTCCATGGATGTCAGTTCTAATATTTTCTCCATTTTTATGTTTGAAATATTTAACTTAAAATATAGTGTTGGTTTTTGTTTTGTTTTAGAGAAAATCTTGTAGCATATCAGTCAGTAACCACATGAACTACAGCTGGAACACATGATATAATATGCTTATATTCAATTTTAAGGTTTGAAGAAATATTTTTAAAACCATAACTCACAAGTCTGGCAATCTCTGGGTTGCTCAGTTGAAGGCCCCAGATGCAGATCTCTTTCGCCAGTGTGTAATGCTCATCTTGAATGGTCATGAGCAAAGGTTCCAAGGAAACTGGTAGGATTCTTGGTGGGGAGTCATTGGGTCTTACAAGCATAAACTGGAGTGTAAGAAAAAAACAGGATCACGGTGGATATCATAAAGAGAAGTCTATGTGGAAAAGGAATACTCTTATTAGACAACAACATTAGAAGAATATTTAAAATAGTATTAACTTTGGGCCGGGCATGGTGGCTCATGCCTGTAATCCCAGCACTTTGGGTGGCCCAGGTGGGCGGATCACCTGAGGTCAGGAGTTCGAGACCAGCCTGACCAACATGATGAAAAATTAGCCTGGCATGGTGGCGCACACCTGTAGTCCTAGCTACTCAGGAGGCTGAGGCAAGAGAATTGCTTGAACGTGGGAGGAGGAGGTTCCAGTAAGCCAAGACATGCAACGGCACTCCAGCCTGGGTGACAGAGCAAGACTCTGTCTCAAAAAAAAAAAAAAAGTAGTATTAACTTTGGATCAAGTGTGCATTGAGGTGGTAATTAAAGACAAACTTATGAAGTTCCAGCCATGTACAAAGCTCCATGGAAAGTCCTATAGGGCAGAGATTTTTCTAGCAGGTTACCCAGTGTTATTGGGTCAGAAAATCAGTCTAATTAGTTGCAACCAGCCCTTCCTTCCCTCCTTCCTTCCTTCCTTCCCTCCTTCCTTCCTTACATCCTTCCATACTTGCTTACTTCCTTCCTCCCTCCCTTCCGTCCTTTCTACTCTCCGCCCTCCCTTCCTTCCTCCCTTCCTCCCTCCCTCCCTTCCTCCCTCCCTCCCTCCCTTCCTTCCTCCCTCCCTTCCTCCCTCCCTCCCTTCCTCCCTCCCTCCCTCTCCTTTCCTTCCTTCCTTCCTTCCTTGCCTCCTTCCTTCATTGTCTCCTTCCTTCCTTCCTTCCTTCCTCCCTCCCTTCCTTCCTTTCTACTCTCCGTCCTCCCTCCCTTCCTTCCTTTCTACTCTCCGTCCTCCCTTCCTTCCTCCCTTCCTCCCTTCCTCCCTCCCTCCCTTCCTCCCTCCCTCCCTTCCTCCCTCCCTCCCTTCCTCCCTCCCTCCCTTCCTCCCTCCCTTCCTCCCTCCCTCCCTCTCCTTTCCTTCCTTCCTTCCTTCCTTGCCTCCTTCCTTCATTGTCTCCTTCCTTGCTTCCTTCTTCCCTCCCCCTCCTTTCCTTCCTTCCTTCCTTCTTCCTCTTTCCTTCCTTCCTTTCTCCCTCCCTCCCTTCCTCCCTCCCTCTCCTTTCCTTCCTTCCTTCCTCCCTCCCTCCCCTCCTTTCCTTCCTTCTTCCTTCTTTCCTTCCTTCCTTCCTTGCCCCCTCCTCTCCCCTCTCCTTCCTTCCTTCCTTCCTCTCTTCCTTCCTTCCTTTCTTCCTACAGAGTCTCACTCTGTCACCCAGACTGGAGTACAGTGGGGTGATCATAGCTCACTGCAGCCTCCAGCTCCCAGGCTCAAGCTCCTACCTCAGCCTCCCAAGCAGCTGGGACTACAGGTGGGTGACACCACACTTGGCTAATTTTTTAATTTTTTGTAGAGACGAGTCTCACCATGTTGCCCAGGCTGGTCTCAAACTCCTGGCCTCAAGCAACCCTCCCACCTCAGCCTCCCAAAGTTCTGGGACTATAGACATGAGCCACCACACCCAGCCTCTTTTTTCTTCTTTAACAAAATAGAAAAGAAGGGAAATTGTCTGAGTGCCTCTTATGGAGTAAAAATAATAATGATTATCTCATGAGACTTTTATTTTAATGATATTCAGAATCATAATGGAGACCCTACCCAAGCAACCCACACAATATAAACAGCCTTTATGGTGGTACTGATGCATGCTGATACCTACACATGGGGTCATGATGTTAATTGTATTTATGACAGTGATTGCAGTGAAAAAAATAATTGAATATTGCTGAAGGGACTGGTTTGAACAAGTTACGATTAGCCCTTATAATTAAGTAGCGGAGGCTGATTATAAGAACTGGAGTTTTAAAAAAATGACTTAGGAACAATTTTACCACAAAAGGGCTGGTTCTGGGAAGGTCCTCCATTGGGATGAGCGGGGAGACATGGCAGGGACCCCAGCAAAGGCACTGTGAAAGTAAGGATTAGAGAGACTGGGAAAGGCGGATGAGGGATGGCAGAGTGGAAGAGGTGCTGGGTGGAAGGAGGCTTGGGGGAAGGAAGGGAGAGAGGGAGCCCCAGCTGGGGAGCTGGAAGTTCAGAGTACAAAGTGAAGAGTTGGGGCCTGGCCCAGATGTGTTTGGGGTGCCAGGCTCCCCCATCTGATCTGTCAGGTGCCCACTTCCCAAGTTACCCATTTCATCTCAATGCTGACCTCTCCTCTCCTCTTTCCCCCTCACATCCAAGCCCTAGATTTAATCTTAGAAAAGATACGACATCAGAATATTTTCTGAAACCCAGTGCTTTTGGAGTCAGAATTCTGATTGCTGGTCTCACTCCAAGTGAGCCGGCCTCAGGAGGGGAGGCATGGGCGAGACCAGGTCTGACCTCACGGCAGGGACGCATTGGCAGCCAAGAGAAGGAGGCCCTCACTTGGAGGGGTCAGTGGGGGTGGCTGGAGTGCCGGGAGCAGAGGTCCTGCGGTGATGACCAAAGTGCTGACTTTCAAGCTGGGCCTTCCAGATGTGGAGGAGGGGCCGGTGGCCCTTCCAGGGAAGTGGTGTGAGAACAGGCCCTCTGGAAGGGATGGGAGGGGCAGCCATGTAGGTCAAAGGGGGAATGGAGGAGAAGGGCTGAGCAGGCAAGCCGGGCTTTGCACTCCACTCAGTCAGGAATGCAGAGTGGATGACACAGCCAGCTCTGGGCTTGCAAGTGAAACCACCTTTGCAAAAATTATAACTGAGAAAATTATGGCAGTGAAAGAAATCTGACCTAACCAACTCCTTCTTGCTTTTAACCTTCAAAATGTCCTTGCGCATTCCTGGGCACAGGCCAGAATAACTTGGGGAGGAACTTAGTTTATGTTAATAGATTAACTTCGAAACAAAGACAATAACAACCCTTTCCCAAAACAAATCCCCTTCTTGACTAGGGACTAGACTGTCTTTGCAGGACTAACAAATTAGCCACAAGATTAGAAATTATGGTTTAGGAGTCACTGTTGTAAAACCTGAGATCAGTGCTTGAGACAGTTTGCAGACCCTGTGTTCCAAAGCACCAGCTGGTGCCACTCAGATGGGTAAGATGGCTCATCTGGTCTTGTGGACCCTACCCAGGAACTGACTCAGTGCAAGAGGACAGCTTCAACTCCCTATGATTTCATCTTCAACCCGACAAATCAGCATTCCCCACCTTGTGACCCCCTACCCACCAAATTACCCTTAAAAACCTCAATCCTGAATTTTCAGAGAGTTTGATTTGAGTGATAACTTCATCTTTTACATGGCGTGGCTGGCCTGGTGTCAATCAAACTCTTTTTTACTACAATGCTGTGGTCTTTATTTGTGCAGCGGGCAGAAAGAACCCCTTGGGAGGTTACACAAGGACCGAGTACCCATGTGGCTTGGGAGTAAACCCTAGCCAGTTCATTTCAGAGAAGAATAAGAAAACAAGACCATACACTCACCTTCCTGAGCACCTGGTCACTGTCAATGCTGCTTTTCAGGTCACTTTTGATGGCTGGACACACGGACGTCTGAGACTGCGCACAGTGTTTCTCATATGTTTTCAGAAACTTTTGAAGAATCAAAACGATGGGCAGGGGTGCCCCTTTAGATTTTTGTTTTCCTTCATTTGCTCTTGGCATTGTTTTATAGTGTTAGATTTCACTTGGATTCTGAAAACAGTAACTTGCCCTGAAACCCAACATACAGGTGTCTTTTTAAGGAGCAGAACATACTTCCTCCACTAAAAATATTAGGAAAATATTGCTGCATACCCTTCTCTGAAAATCTTGAAGTGCTTCATTTATCTTAAAATGGGACTAAGGAGTCAAAATGGAGACCATTGAAAGGAATTGTTCAATTTCCAATTTCCCTACTCATGGGTCCATATCCTTCTTTTAGATTCTTCAAAATAGGGGCAATGCCCACTGGAACTTAGTTATAAAGGAATGCAATTAACATTTATACTGGTTACTAAAAATTACCAAGAACATACTGGTTTTTAAATGGCATAGTTCCCTTTACAGACACAATTCTTGCCAGACAGTAATATATCATAGTGGTTAAGAATGTGGATTTGGAGATGACTGGGTCTGGACTTTAGTCTTGTCTCTACCACTTGACCCACTGGGTAGCCTTAGATAAATTATGAAGCCTCTTCACGTTTCCATTTCCCCATCTGTAAAATGGATTATGGGCCAGAGTGAAGTTTTTGAAATGTAAATCAGGTCATATGACTCTTCTACTTAAATCTCTCCAATGGCTTCCCACTACATTTATCTTTACTGAATTTATCACATGCATATTCTACCAGTTATTAAGAGAGTGAACGTGAATTTGTCTAACTTTGCTATTAATTCTGCCAACATTTGTTTTATATATTTTAAAGCTATGTTATTAGGTGTCTATACATTTAGAACTGATAAATCTTCCTGAGGAGTCTACTCTTTTGTTATTATGTAATATTCCTGTTTATCTCTAGTAATGCTTTGCACTTTCAAGCCATGGTTCCCATACTACACTGAGGCGCTTCGGGGCACTGCCACAGATTTACAGGGCACTGTAGGATAATTTAAAATTTCAAGAGAAAGCCAACAACATCTGTTAGATGTCATGTGAATTATTAGCTGGAAGAATTTTACAATTTCAAATTAGATCACACTTGTATTCGTATCCTATTTTTACATAGCAAATGACCCCATCATGGGTGAAAAGCATTCTGGAAAGGGGAATGAACCCAGTGGAATGTAGAGACATTCAGATACTAGGGTAAGGGAAAATCACAATATCATAGTTCTGGTTGGGACTTTACAGATTGTCTAATCCAGGATGTTGAATGCTAAAAACAGAAAAGCACTAGGCAAACCAGGATCACTGTTAACTCTAGCAGTCCTCCTCCACTCACGGCCATCTCCCAGGTGTCCTCTCAGAAGTCTGTACTCCAGTCTGCTGCCACAGAGCAACCAGACTTGGCAGCTACAGAAAACTGTTTATTGGGCAAGGTCAACCTTTTTTTGGTGCAGTGGTGCAATCACAGCTCACTGTAACCTTGATCTTCTGGGCTCAAGGAAGGAAAAGAAGGGACTTACTTCAGCTGAAAACAGAACTGGGTCTCCTGACTCCCAGGACTGTTTCAGGCACAAAGACATGGGCCATAAGAGCACACAGAGAATGGCCGGGCACGGTAGCCCCAGTCTCTACTAAAAATACAAAAAATTAGCTGGGCATGGTGGCATGTGCCTGTAATCCCAGCTACTCCGGAGCCTGAGGCAGGAGAATCGCTTGGACCTGGGAGGCGGAGGTTGCAGTGAGCAGAGATGGCGTCACTGCACTCCAGACTGGGCGACAGAGCAAGACTCCTTCTCAAAAAAAAAAAAAAAAAAAAAGCACCCAGAGAAATTGCGACACCCCCCACTGCAGGCCAAGAGGAGTGCCCTCTGAATGAAACCCACCTCAACGGCAGCTTGATCTCAGACTTCCAGTCTCCAGAACTGTAAGAAAATTCTGTGGTTTAAAGTACCCGGTCTATGGTATTTCGTCATGGCAGCCCAAGCTAAGACAGGTAGTATACAGTATTACTGCTCACATTATGGATTATTCCTCACCAGCATTTAAAGTATTTACAGATGCACAAACTACCCACATAGATTCTGCAAATGCTCTAATAAGACACTTTTGAATCTTGAGTTTTTCACTTAATGTTTTATCACGAGAATTTATGTCATTTTTATATACAGTAAATGCTCAGGTTGGCAAATATCTAGGCACTTCAAAGCCAGCATTGATTGAATCATTAATGAATATTTATTGAAGGTCTAAGGTATATGTGTCCCGCCCTGTGCTAGGTTTTACTTGTCTTTTCTGAAAGTGACTCTCCCTCCCCAGTGTCCTGGAGACAGTGTGGGGACAGCGTGGGTGCCGGAGGAGGGGCTGAGAGTGGAGGTGGCCGGACCCTGCCCTCTGTCCCGAGGGGATGTGGAGGGCCCCCCTCTGGGTCCCTTGCCCGCCCAGCTTGGACAGCTCCTGGTCCACCTCGGAGTCCCAGGGGACATGGAGAGGGCCTGCAAGGAGAGGCTGCTTTGCGCTCCCTCTCCAAGGCTCCCGTGCTTTTAATATATTTCCCTAGAGAATCCTAGCTGCTCACCCTGAGGCCGGGAAAAGCCCAGCTGCGTGCACTCTTCCCCGCCCCCGCCCTGGGGCTGTGCGGGTGCATAGGGGAGAGAATAGGGGTTGCGAGCACCATGGTCTCCAGGGAGCCTCGCTCCTGGGATCAAGCATTTCTCCTGGAGCTGGGGCAACCTCCTCCGGCCCCTGCCCGCCCCGCCGGGCGCCCGCACTCACTCGCTCTCACTCTCCCTGCGTCCCGGGCCGGCTGCCCGCGTGGCGTCCGGCGCCCTGGAGACTGCGGCGAGGGGCGGAGGCTGGAGGGACTGTGGCCACCCAGGGCGCCGGCGCCGGGGAGACAGCGGGAGCTGGAGGAGGAGGCAGGTGGCGGCGGGAAGCAGTGTCAGGACTGGTCGGAACTCGGGCTCGGGCTCGGGCTTGGATTTGGAGAAACTGAGAAATCCTGGTGTCCTCGCTGCAGGTCAAACTTGTCGCAGCCAACGTCGCTGCGAGGGACGCTGCCTGGCAGGGAACAGGGGAAGTTGAGGAAGGCGGACCGGCGTCCCTGTTCATCAGTGGGGAATCTTGGGGAGACAGAGGCCTCCGAAGCGTGGACGCTCCAGCCTGTTGCCGCCGCTCCCAAGGCCGCCGTGGACCAGCCCTGGAGCCGCTAACACGATTTCCCAGGGAGCCGCGTCCCCGCATCACCCAGCAGGAGCTGCAGGCGACAGGGACGCTCTCGCCGTCCCGCCCGGTCCTCTCTTGCCCACTAGAAGGGCTTCATGGAGCGGCTGCTTCCCCCTCCCAATCCCAGGAGAAAAGGGGCGCAGGGATAAAGGCAGAGGCTCAGGGACTATACAGGAGTTTTTCTGGGGAATGTTAAGGAGAAAGGTGCAAAACAGCTGAAGCTTTCAGGACTGGATGGGGAGGAAAAAGGATTTTAAAAAGCTTTACTGGCCGGGCGCGGTGGCTCACGTTTGTAATCCCAGCACTTTGGGAGGCCGAGGAGGGCAGATCACCTGAGGTCAGGAGTTCCAGACTAGCCTGGCCAACATAGTGAAACCCCGTCTCTACTAAAAATACAAAAATTAGCTGGGCGTAGTGGCGGGCACCTGTAATCCCAGCTGCTCGGAAGGATGAGGTAGGAGAATCGTTTGAACCTGAGGCAGAGGTTGTAGTGAGCCAAGATCGCGCCACTTGCTTCAGGCAGTAGTCTGGGGGCGTAGAAAGGAAGGCTTGGGAGGATGTGGTGGGCAGAATAGAATCCCCCAAAGATATGCATGCTGTAATCCTGGGAACTTGTGGATATGTTACCTTATATGGCAAAAGCGACTTTCCACAGGATTAAAGTTATGGACCTCGAAGCAGGGCGCAGGTTGGAGTGAATGGTTATCCTTGATTACCCAGGTGGGCCCTGTCTAATCACAGGAGTCTGAGAACGTGACATTGAGAACCTTTTAGGTTAGGTCAGAGAGAGATAAGGAAGATAGAGAGAGAGAGAGAGAGAGAGAGAGGAGAGAGAGAGAGAGAGAGAGAGAGAGAGAGAGAGAGAGAGAGAGAGAGATGAAATGAGCAGGATTTTGCGACCTGTTGAAGCCTTTAATGGGGAGGTAAGGAGACTCAAGCCAAGGAAGGTGGGCAGCCTCTAGAAGCTGGAAAAGTGGAGAAAGAATTCTCCCCAAAGCCTCCGTAAGGAAACACAGCCCTGCCAACTCCTTGATTTCAGTCCAGTGAAAGTTGTGTGGGATTTCTGCCCTCCATATCTGGCACATAAGTTATCTATATCTATCTTAGGATATAGAGTAGGTGCTTAATGCATACTTGTTTAATGGAAAAAAGTGAATAAAAATAACAGTTGGATTAAATAAATTCACAGTAAACTGCAAATGGAAAGTAACCCCTTCATTCCTGTAGGGCTGGCTGTAGTTTTCTAAGCGTATGTTTTAAACCCAATTGGCTCTAATGGGAGGAAGTCTGGGCTCACAGTGAAGTGAGGAGGGTCAAGAATGGCCAGGAGGGATCCTGAATTTGGTCCAACATGACTTTCCAGTGAGTGTGCCCTTAGGAGTCTGTGCCCCTCTGTTATTTTTGCCTCTTCTCTTCCTCTCTCTGCTGGAACTTACAGCTTTTCTCAAAGGGTCCTATTTTGTGCATGACTATTTCTGCCTTCATAAGACAAAAAGCAGAGGAGGGCAGTGAGGGAGGAGAGTTCCAGAGTAGGCAAGAGGGCACCTGCAGGGCACCCGCTGAGACTCAGGGCAGATGCTTAGGGAGCAGAGGAATGGTCAGGAAGGCCAGAGCCCGAGGACAGGGACAGTGAGGGGCAGAAGCTAGACAGCCCATCAGAGCTGAGATGAAGGGTCCTTCGTATGCACTGTGGGCAAGTTCTTAAAGGAACCATGTCACTAGAATTTGGTCCAGCTGCTAGTGACAGAAACCCAGTTACACAGCTGAAACAATACAGAAAGTCACTTCCCTTTCATGTAAATGAAGTTCAGGAGTGAGCAGTCCAGAGCTGCTGCAGAAGCTCCAGGATTATAAAGAACCAAAGCAACTTTTACTTTATTACTCTTCCATCCTTGGTGTGTGACTTCTACCTCATGGCCCAGAATGGTTGTTGAACTCCAGCCATTTTGTCCCAAATTCAGGAAAGAAAGCTGGAAAAAGAAGGGCACATTCTCTGTCTTTAAGGATATCTTCCAGAAACTGCACATGACACTTGTGCTTACATCCCCCTAGATTAGGGACATGACCATACAAGATCATACCTAGCTGCAGAGGAGGCTGGGAAATGTAACCTTTATTATAGGCAGCCATGTGCCCACCTGAAAATGGGAGCTTTTGTTACTTACAGAAGAAGGGAAAGACAGATATTGGGAGATAACTAGCACCCTGAGCCACCACAGCTGGTAGCTGCCAGAGCCACAGCAATGACAGGTGCAGTGGTGAGATAGTTGCCAGTTTATCAGTACTGACACAGGATTCTTCTCAGCCACTTTGCCAACTGGGGACCTCCTTAGCCAACAATGCCTCACCTGCCTCCCAGGTCTCACTTGCCCACAGCCTGCTGCTGGAGGCACCCTCCCCACTTGGCCCACCTGTGTTATGGCTTGTACCTGCGTTCGGTGGTTTCCGAGCTCTTGTCCCACATCCAAGAAGAATGAGGATACACTGACAATTCAAAGGGTGAGGAGGGTGGAGAAGAATTTTATTGAGCCACAGAACAGCTCTCAGCAGAGAAGAGATGCGGGGGTGGTCCCCCATGCCAGCAGTTGGGTGGGTTTCTCTCCCAATGTGGCTGAATCAGGGCTTTTATGGACTCAGAATGGCAAGTGTGTGCTGATTGGTTTGTGAGTATGCAAAAAAGTTTAAAGCGAAGATACCACTCAAAGGTGCACACAACAGTGTAGAAAACCCTTAGGGAAGTGTGGGTATATGTAAAATAGGTGAAGGGTGGGGATCAATTAGAGGAAAGCATGCCAAACGGAAAGACGGGTTCTCAATCTGGTCCATGGATTTGACATGTAGCTTGGCTTTCAGGCTTTAAACTTTCTTTGGCTTGGAGGTGGAGTTTCACTGGGGACCCGCCCCTATCTCCCTAGGCATTTGGCTGACTCCTGTCACTATCAGTACTATGTGGATTTCTCACACGTTGAGCATTTGTAAAGCAGGGGCAGCCTGGAACTCATTTAACAGTTGTAATTTTGGATGTGACTCACCAGGGCTGAATTACCTAAGAGGCTAACCAAGTATGTGTGCAGGGCTCCAGCAAAGTTGGAAACAAAACAATAGCAATGAGAAGGAAAGAACTTGCTATTTCATATTGCAAGCAAACAAACAAACAAAAAGCTAGCAAAATAGTTTTGGGAAAAATCAGTACTTTGTTGGGCTTCATTATTTATATTTTGCAGTGCAGTGCTGTTTTGGTTTTTGATTTACATAGAAGAGAAAGATGGATGTGCCACAATCTCTTTGGTTCTTAAAAACATGATCAGGTACTCAGAATCAATATCAGCCTACCCCACCGGGTGCCTTTGCTCCCTGCTAATCCATCACTGGAACTCTTAAAAGGCCTTTGAGATGAATTTTGCTTTTGGTGGAGAGGGGCTGTTGTGCTACTGAATACACAGGAGATTGTATGCCAGAGGGGAGAAATCCTGAGAGAAGAAAAGGAAAGGAGAAAGAGAAAGAAAGAGAGAAAATGAGAATAGGAGGGAGAAGAGACAAAGGAGGAAGGTGAAGTCAAAGGGACAGACCAGTTCAGGGGTGACCCACTCCTGATGTGGGGATTTTAAATGTATCCACAAATACATCTACTCCTTCCTTCAAAAGATGGAGCTTCATTCTGCTTTCCTTGGGTGTGGGCTGACCTTAGTGACTGGCTTCTAGTGAATAAAACATGGTAGAAGTGATAGTGTGTGACCAGGTCAGAAAGGCATCGCGACATCCTTCTTGTTCTTCCTCTTGGCTCACTGGCTCTGAGAGGAAGCAGGCCCCGTTTTGTGAAAATGCCCAAGAAGCCCTGGGAAAGGTGCATGTGACAAGGAACTGAGGCCTCCAGCCAACAGTCATTTTGGAAGTGGATTCTTCAAGCCAGTGAAGCCTTCAAGTCACTGCAGCCTCATGAGCAACTCTGAGCTGGAACCACCCAGCTAAGCCACTCCCAGAATCCTGATTCTCAGAAATTGTGTGAGATAATAAGTGCTTGTTGTATAAAGCCATTATGTTGTAGAATAATTTGCTGTACCACCAATATAAGACTAACACACTTAGGAACTTCTTTCTCCATAATGGAAGATTCACAGGTTCTAGACGGTGCATGGCCAAAGTGCCTGAATATCCATTCTCCTCTTCTACCTTGCTAACAGAACTCAGTTTTGGTATGTGGGCCCACAAGCCAGGAAAACAACATTCCCTAGGCTTTCTTGTTGATGGGATAACCATGTGACATAGCGTTGGCCAATGAGACATATGCATACATTGATGAAAGAGGCTTCCCAGAAGGCTCTTTACAAGGAGGCAGATCCAGGTGGCTTGACCTTTCTGTCTTTTGTTCCTCCATTTCTTCTTGCTTGGAATACAGTCATGGTGCTGAAGACTAAGCTGCCGTTCTGTAATCACTAGATGTCAAACACACCTTGGATAGCTGAGCAGATGATGGAAGGAGTCTGGATCTTTAGTAGCATCATGGAGCCCCTGAACCAGCCTGAGTTGCCCTCTTCTGTATTTTCTTTGTTTGTTTGTTTGTTTTTCAGACAGGGTCTCACTCTGTCACCCAGGCTGGAATGCAGTGGCACAATCATAGCTCACTGCAGCCTTGAACTCACGTGCTTAAGCAATCCTCTCATTTCAGTCTTCCAGGTAGTTGGGACCACAGGCACACATTACCACTCCTGGCTAAGTTTAAAACGGAAATTTTTTTTAAGAGATGGGGTCTTACTATGTTGCCCAGGCTGGCCTCAAACTCCTGGCCTCATGTGATCCTTCCCACCTTGGTCTCCCAAAGTGCTAGGATTACAGGCCTAAGCCACCACACCTGGCCTGGATTCTCATTTCATAAAGCAAAACTGTTCGGATTTCTCAGATTTACAGATATATAAACTCCTTGACTGATGCATCTTTAGAAATGTGCAAACACTCAATTCCAAATTTTAGAAAGTATGCAGTGGTAGTATCACATTTTTGATTGGTGAATTTGTGTTGTTCACCTGTCTCTGAAACCTACAGAAACTGTTCTGAAGAGAACAGGGATTATAGTGGTAAGAAATTAGGACACAGCTGGGCGTGGTGGCTCATGCCTGTAATCCCAGCACTTTGGGAGGCTGAGGTGGGCAGATCACCGAGGTCAGGAGTTCAAGACCAGCCTGGCCAACATGGGGAAACATGGGGAAACCCCATCTCTACTAAAAATACAAAAAATTAGCTGAGCATGGTGGTGGGTGCCTGTAATCCCAGCTACTGGGGAGGCTGAGGCAGAAGAATCACTTGAACCTGGGAGACGGAGGTGTGCAGTGAGCCGAGATCACACCATTGCACTCTAGCCTGGACGACAAAGCAAGACTCTGTCTCAAAAAAAAAAAAAAAAAAAAAAAAAGAGAAATTAGGAAACAATCTCCAGTCTCGTTTCATTTTCTCAAGGAGAACACTGAGTTTTGAATACTAAAAAGGTGACAACTGGCCCTGCTGGCCGCCAGAGTGTGGCTTCCAAATTGCACATAAGCATTGCTCCCACCTCCCAACAATATGTTTGGGGCAAGACAGACCAGGCCATTCTCCAAGCACGAAAGTGACTAAATGTCCTCTTCTGATGGACCTGAATGACTGCTGTCCATCACCAATGACGGCCATCTGGAGTGCTCCTATAGTCTTGATAAAATTCACATACGATTACAAATTGCCCGTACTCCTTGACAGCATCCAATCTAGGACTGCCCCCCACTTTCCTCTTCCCCTCCTAGAGTCACCCCATGTGAGTCCAATCCTGTAAGAAACCTCTCCCAACTCCTTCTTCCTGAAGTCCCCGTGTTCCTCTGGGGACATTTGCTCCTATTGTAGGAAGGCCAGTAAATCTAACGTCTTTTTTTCTTTTTTTTGGACTGCAGATCAAAGAAATCCTGGTAATCTTTTGTCAGTGACATTTAACAGAACCCCAAAGCCAGAGCTGTAAGCCCCTCCCCTGTTTATGGGCTCCAGCAGGGTCAGGAATTGATGAGAGTGGGAGGAGCAGGCAACAGAGCACAGCCCTGGCAGGAGTTGGAATTTTTGGAAACTCATTCAAATTGGCCTCAAATAACTTGTCCTCCATCTATGTGTCTGTTTCTTCTGGCACCAACAGGAGGAGAAAGGAGAAGCCTTGGACCCTTAAACAGGCAGCCACCATCTTCCAAGCCCACTTCCCCCAGCAGAGTTCCAGGGAAGGAAGCTCTCTCTCTTTTCTGCTCTTTCTGTAGTCGTCATTCAGTCCTGACAGGGTTCCTACGCCAAAAAAAGCAAAATCTCCAGTGAGGAAATGGTGAGACCCTTACATCAGGCGGCTAAGGAAGAGTTTTCTTCTAGGGTGTACTTAGAAGGAAGAGGAGGTTTTCCTGGGGCTGGGCATATCTGAAATTCACAGGCACTAGGTGTTGTGGGCTCAGTGAGGACTGGCCTTGCAAACCATTTGCAGGTGTTTCTGAGAAGTGATATGATCAGAAAAAAAAAACTCAAATAAACTTCTTAACTAAAGGACAGGAATGTTTTCCAGTAAAAAACTCAATGGAGAAAGACATTTGAAAACAAATCTCAAATAGTTTTTCAGCAAGGTGAATGGGGTAATGATACAAAACTAAGCCTTAAATGTGGGCTATATCAGAGCTTCTTAACCCCAGTGCTACATTAGAACCATCTGGGAGTTTGAAAGTAATGTCCATGCCTGAGACCCTGCCCCAGACCAGTTACATCATTATCCTTGGGGTGGGGCAACAGTGTTTGTTCTCAGGTGGCTCTAACATGCAGCCTTGGAAAGGCACAGGGGTGTGGAAGAGTGCTGAGACCAGGAATCAGGAATCAGTCCTCTCCACTGTCAAGCAAGGTACTCCGCCACTCTCATTGTTCTCATTTGCAATATCAGTGTTTCTGACATTTTAATGTGCACACAAGTTACATGGGGATCTTGTCAACGTGAGAGTCTGGTATAGTAGGTGAAGAGTGGGGCCTGAGACCTGCATTTCTAAGAAGCTCGTGGATCCTGCTAATGCTGCTGGTCTGTGGGCTATAATTGGAATAGCAAGGTCCTAGGTCCGTGGTTCTCAAAATGTAGTCCCAAGACCAGCAGCCTCAGCATCACCTGGTGTCAGGTTCCGGCCCAAGCTGAGGTCCAAGGGGAGTCGGTTGATGAGGGGAGGGCAGCTGAAAGAACATGCGAGAGACCACAGGCAGGTGGGACATGGCTTTGTTCAGCAGCTCTTTCACACTGTCAGTGCTGCATTTATGCACCTCACAGACAACAGTGGCTCAGAGTCATGTGATGAGCCCTCCCATGTTATGGCTACATAGCTGTGGTGGTTTAATACACAGGATTGTGTGCCTGTGCTCCAATCCTGCTGTGTCATGCTATGCCGGATGTGTACCTCGGCCTATACTTGACTGCAGTGCGGCCATTGTCCTTCCACCTGGGAAACTGTTAGAAATGCAAAATTTTGGACTGTTACTCTGATACTCTGAGTATGACAAGATCTAGCCATCTGTTATAACAAAGCTTCTAGGTGATTCTGAAGCATGCTTAAGTCTGACGACCTCTGCCCTGTAAATTCCAAAATCTCTTCTGGTTCTGAGATTCTCTGGTACCTGGTCTTTCTGATTGCTACAGAAACCACTGCTCTTCCTCAGTACCCCAATTGAAAATCCATCAACACCAGACATGATCCTGGGGGCCACTAGTGCATGCCTTCCCAGCACTGTCCCGGATTTTGTTCCCTGAGGAGCCATTCCTTCTGGGAATTTGGACCTATCACCATTTCCCTAGTATGATGGTTAATTTTATGTGCCAATCTGGCCAGACCATGGTGCCCAGATATTTGGTCAAACATGATTCCAGATGTTTCTGTGTGGATGTTTTTTTGGGTGAGATTGACATTTAAATCAGTGGATTCTGAGTAAAGCAGATTGCCCTCTGTCATGTGGGAGGACTTCCTCCCAACAGTTAAAGCCCTTACTAGAACAAAGACTGACCTCCCAGCTGAAAGAAGGAATTCTGCCTGCAGACTGCCTTTGGATTCAAATTCCCACTCTTCTCTGAGTCTCCAGCCTGCCCCATCAGATTTTGAACTTGGCCAAGCCTCCACAATCATGTGAGCCAATTCCTTATGATAAACCTATCTATACACACATTCTGTTGGCTCAGTCTCTAGAGCACCGTAACTGTTTTGGAGGTCCTTTCTGCTCCTCTCCAAATCCAGCATGCCTGCTTTAAAAATGTTATCTCCCCATCTTTTCTGTTCTCATGGCCAAGTTCTCTGTGTCAAGTATTTGCAAGGAAATAATATCCAGAAACCTAATAAATCTGTCACCTTAAAAGATCACAGAGCAGAAGTAGCATACCAGAAGAGCCAGGCGGAATAAAATTTGTTGCCTTTTCTTCAGGTAAGATCTTATTGTACTTTGCTATCTGCTGCAAAATATCAAGCACCTCTTTTAGTAGTTGTTGGTAAATAGGGCAAAAATATGAGGTCAAAGTCTTATTGCTGAAGTTGACAACTTCTTCTTATTCAAATTAATTAACTCAAATTAACTTAAATCTTATTCAAATAAATTTGAGTATTCAATTTTATATTTGGTAATAGGACGGAACTTTTTTCTTCCCTTCATCCTCCCCAGTTCCCAGCAATTTTGCTTTCCTGCTGCATACTGAAGTTGAGTTAACAGATATGGCCTTGGTAATGCAACTCAGCACCCCCTCCCTTTTTCAGTATAATAACATAGTTTAAGCTCAACACACACAGTAAACTAAGAGGGGGCCATTTTTTACAACATGAAGGCCTACTTGCCTTGTAGATGCCTCATCTCCAGGACTACAGTCCTCCTCCCACACCATCAAGAGGAAAATGGAATGATTGTCCACATAGATGAGAAGCTGCAAAGAGGACCCTGGGGAAGAAGGTGAGAAAGGGCCAAGGAACTGGAGGGCTCTTAGGTGTGGAGCCCCAAGGGCTTCCCTATGAAGACCACGTCCCTGGAGAATCTGGGTCGGATGAGTTCAAGACAGAGGGGAGCCACTCCCAAACCACTGTGGACTCTGGGCTGGAAGACTGGATGTCTCCATGAGGTAAAGGAGTGTTTGGACTTTGGGTGCCTTGACTTTGTGCTTGTGATAAAGGTCTAGGCTATACTTTTTTTGTTTTTTTTTTTTTTTTTTTTGAGATGGAGTCTTGTTCTGTAGCCCAGGCTGGAGTGCAGTGGCGTGATCTCGACTCACTGCAAACCCCGCCTCCTGGGTCCTTGTTCAAGCAGTTCTCCTGCCTCAGCCTCCTGAGTAGCTGGGATTACAGGAATGCGCCACCATGCCCAGCTTATTTTTGTATTTTCAGTAGAGATGGGGTTTCACCATGTTGGCCACGCTGGTCTTGAACTCCTGACCTAGTGATCCACCTGCCTCGGCCTCCCAAAGTGCTAGGATTACAGGTGTGAGCCATTGCACCCAGCCTGGTCTAGGCTATACTTTCTTAAAGAAACACCAACATTGCATTAAGAAAACCAAAGTGTTTTATCTCTTCCCCCATCTTGTGAGGTGAATGTGGGCTATGGACCATGAAGAAAGCTTGCAGGCATGCAATTCATTGAATTTGGAAGTCCAGTTGCATGGTTCCATAATTGTCCTCGCTCCAGTGGTCTTCCTAGGTTCCCTTTCCTGGGTACAGAAGAGGAGCAAAGACTTTTTTATTCTTGTGGAATCCAAGAATAGAATTTCATTGTAGATTTGCAATCACCACCTTTGTACACTGAAGTTCTCATGTTGCGAGTGTCCTTGTGGCAGCCGTGCAAAGCGCTGCAGATTCAGAAATCTGAGTGCACAAGAACATTTGCTAAGCCTGAGAAGAAAGGTATGTTCCCTGTGGGCTTTGTGTGGGATGGCAGAGACAAATAGCTCCTGCTTTTGCTGACTCAAAATTCAGCTTAGAATCCAGACAAAAATTACTGAATTAAAAAGTTAGTTTTAGACATTTTATTTAACTCCCACAGCTTTCTTTCTCACAAGCCTAAGACACCACAATGGAGAAGATGACATTCTCATTATTGAACTCTCTTTGTGTCATTCAGTCCTCACTATTCTACATAATTCTTTATGGTATTGTTAATGCATGAAATTGTTTTATTTTTAAAACATAGTCATTTCCACAAATAGTTAAGTGTTATATGCTGAAAATGGGTATATTCTCAAATACAATATATAATTTCTTGAGGTAGAGTAGCAGCTCGTTAAGTAAATTTAAGTTTGAACAGATTCATTAATTAGTCTTGTGGTTGCAAGCATCAGAAAGTATTTCCTATTATATGAGTTCACATATTTGCAACTAGTGAACTTTCTGTTACTTTTCAGATTCTGTAGTTGTTAATGCTTTGTATTCCCCCAGATAGTTTAATTTTTCCTTGGGGAACTTAATGAGCTGCCTTCCCAGCCAAAATATCTATGAAGGTGAGTAATGCTTCCATTCAATTTTATATCCAGTTGGAGAAGAAGTCTAGCTAACAGGCATATGGGCATACGGATTTGCTTTTTTTTTTTTTGTTTTTTTTTTGTTTGTTTATTTATTTGAGATGGAGTCTCGCTCTGTCACCAGGCTGGAGTGCAGTGGCGAGATCTCAGCTCACTGCAACCTCCATCTTCCGGGTTCACGCCATTCTCCTGCCTCAGCCTCGCAAGTACTGGGACTACAGGCACGCACCACCACGCCCAGCTAATTTTTTTGTATTTTTAGTAGAGACAGGGTTTCACCATGTTGGCCAGGATAGTCTCGAACTCTTGACCTCATGATCAGCCCACCTCGGCCTCCTAAAGTGCTGAGATTACAGGTGTGAGCCACCGCGCCCAGCCCTGGTTTGTTTTGAAGTCTGAGAGTATGGATGATTTAGATCAAACCAATGGTTTGACCCAATGTTTTAAATTTGATTTGATTATCCAAGGTGCCACAGGTCTGTAGCTCTATTGCTCTTATAGCAGGGGCTTCATCCCAGCCCCTGTTGGGACCATTGCTAAATTTCAGATCTGTTGGGCACATCTGAAGAATTGACAGCATGGGCTATCTGAAGTTGACTGGATGTGGAAGACCAGGGAGGTTTCCTAAAGGAAAAAGGAGCTAGCCTTATCCGTGGAAGGGGGAGGTGTACATGTACTAATAAGCATGCCTCTGTGGTTGGTTTGATGTGGGAGAGCAGACAGTGGGGAGCAAGGGAGTGTGGTACCCTAGCCAAGCTCCCAGCCTCCCTGCAGGCCCTGGGTAGTTCAAGACCTCACATGGCCTGGTGGCAGTCTTCGGGAGGAAAGGGTGGCTCAGCGGCGCTAACAGCGATGACCAATTAGAGCTGTGTCTGGGCCCAGCAGATGACAGGGGAGGAGAAGGAAAGCAGAGCAACACTTCAGCTGCCTGGGCTAGCTGGGGGATCTGTGTGAAACACCCGAAAACATCTCCCAGGAACTTCCAGGGATCTGAGGTCCAAAAATAGCAAGTAAAGACAAGAACTAGTGAGAGGTAGGCCATATATTATTTTTAAAGTATTTTTGCTATTATTAACATATGCCTTATTTTCATATAAAAATTAAGTGATGCCATAGGAAAGGGAACCCCCGCTACTCACAGTCAGATCTCTGTTTACTGAGGCAAATTATCAACCTGTCAGGTCAAAGTTCAATTTGGACAGACTGGTGTTGAAACAAATTACATTCTGTAGCAGTTCGTGTTCTGCAGTTGCAAGCAACAGAAAATATTTCCAATTAACTAGGGCAAAAAAAAAAAAAAGAGGATGTATTGGCAGAATCCTTGTGATAAGTAATTTTAGTGTCAACGTGGCTAGGCCATGGTACCCAGTTTTTGATCAAACACTGGTCCAGATGTTGCTGGGAAGGCATTTTTTAGATGTAATTAGCATTTAAATAAATTGATTTTGAGTAAAGCAGATCACTCTCCATGGTGTGGGTGATCGCTAATCTAGTCAGTTGAAGACCTTAGGAGAAAAGACGGAGAAGTCCCTCGAGGAAGAAGGAATTCTGCCTCTGGACTGCCTGTGGACTTGAACTGCAACCTCAGCTCTTCCCTGGGTCTCCAGCTGGCAGGCCTGCCCTGCAGATTTCAGACTTGCCAGCTGCTACGATTGCACGAGCCAATTCTTCAAAATCTCTCTCTCTCTCTCTCTCTCTGTTTCTGTCTCTCTCTCAAGACACACCCACCCCCATCCTAGTGGTTCTGTTTCTCTGGAGAACCCTGACTAATACACTGCTAAGGGACAGCTGAACAACTAGGCCTTGGGAAAGGCAGAAAACAGGTCACCCCTGGGGACCTGGGCATGTACCATTGCACTATACTATGTGCCATTAGATGACTCCACAGCACCATGATCTGTGTCTGTGTCTATTCAAGATCCAACTTCTTGAAAGAGGAAGAATTGGCTGGGTCTTTCTATTGCAAGGTGTGGGGTGCTATTGCCAGATAAGAGGTGGAGAGGAAACAGGTCAGAGGAAAAACAATAAACATTCCCTAGAATGAGGTTCCTTGAGGTAGATATGTTCGCTATCAAAGTACACCTTGAAACAGAACCTCTCAAATGCTGTCTTTGACTGACATGGGTCCTCAGCGCAGCCATATGTAAAAGACAGCGCCGTTCAGTGCCAAGCTCCTGTGTTCTGTGTAGAATGGCCAACACAAATTGTTTTTCGTGGTCAACTTTTATGAAAAACTCTCATGGAGGGGAGTTAGATTCATATGAGAAATTCACCCAGAATCAAATATAAAAATAAGTTATATAGTCCAATTTAGAGCAAAAAATAGAGGTTGTAGAATTGGATATGATAATGTGCAAGTTACTTCCTGTTTATTCTTGGCTTCATTCCTGCCCTGGTACACTCTGAACTACTGGGGTTGAGAGGTTGCAAACTACATTTCCCAGGCCCCTTTGCCAACTGGATATCCGTGGGCTCCTCCAATCAAAGGACAGGCAGGAGACCAGAGGGTAGGGAGAAGGGAGGAGAGTCTTACACTGGCCTTCATTCCCTGGCAGTTGTTGGCAGGTCCTCGCAGTTGCTGTTGAGGCAGCAGAAGTAGGGTCATTCCGAGGCCCTAGAAGCCCAGATAGAAGCAGAACATTTTCAGTGGTTTTATCTCTTCATCTCTTTGATGGATTTAGAACTAATTGCAATGGTGGCTCCAAAATTGTGGCAGCAGATGTAGGGTCTCAGAGCCCCACTCAGGGTGATATTAGCAGCTTCTGGTCTTTGGTTATCACTGTTTCTTTTTTTGTTTTGTTTTGTTTCTCCAGCATTCTTTCTTCAACCTTTTGCTCTTCTAGCCCTTCTAACAATTTTGTTGAAAATTCCCCAAATTAGGCCAGGCGCGATGGCTCACGCCTGTAATCCCAGTACTTTGGGAAGCAGAGGCGGGTGGATCACCTGAGGTCAGGAGTTCAAGACCAGCCTGGCCAACATGGTGAAACCCCATCTCTATTAAAAATGCAAAAATTAGCCAGGCATGATGGCACATGCCTGTAGTCCCAGCTACTTGGGAGGCTGAGGCAGGAGAATCACTTGAACCCAGGAGGTGGAGGTTGCACTGAGCTGAGATTGAGCCACTGCATTCCAGGCTGGGTGACAGAGGAAGACTCTATCTCAAAAAAAAAAAAAAAAAAAAAAAAAGAAAAGAAATTCCCAAATTAAATTTTCTCTGTTTGAAATAACTGGAGTGTTTTCTGTCTTTCTGACTGAACTCTGACTGATACAAAAGGCACAAGTGTTGCTTCTGAGTTTCAATGTAAGGAAACTTAATTCCCATATTTAATTTTGGCTCTGTTTAAAATTTGAGCAGACAGTTTACAGTAGTTAGGTCATCTTGGCCTCCTCAATTTTCCTGTTTGGGTTTTTTTTGTTTTTGTTTTTGTTTTTTTGTTTTTTTTTTTCAGACGGAGTTTTGCTTTTGTTGCCCAGGCTGGAGTGCAGAGGCATGATCTTGGCTCACTGCAAACTCTGCTTCCCGGGTTCAAGCAATTCTCCTGACTCAGCCTCTCGAGTAGCTGGGATTACAGGCACTTACCACCAAGCCCAGCTAATTTTTTGTAGTTTTAGTAGAGATAGGGTTTCACCATGTTGGCCAGGCTGGTCTCGAAATCCTGACCTCAGGTGATCTGCCCACCTCAGCTTCCCCAAGTGCTGGGATTACAGGCGTGAGCACCAAGTCCATCCTCTTTTTTGGGTTTTATCAAGAAAGATCTTGGCCGGGTGTGGTGGCTCACACCTATACTCCCAGCACTTGGGGAGGCCCAGTTGGGCATATCATTTGAGCTCAGGAGTTTCAGACCAGCCTGGGCAACATAGTGAGACCTCATCTCTACAAAAAAAATACACAAATTAGCTGGGTGTGGTGGTGCACGCCTGCAGTCGCAACTACTCGAGAGGCTGAGGCAGGAGGATGGCTTGAGCCTGGAGGGGGTCAAGGTTGCAGTGAGCTGAGATTGTGCCAGTGCACTCCAGCCTGGATAACAGAGTGAGACCTTGTCTCAAAAAAAAAAAAAAAAAAAAAAAAGGGAGAGAGAAAGAAAGATCCTCAGGGGCTAAGGAGCATCTTTAAGATCATGTCTGGGTGGAACACAGTGCAGAGGCACACAATCTGGCTGAGAAGACACAAGACTTTGGGGCCTTCCAGAGGGCCACTCCTCCCTGGGGCCGGCCCTTGTCTGTGATCCCAGGTCACCTCCTGCCGGCTCAGGCCAGCTTTACACCCTTGCCCTCACATTTCTGGCCTCACCTGGAAGAGCTCTTGATCCTTCCCATGTGAGTTCACTGTTGACCCTTACCCGTCACTGTCACTGCTTCTGGAAGCCTTATACTGACCACACCTCTTCCTGCAGTGCCTGGGCGGGCCGCCAGGAGGCTCTCTTATGCCAAGTCCAATCACACTGTGCTCCACCAACTCCAGTTGAGCAAACACTAATTTTGAAATAGCAGATTCTGCCTACCAAATTAGCAGTGATTTTTAAAGAATGATAGTCTGTAATACTCAGTGACTCAATATTGAAGAGACTGTGGTGAGAAGGTAGTCTCCTATATGCTGATGGGGGTATAAATGGAGGCTTTTCTCGAGTGAGATTTGCCTGTATAGATGAGGTCTACAAGTTCCACAGGTGGGAACCTACTCTAGGAAATAAATTAAATTTAGGTGTAAGAGCTCAAATGCTTTCAGTTGCCAGTGATAGAAAACTCAGCCAGGCGCGGTGGCTCACACTTGTAATACCAGCCCTTTGGGAAGCTGAGGCGGGCAGATCGCCTGAGGTCAGGAGTTCGAGACTAACCTGACCAGTATGATGAAACCCCGTGTCTACTAAAAATACAAAAATAGCCAGGCGTGGTGGCACGCACCTATAATCTCAGCTACTGGGGAGGCTGAGACAGAAGAATCACTTGAACCCCGGAGGCAGAGGTTGCAGTGAGCCAAGGTTGCGCCATTGCACTCCAGCCTGGGCAACAAGAGCGAAACTCTGTCAAAAAGAAACAAACAAACAAAAAAACTCAGCTAATGTGACTGCAGCATTCAGACATTTCTTGCTCATATAAGTTAGGTAGTAAGGAATCCTGGAAGTGGTTTTGTGTCCCCATGGTATAACAAAGAACCTGGGATCTTTCTTTTCCCACTCTGCCATCCAGAGTTGGGGGGACGTGTTGTCTCCCCTCATGGTAGCACTCGCGGCATCCTATTCTCATTTGACAATGGACAAATACAAAAGAAGAGAGTGGGGCAAAACAGACCTTCTCCAAAAATGCCTTTCTGAGAAGCTTGTAAACACTTCCCTTCACCTTCTGGGTGTGTATCATTAACAAAGAGGAGTGAGATCTCCATGATGGGCTCAGGCCATTCAAGGCCCAGCAGGAACATGGCTGCCTGAATACCAGTGGGGTAGCATTCCAAAGGAAGGAGGGTAAATTTCTTTTGGGTAAGCTGCCAATGGTGTCTGCCACAGGGAACCAACATTTTCATACGAAGATATTTGATATAGTGTTATTCATAAATGTAAAGAAATAGAAACTATGTGGTTAAGAAATTATGGTACATTTAAGGCTGAGGTGGCAGGATCATTTGAACCCAGGAGTTTGAGTCCAGCCTGGGCAACATGGTGAAACCCTGTCTCTAGAAAAAAAAGTAAGAAAGAAAAAAGAAATTATAGTCCATTTATTTAGATAGGGAAACTACTAAAACTAAAAGGGATAGAATCTGGCTTCCAACCAGGTTGGTCAGACTCCAAACCCACATTCTTAGTTGCTACTACCTCTTTGGATTTAACAAAATCATTAACCACCATAGAAGAAAAAGCAACAGAAAGCCTTCCAAAATGTAGATTACTTAATAAAAAGCAGTCAATGCACCACAATACCCTCATTCTCCAATAACTAGGGTAGTTGAGGGATTTCTGACATTCTTATCCCAGTTGTCACTTTTGAGAGGTTAGCAGACTCCTCTGAGATTCTTTGCCTGATTCCTGCTGAGAGACCAAAACAGCTAAAAGTTAAAGCCAGTTTAAGTTTCCATGGATTCTGACTGCTTTACTGGGTCAATTGTAATAATATTATTAAAACACCTAAACCCCTCAGCCAAACCCAGGGTATATGAAGAAGGCTTATCAAACAAAAACAATGTTTGGAGAATCTGGATAATAGTAAGATGACTTTCTAACAATAGTGGAAGATACTTTTTTAAATTAAAGGGATTTTTTTTTTTTGAGATAGAGTCTTGCGTTGTCACCCAGGCTGGAGTGCAGTGGCACAATCTCCGTTCACTGCAACCTCCACCTCCCAGGTTCAAGCAATACTCCCACCTCAGCCTCCCGAGTAGTTGGGATTACAGGTGCTCACCACCACACTCATCTAATTTTTGTATTTTTAGTTGGCCATGTTGGCCAGGCTTCTCTTGAACTCCTGACCCTCAAATGTTCTGCCCACCTTGGCCTCTCAAAGTGCTGGGATTACAGGTGTGAGCCACCGCACCAGGCCTAAAATTAAATGGATTCCGGTTGCAGGTCTTTGGCTCAGGCTGTTTTCCCTGATGTTTCTGCAGGTCAGTTACTTATGGACTGATGTTTCTGCAGGTCAATTACTTATGTGGTTGTGCAGATGGCCAACCACAGTGGCCGGTTACTTTTCTCAGGGCACCTGCCTTCTAGAAATGTATCCTCTCTCCTCTCCCTTTTCCTCTTTCTGTCAGAGAATAGCAGGGGTTGTGGAGGAAAGCTGAATTCTAAATTAGTCATTTCGATAATTAATAAGGCTAGCTAGAGGTTTGATGAGAAAAAAATTGCTGCTTTTTTTTGTAAGTGTAATGTGGTTAGATATAAAGTATCCAAAATTTAGACAGATCTCAAAATCCAAAATTTTATTTTTCCCTCAAAGCCATGCTTAAGTTTACTCAGAATAACCACAGCATTTTTCTGAGGCTCTGCAAATACCTTCTCGAGCTTCCTCTATTTGCTTGGTAAGGACGGTGTGCAATCACACATCCTGCAGACTGACTGGCTGGGTCACTCCATCACCTTGACCATAGATGACTCTGCTGATCATGGTTACATGACTGTTTCATGCCCATACCACAATCTCATTTATTTCAGAAATTCAATTTTCAGTTTATATGTGTTCATACTGGCAAAATGGCTTGAAAAACACAAAAGACCCAACCATTTTGCCTTCAGCCTAACAGCAGAAATAAAAACATGGCATGGATATATCTGTGAGAGCAAGGCATTGAAGTTCTTGCAATCCCTCACGATGCTGTCTTATGCCGGCCTCCTCTCTCTTATGCTTTGTAAATCTAGTGCTGCTGATGTCGAATGACCCAGAAAACTCCTATTCATTATTTAAGACCCAACTCAAAGTTTCCCCTCTTTCATAGGGTCTTTCTAATTTTCTCAGGCAGAATTAGCATGTCTCTCCTCTTGGGTCCCATGGCATCTTATACCCACCTACATTATATTGGAATGATTTGGTTTTCTGTTTTCTTGACAATATTTCAAGCCCTTCCAGAATCAAAATAGTATCTTTATTTTATCTTATTTTTAGTAACAATTTTAAAATGATGGAATATTTCTCCTGTAATCCCAGCACTTTGGGAGGCTGAGGCGGGTGGATCACTTGAGCCCAGGAATTCGAGACCAGCCTAGTCAAGATGGTGAAACCCCATCTCTACTAAAAATACAAAAATTAGCCAGGCGTGGTGGTGCATGCCTATAATTCCAGCTACTCGGGAGGCTGAAGCACAAGAATTACTTGAACCCAGGAGGCAGAAGTTGCAGTGAGCTGAGATTGCATCACTACACTCCAGCCTGGGTGACAGAGCCAGGCTCTCTCTCAAATAAATAAATAAATGCATGATAGAATATTTCATATATACATAATAGAACACACATATATGTGTACAATAGAATATTATATTAAACACATATAAGGTATACAAAATAAAAATAGAAACATCTATGTAACCAATGTTGCCTATGTACTGAGACTGGGAGGCCCTCCTGGGTGCCCCTCTCTCTCTATACCACCCCTCCTATGGTAACCCCTATCCTGAATTTGGTGTTTATTATTCCCTTCTTTTTCTTTTTCTTTGGTTTTTTTGAGTTGGAGTCTGGCTCTGTCACCCAGGCTGGAGTGCAATGGCATGATCTTGGCTCACTGCAACCTCCACCTCCCAGGTTCAAGCGACTCTCCTGCCTCAGCCTCCTGAGTAGCTGGGATTACAGGTGCGTGCCACCACTCCCGGCTAATTTTTTTGTATTTTTAGTACAGGGTTTGCCATGTTGGCCCAGCTGGTCTGGAACTCCTGACCTGAGGTAATCCACCCACCTCAGCCTCCCAAATTGCCTACTGGGATTACAGGCGTGATCCACCATGCCCAGCCTATTCCCTTCTTTTTCTTTATAGAGTTACACCATATGTACACATCTTGTGTAAACGAGTTCCTGTTGCTCCCCAGTTGTTAGATTTTACAATTTTGCCACTCTAGTGAGTGGAAAACATTTTATTGTCATTTTAATTTGCATTGTAATGCACCCTGTAGTTTCCATATCTACAATTACTAATGAATCTAAACATCATTAAATGTGTTTAATTGGTCATTTGGGTTTCCTTTCTTAGTGAAAATATGTTTCTGTCTTTATTTCATTTTGCTATAGGGTTGTTTTCTTTTTCTTATTGATTTGTAGCAATTCTTTATATATTTTGGATACTACTCCTTCGTCAGTTGTATGTGTCATGAATATTTTCGCCTAGCCTGTGGCTTGTCTTTTCATTTTCTTTTTTTGAGATGGCATCTTACTCCAGCCCAGGCTGGAGTGCAATGGTGCAATCTCGGCCCACTGCCACCTCTGCCTCCTGGGTTCAAGCGATTCTCCTGCCTCAGCCTCCCTAGCAGCTGAGATTAGAAGCACATGCTATCATGCCCGGCTAATTTTTGTATTTTTGTAGAGACGGGGTTTCACCATGTTGGCCAGGCTGGTCTCAAACTCCTGATCTCAAGTAATCTGCCCACCTTGGCCTCCCAATGTGCTAGGATTACAGGTGCGAGCCACCACACCTGGTCTGTCTTTTCATTTTCTTTATGTCTTCTTTAGATGAACTCGACTTCCTAATTTTTGTGTCAATCATTTCCTTTTTTCATATGACATTTTTGTGACTTATTTATTTATTTTATTTTTTTTGAGACAGAGTCTTGCTCTGTTGCCCAGGCTGGAGTGCAGTGGTGTGATCTCAGCTCACTGCAACCTTTGCCTCCCAGGTTCAAGGAATTCTCCTGCCTCAGCCTCCTGAGTAGTGGGGATTACAGGCACCTGCCACCATGCCCAGATAATTTTTGTATTTTTAGTAGAGACGGGGTTTCACCATGTTGGCCAGGCTGGTCTCAAACTTCTGACCTCAAGTGATCCACCCACCTCAGCCTCCCAAAGTGTTGGGATGACAGGCGTGAGCCACCACACCTGGCCTTTTGTGACTTATTTTTTTAAAAATCCTTTTCTGTGTGGTCTTAAAGACATTCTTCTATATTTTCTTTTAAAAGTATTGAAGTTTTTACCATTCACATTTACCTGTTTATTTAACAACAAAAAAAGCAACTAATGGATAATTTGGATAATAGTAATGCGGACATTAGGACACTCAATTGATTCCAGCAGCATTCATTGAAAAGTCTGTTCTTTATTTGCTCATCTGTGGTTCACCTACTTTTGTGTCCCTCACAGATGTGGGGCTCTGTTTATGGGCTTTCAATTCTGTCCATTGGTATAGTTTTCTGTTTTTGAACCAATACCACACTGTTTAAATTATTATAGCTTTAAAGCAAGCCCTTTTTCCTGACAGGGTAGTTTCTCCCCACATTCAGGATAATTTTGGCTATTCTCGGCCCTTTCCTTCTTCACTTGCATTTTAAGATCAGCTGTTCAAATTCTGCAAATACCTCTGTTAGAATTTCGGTGGGCATTGCATTGAATCAAAAAGTCAGCTTTTTTTTTATTATTATTATTTTTAATACAGAGTCTCGCTCCATTGCCCAGGCTGGAGTGCAGTGGTGTGATCTCGGCTCACTGCAACCTCCGCCTCCCGGCTTCAAGCGATTCTACTGCCTCAGCCTCCCACGTAGCTGGGATTACCAGTGTGCACCACCATGCCTGGCTAATTTTTGTATTTTTGGTAGAGATGGGGTTTCACCATGTTGACCAGGCTGGTCTTGAACTCCCGGGCTCAAGTGATCCGCCCCCCCCCCCCCACCCCCCCACTCAGCCTCCCAAAGTGCTGGGATTACAGTCGTGAGCCACTGTGCCTGACACACTTTTGTAATTTCAAGTCATCCTATCAACAAACATTTATGTAGGTCTGATCTGTCTGTGACAGAAAACTGTCCAGTGGTTCACCAAGCCTAATCCCCTTTCTTTTAGCTCACAGCTGGGCTGTGTTTCCCAGCTTCCCTAAAAGTGAGTTGTGGCCAAGGTAAGTTTTGGGCAATGGGATGAGGGCAGAGCAAGGGACAGGTAACCCCTCCAGGCCTGGCCCTCCTTTGTGATCTGCCTTGCTCTGTTTCTTCCCTCAACTGTAGGTGGATGCAGGGGATCAAGAAGAGGATTCTGAGACCCTAAGGAATGACAGAGCCGCAAGATGAAAGAACCTGGGTTCCCCCGTCATGGTGTGGAAGTCTTCCCACTGAACACCCACATGCGACTGTTGGAAGAGAAAGAAAAACACTTCTGGCAGGGTGTGGTGGCTCATGCCTGTAATCCCAGCACTTTGGGAGGCCCAGGCAGGCAAATCACTTCAGGTCAGAAGTTTGAGACCAGCCTGGCCAACATGGTGAAACCCTGTCTCTACTAAAAATACAAAAATTAGCCATGTGTGGTGGCAGGCGCCTGTAATCCCAGCTATTTGGGAGGGTGAGGAAGGAGAATCGCTTGAACCCGGGAAGCGGAGGTTGCAGTGAGCCGAGATCACGCCACTGCACTCCAGCTTGAATAACAGAACGAGACTCCATTTCAAAACAAAAAAGTAAAAGAAAAACACTTCTACTGTGCTACACCACTAAGAGTTTGAAGTTTGCTAGAATAGTTAGTTTACATTAAGAAATGCAGTATCTTTCCATTATATTCCAAAATTTTTTTCATAAATGCCTTATGCATCTTTCGTTAGATTCTTCCTAGGTACATTAACTGTTTTGTTAATGTTGAATACGATATTTTGTAAAAGAAAAAATTTTTTTTACTGTTGCCAGTATACAGAAACATAATCAATGTTTGTATATAATCTTATGTCCATCGATCTTGATCAAATCTCTGATTAATTCTGTTAATTTGGCTGCAGATTCTTTGAGTTTTGTTTCTTTTGTTTTTTTTTGAGACGGAGTTTTTCTCTTGTTGCCCAGGCTGGAGTGCAATGGAGTGATCTCTGCTCACTGCAACCTCCGCCTCCCGGGTTCAAGCGATTCTCCTGCCTCAGCCTCCAGAGTAGCTGGGATTACAGGCATGCGCCACCACGCCCAGCTAATTTTTGTATTTTTAGTAGAGACGGGGTTTCTCCATATTGATTAGGCTGGTCTCGAACTCCCGACCTCGGATGATCCACCCATCTCAGCCTCCCAACGTGCTAGGATTAGGGGCGTGAGCCACCGTACCTGGAGCAATTCTTTGAGTTTTTATATGGACTCTGTCAACCTCAAAAAAAAATCAGAGACAAGGCCAGGTGTGGTGGCTCACCCCTGATAATCCCAGCACTTTGGGAGGCTGAGGTGGGCGGATCATCTGAGGTCAGGAATTCAAGACCAGCCTGGTCAACATGGAGAAACCCCGTCTCTACTAAAAATACAAAAATTAGCCGGGCATGGTGTCATGTGCCTGTAATCCCAGCCTACTTGGGAGGCTGAGGCAGGAGAATCGCTTGAACCCAGGAGGCGGAGGTTGCAGGCAGCCGAGATCGTTTCATTGCACTCCAGCTTGGGAAACAGAGCAAGACTCGGCCTCAAAAAAAAAAAAAAAAAAAAATCAGACACAAACATCTCCAAACATGTTGAGTTTATTAGGGAATTAGAAAAAAGGATTAAAATCCAAGATGCACAGTTATGGAAAGCCACGTATGTACCTGAAGAGGGGAAGATAAAGGGAATCTTTTATTGGGAAAAGTGAAGTTTACACAAGTTGCTTGAAGACAGAATTCATTGGTTTTCAGCATCGGCTCATTGGTTACTCATGCTGTTACTGAGCCGGTGTTCTTTTGGTTTTTTTGTTGTTTTAGACAAAAATCTCACTCTGTCACATAGGATGGAGTGCAGTGGTGTGATCTCAGCTCACTGCAACTTCCGCCTCCCAGGTTCAAGCAATTCTCCTGCCTCAGGCTCCCTAGTAGCTGGAATTACAGACATGGACCACCATGCCTGGCTAATTTTTGTATTTTTAGTAGAGACGAGGTTTCACCATGTTGACCAGGCTGGTCTCAAACTGCTGACCTCAAGTGATCCTCCCCACTTGGCCTCCCAAAGTGCTGGGATTACAGGTGTGAGCCACTGCGCCCGGCCTGGGCAGGTGTTCTTTTGAGAGCATCTTGTCTGAATTGCTACAGTGCTAAAAAAGGAATTTCTTGTGGGCTTATTTCAGAAAGTCCTTGAGACAGTCTTTATCTCAGACATGCAAGCATGAGCTCTGCCTGTTAGTGTTTGCCCACCTCTCATTTGTTTGGGTTTGTCAAAAACTGGTTTCGTTTTGGTATCTGCAACTTTTACAACTATCAACTGATTTAATTATTTCTTCTGTTCTAATCTTTACATCTTTTATTTCTTATGCTTTTCTTATACCAGCTAGGACCTCTAGTACAATGATGAGTTATGAAAGCAGACATTTATATTGTTTCATATTTTAAGCTTTCAGTTTTTAATATTTCACTTTCTTTTTTTTTTTTTTTTCTTCTGGAGACAGACTCTCGCTCTGTTGCCCAGGCTGGAGTGCAATAGTATGAACCTGGCTCACTGGAGCCTTAACCTCCAGGCTCAAGCTATCCTCCTACCTCAGCCTCTTGAGTAGGGACCACAGGTGTGTGCCACCACACCCAGCTAACTTTTAAATTTTTTGTAGAAATGAGGTCTCCCTATGTTGCCCAGGCTGATCTTGAACTCCCGGGCTCAAGTGATCCTTCTGTCTCAGTCTCCCAAAGTACTGAGATTACAGGTGTGCATTACAGATGGGAGCCATCGCACCCAGTTGTTTCACTATTAAGTATGACATTTGCCATAGTATTTCAAAACTATCCTTTATCTAGTTCTCAGTGTTTTTACAGGTTTGTTTAATCATTATTCAATGCTTTTTCTGTCTCTATTGAGATATTATTTTTCTTTTTTAATCTGTTCATGTGGTCAGTTACATTAATAGGTTTTCTAATATTAAACCTTGGTCAGAGATAGACCCAACTTTGTCATGTTGTATTACATTTTGTATTTAATGCTAGGTTTGGTTTGCAGATATTCTATTTAAGATTTTGGGCCGGGTGTGGTGGCTCACGCCTGTAATCCCAGCACTTTGGGAGGCCGAGGCGGGTGGATCACCTGAGGTCAGGAGTTCAAGACCAGCCTGGCCAACATGGTGAGACCCTGTCTCTACCAAAAATACAAAAATTAGCTGGGCATGGTGGCAGGCACTTGTAATCTCAGCTACTCAGGAGGCTGAGGCAGGAGAATCGCTTGAACCTGGGAGGCAGAGCTTGCAGTGAGCCGAGATCGCGCCACTGCACTCCAGCCTGGGCGACAGAGCGAGACTCCGTCTCAAAAAAAAAAAAAAAAAAAAGATTTTGCATGTATGTTCATGAGCAAGATTAGCTCTTTCTCTGTTGCCTTTTGTCTATTTTGGTATCAAGGTCATATTAACTTTATAAAATGAGTTGGAGAGTTCAGACTTCTCAGAGGGGCCTTTTCGTTCCTACTACCCAAAGTCAAGGCCATGGTTGGCAAGTTTTCTTGCTATCCCCTTTGTGGAGTGGATGTTTTCCCTAGATTACTCCTTCACTAAGGGTGTTGTCTTTAAGGCCCCAGCTTTATTTGAGACACTATGTGCCAACTCGCTCCTTAGGTGTTATTTTGCAGCCACCTTCTTGGGCCTTGAAAACAGAAGCTGTTCATCTCCAGGGACTTCCTGATGCCCTAGGGCAGTCAATGGCTTTAGCTTTATCTTTTCTAGTTTTGTATTTTCTCTTTGGTTTCGGCTTCTGAGGATTTCTCTTAATTTCATGTCAGTTTAGCCATGCATTGAAAACTATTTTTTAAGGGCTGGGCACGGTGGAATACGCCTGTAATCCCAGCACTTTGGGAGGCTGAGGCTAGCAGATAGCCTGAGGTCAGTAGTCCGAGAGCAGCCTGACCAACATGGTGAAACCTCGTCTCTACTAAAAATACACAAATTAGCCAGGCGTGGTGGTGCGTGCCTGTAATTCCAGCTACTCGGTAGGCTGAGGCAGGAGAATCACTTGAACCTGGGAGGCAGAGGTTGCAGTGAGCCGAGATTGCACCAATGTACTCCAGCCTGACCCCATCTCAAAAAAAGAATAAACAAAGAAAGAAATCAAACTATTTAAAAAAAATTTTAGGTGTTTTATTGTTAGAGGGTTTTAGGATATCCATCCAGTCTGCCATATTGCTCTATGTGGGAAGTTTCTGTTTTCTTCTTTTGTCTTTTAAAAACTCTTATTTTTTTTGAAGAATGGGTAATATAATCACATATTTCAAAATTCAAAGGCACAAAAAGGTATACAATGTAAAGTAAGCACTTCTGTCATCCCCCAGTTACCTCCAACCAATGTTAATTTTAAAAATATCCAATATCCTTCTAAAGATGTTCTATGCATAAAGAATACACACAGGATTACACAAGTGATAGCACACTCAACCTTCTGTTCTTCACTTTTCTGGTTTTTTTTTTTTAACTTAACATTAAATCTCAGAGTTAGTTTCTTATTAGTACATAAAAGTCTTTCTCATTCTTTTATACTCCTGTATAGATGTAACAACATTTCTTTAATTAGTCCTACTGGATGTTTAGAATGTTTACAATCTTCTGCCATTTCAAACAAGGCTGCAGAGAATAACTTTATGCAGATGATTTTTTGCACACACCTATCTGGATATCCACAGGATAAATGTCTGAATGGAACAGCATAGTCAGTAGAGGTGTACATTTATAATTTGGTCGATATTTTGCTAAATTGCCCTCTGTAAGCAAATATTTCTTTTATTTTTTAATGTGGCAAGATCTCATCATGGAGGCAAATATTTCTAACATAATACCTAAAAGTAACTATTCCTTCACACCCTAGCTCACACTGTGTAAGACTTTTTATTTTTGCAAAACTAATAGGTAAAAAATGATATTTTGTAGTTTTAATTTGTATTTTAAAAATTACATGTGAAATTCAACATTTCCCCATGTGTGAGGAAGCCATATTTTCCTCTCTATAAACCTACTGTGTATATTCTTTGCTTATTTTTCTTTACTTTTTTTCTATTTTGGTTTTTATATTGACTTCTAGAAGTTCATTATATATTAGAGATAGGATATTTATACTATGAGTAATTGGTAAAAAGCCTTGACATACACCAGCTACTCCCAAAATGTGTCCTAAATCAATTTAAATTTTTTAGACATTGTAATGAATGCACTAAATTAATATTAAAAAGTAATTTTTGCTATAGTGGTTGTCATCGAATATTAACATTTGCCATATGTTTGTTGTTGTTTTTTCCTATGAAGTGAATGATATGATACCTTTTAGGAAAACTAAAAAAAAGCAATAGATAGATCCACCATTCCTGGGTATTTCATAAAATACTTGTTTCTTATGCATAGAGTCATGCTTTTGAGCCTGTGTAAAAGTTTGTGAATCACTGGGGAAATTACTATATCAAACAATGGACCTGATGGGTGTCATACCTTGTATTCCCTAAAAACAAGTTGGAACTACAAGCCCAGGGCAACCAATGTGAGGGAAAAGGCTCAGAAAGAGAAAAAGCAAATGCAAAGTGGTGCATTCCTGGGCTGATCACAGTCAGAGCTGTGTTTATGGCCAAGCTAAATGCAACCACTGTACCTCAGCAGAGTCAAGAGGAAGAGAAAAGAATTTATCTGCCAGCTCCCTCCTGCCTCCTATCTCTTATTGGTCAATTTCAAGCCCCTTGCACCTGCACTTCTAGATTGTGCCACCTGGCTCTCAGCGCAGCCACTGCGGAAGCAGATCTTAGTTTCTGAGGCAAGTGCTTCAGCCGAGTCTGGAGGTGATGGAGACGCAGACATCATGGAAGGAATAAGGCCATGCTGGAGCACTGCCTGCATGCCAGGGAGGCCAAATGAGGTGACAGGCATGGCTAAGATGAGGTGGGTGACAGGTGTCTTCATTGAGTAAGCAGCTGACAGCCCAGAAGGCAGGCAGGAGGCAGATAGATTAGCTGGATTTCATAGCTGTGTGGCCACTGGTGTGTTAGTTTGTGGCTTCCAAGTGTCAGTCCAAGTTGACCCACTGTCAGAGGAAGCTCCAGGGTTGGCATGTGGTGAGATAATGAATCCATGTAGTCCTCAAGGAAGAGGTTGGGTGGATAATCTGTTTCATAGTGAGTGAAAGAAAATGTGCTATTTTATGGAAGAGTAGAAATACTTGGACTGATGGTCCGCAAGCATCAATATGGAGAAATATTTTGAGCTTTTCCCTAAATCTTCCTTCTTGAGGATGAAAAAGTTAATTTCTCTGAGCCTTTCCCTGTCATGTTTTGGAATGTGACTGACCTGCTTCTAATCATAAAGGTATATTTTGCCCCTTCTCTCTCCGTTCCTTTTGAAGAGGAATGTAAGTTACTAGGTAGTTTTTTGGCTCCTTGAAAAGCTCATTGCAAACCACTCTTTAAGAACGGCCAAGCAGTGATTATAGTACATCAACAGCATGAAGTATTGCATGGTCCTCTAAAGAACCAATGAGAAGTGGAAAAAGTTCAAAAGTAATGTGGAAAATATTTCTCAAACCATCTGAAGTGGGGAAAAATAGAACCATGACAGATAGACGCAGTGACTTCAGCTATGCTAAACGTGTGCACACCTGACCAACATTGGACAGGGACTTCAGAGACGTTAAAATGGCTGTAGAGCATTTGGTCAGATGTGGTGGTATCTGGTGTCATGCTAAGAATAAGTAATTCCAGGGCCAGAGTGCTCTGAGTTGAAATCCTGCCTCCCACACTTGTCATTTTGGGAATACAACTCACCTACTCAGAGCCTCAGCTTCCCATTTTTTACTTTGTAGATTAAAATGACAAACTAAGCTTGTGGCATCTACTAGGCTCAGTAAGCAGTATGGATTATCTTTACTGGAGAAGAATTTTTAAAGTATGTTACAAAGTAGTTATAATAACTTAAAGGCTTAAAAACACTTCGGTTAATAATAGTACATGTTAGGCCTGGCGCTGTGGCTCACACCTGTAATCCCAGCACTTTAAGAGGCCAAGGCAGGCAGATCACCTGAGGTCAGGAGTTCAAGAGCAGCCTGACCAATATGATGAAACCCCGTCTCTACTAAAAATACAAAAATTAGCCGGGCATGGTGGCATGCGCCTGTAATCCCAGCTACTTGGGAGGCTGAGACAGGAAAATCGCTTGAACCCTGGAGGCAGAGGTCGCAGTGAGCCAAGATCGCGCCATTGCACTCCAGCCTGGGAAACGAGCGAAACTCCAACTCAAAAAAAAAAAAAAGAAAAGTACATGTTCATTGTAGAAAGTTTTAGCAATACATAAAAATAAAAAATATTTTAAAAATTTCACTTGTAATCATGCCATCCAGAAATGGCCACAGTTTAACATCTTAGAATGCAGATCTGTGAACCTGGTTCAAGTCCTGGGTCTGCCTGCTGCCCCTTAGGAAATTACTTAGCGTCCCTGAGACTAAGGTTCCTCCTCTGGGAAATGGATCCAATAATATCTACTCAAAAGGTTGTGTGAGCGTTAAATAATATGATGTTTGTAAAATGCTCAGCCTGGCAGATAACAAATGCTCAAATTGTTGATTACCAATATTAACGTTGATACAGAGAAGATACATTCATTCCCTACCTCTTATACAAACACCTGCACCATTCACCCCGGAATATCTTTTATGTCTCTTTTGATGATAACAGCTCACCACAAAAATCTGTATGATTCAAACTCAGTCAGGAAGAAGAGGAACTCTAGCACATATGTGAACAGTTTCTCAAATAAACAGAATTGTTTATTTTTTAAGCTTTAAGGCACTGTTGACATATAATAGACTGTTCATATTTAAGTGTACAATTGGATAAGTTTTGACATATAGACCACTCATAGAAATGTAGGGGAGGAAAAGTATTTTTTGTTTACCCATTTTAGGTTCATGGCGGAGGCCCCATAATAAAAGGCAGACTAGAAAAAAAAGCATATCAATTTATTTCTTTATTTATTTTATTGAGGTGGAGTTTCGCTCTTGTTGCCCAGGCTGGAGTGCAGTGGTGCGATCTCAGCTCACTGCAACCACCACCTTCTGGGTTCAAGCGATTCTCCTGCCTCAGCCTCCCGAGTAGCTGGGATTACAAGTGTGTACCACCACGCCTGGCTAATTTTTGTATTTTTAGTAGAGACGGGAGTTTCACCATGTTGGCTAGGCTGGTCTCGAACTCCTGACCTCAGGTGATCCACCTGCCTTGGCCTCCCAAAGTGCTGGAATTACAGGCATGAGCCACCACGCCTGGACTTCAATTTATTTTATGTAAGTTTTACATGACACAAGAGTCTTCATAAGGAAATGACCAGAAGAAACAGTTAAACTTGCATATTTTTACGCTAACTTTGATGAAGAGTGAACAGTCATGGAGGAATATAATTGAACAAAGGTGTGATCTACTGGTGATGAACTGGGAGGGATTTAGCAAGGCCTGTTTGCTCAGATTCTTCTCTGTGACCCCATGATTTCAGAGATAAGGATGTTCCTTTCCTCCAAGTATAGGAAGGGCACCTCTCAAGTGAGTGTCTTGTGACCGGCTTTGGTGGAAGGTCAGAAAATCCCTCCTAGGTTTTATGACTGTTAAGGACAAACTTCCCCAACAGCTTCTTGGTACTGCTGACACTTCCCCCAAACCTCTCCATGCTGCCCACCCCTCCACCTAATGCTCTGCAACTCTTGTCTGTGCCGTCCACCCTTCCCCCTGAGCCCCTTTACATTTCTAAGCCCTTATCTAGGCACCAGGCGCCAGGGTGAAGCCAGCAGACTTCACCTATCAGGGCTTGCTGCGATAAGCAAACCCCAATTACAAACCACCCGGACCGCACGGGGGAGGTCGTGGGAAGCATAAACAAACTTTACCTACACCTGTAAATTCCTGCTGTTCATCTAGTTGCTACCATAAACGTCACAAAGTGATATGTGACAAAATTAAACAGCAAACAACCCCGGAATGTGGCCATACCAAAGAACTCCTTCAAACACCCCTCCTCAATATAAACTCCTCACTTTGTAAGCTCAGGGCTGCTTCCTCTGAGTGTGATGGAGCAGCCGGCAGGTTCAATAAACTTACTCGCCTGACTTTGGGTCTATTCTTCCTTTCTCTCAGCTGACCTTACAATGACTTGCTTCAGGAGAGACGGGTGGAGAAAAGGAAATGGGACTATTTTCTGAAATTCTTTCAGCTTAACATAATTCAATATGCCAATGTACTGAAACCGCCATTGCAAAATTGTAACTGAGACAGTGAAAGAGACCTGACCTAACCAACTCCAACTTGCTTCTAACCTTCAACCTGTCCTTGTTCATTCCTGGGTGTAGGCTGAACTAACTTCGAGAGGAACTTAGTTTATAGTTTAAAACAAAGATGGTAACAGGCCTTTCCCAAGGCAAACCCCCTTCTTGTCTGGGGACTAGACTGCTTTTGTAGGACTAACGAACTAGCCCAAAGATTAGAAATTATGGTTTAGGAGTCATGTAGCTGGAGGCTACAAGATTTTGACCCTTCCCAAATTGCACCTGGAGATAACATCGCTATTGTAAAACCTAAGATCACTGTTTAAAATATTTTGCAGTCTCTGCACTTGATGGATCAGCTGGTGCCATCCAGATCGATAAACTGGCTCATCCAATCTCTTGGCCCCCACCCAGGAACTGACTCAGCACAAGAAGACAGCTTAGACTCCCTACGACTTCCTCTCGCATCCAACCAATCAGCACTCCTGAGTCACTGGCTGCCCACAGCCCACCAACTTATCCTTAAAACTCCTATCCCCAAATGCTTGGGGAGACTGATTTCAGTAATAATAAAACTCTGGTCTCCTGCACAGCTGGCTCTGCGTGAATTACTCTTTCTCTATTGCAATTCCTCTGTCTTGATAAATTGGCACTGTCTAGGCAATGGGCAGGGGGAACCTGTTGGGTGGTTATGTGTCTGGAATTTATTCCTTCTGGTGGGTTCTTGGTCTCACTGACTTCAAGAATGAAGCCACAGACCCTCGCGGTGAGTGTTACAGTTCTTAAAGATGGTGTGTCCAGAGTTTGTTCCTTCAGATGTTCAGATGTGTCCGGAGTTTCTTCCTCCCAGTGGGTTTGTGATCTTGCTGACTTCAGGAGTGAAGCTGCAGACCTTCGCAGTGAGTGTTAATAGCTCATAAAGGTAGTACGGACCCAAAGAGTGAGCAGCAGCAAGATTTTCTGTGAAGAGCAAAAGAACAAAGCTTGCACAGCATGGAAGTGAACCCCAACTAGCTGCTGCTGCTGAGTTGGGTGGCCAGCTTTTAGTCCCTTATTTGGCCCCGCCCACATCCTGCTGATTGGTCCATTTTACAGAGTGCTGATCGGTCTATTTGGCAGAGTGTTGATTGGCCCGTTTTTACAGAGTGCTGATTGGTGCGTTTACAAGCTGTTAGCTAGACACAGAGTGCTGATTGGTGTGTTTTTATAGAGTGCTGATTGGTGCATTTGCAAATCTTTAGCTAGACCCAGAGCGCTGATTGCTGTGTTTACAATCCTTTAGCTAGACAGAAAAGTTCTCCAAGTCCCCACTCGACCCAGGAAGTCCAGCTGGCTTCACCCCTCAGTTACAGTGCCATATTTTGGTAGTCCTGAATCCCATCAAAACCATCATCACAATTAAGACAGTGAGCATCTCCTTCACTTCCCAGATTTCTTGGACCCCTTGTAATCCCTCCCCCAAGACAATCACTGCTATTGGTCACTATAGATTAGTCTTCACTTTCTAGAATTTTATATAAATAAGTCACACAGCAAGTACACTTTCTTGTCCAGCAATTATTAATTATTTTACTCTGAATAATGGTGCTGAGATTCACCCCTCCTGTTACATGTACCTGTTATGCATTTCTTTTCTTTTCTTTTCTTTTTTTTTTTTTTTTTTTGAGATGGAGTCTTGCTCTGTTGCCCAGGCTGGAGTGCGGTGGCGCAATCTCGGCTCACTGCAACCTCTGCCTCCCGGGTTCCAACGATTCTGCCTCAGGCTCCCGAGTAGCTGGGATTACAGGCGTGCGCCACCACACCTGGCTAATTTTTTTACTTTTAGTAGAGACAGGGTTTCACCATGTTGGCCAAGCTGGTCTTGAACTCCTGATCTCATGATCCGCCCGCCTCAACCTCTCAAAGTGCAGGATTACAGGCGTGAGCCACTGGGCCTGGCCTGTTATGCATTTCTTTATGTTGCAGAGTCGGAGCACACATCCAGCCTCAGGATCAAGCTCTCTTTAAGTGGGTGTTTAAGAGGCTGTCCTTCTTTTCTGCCCTGTCACCCCAGGACACAGAGCACCTTCTTTTCGCTTGCACTGAGTGCATGAATCATGTAGGTCAATGTGATTCTTAGGCAGGAGGTTTATGGCGGCCACAGTGGGGATCTGCACTGATGGATTCTTCCTAAGGAGCTGGCTCCAGACAAGATCAGAGGCTTGAGTTCAGAGAGCTACACCTGGTTTCTCAGCTCCTCCAGGAGGCAGAGAAACAAGGGAAAACTGAGGTCCAGAAAAGGCAGTATAATTTGAGATTGTTGGGCCAGGCACACTCTGCTAGGACTACCTTCGTTCCCCACTGGGCTGACCTTGCATTTTATAGAGATGCCCCAAGCGATGTCACCTAAAAAACAAGGATTTATCGTTTAAGTCTTCTTAATTAGAAGAGAATGTCTACATTATTTACCAATTAACTCGTCGCTCCTCCTCAGGGGCAGTGCTTTAGCCCCAGGGTTCTATAATCACATACAAAATATTTCCACTATTATGATGCTCATTCAAAAATAAATAAATATCAGCACCCCCACAGATGTTTCCTTATTTGCTGAAGGAAAAAGAAGATAAACACAGTTATTGTGATTCACAATATTTGTGTAAAAGGCACCACACTAGAGCCTTCCCAAGTACTCCCAACAATAATATTTTGAGAACTTTAATTTTTTATCTTGGGTGGCTCCATGCCACTTGGATTCAGCTCGGGGCTCCCCCTCAGTGTTAACACCTACAGTAAGTCAGAGGAGGCTTGCAGGATGACCCGGTGCTTCCAGGAATTGCCTGTGCCCTCCAGAGGCAGGCGGCCGATTTCCCTTTGGCAGCAGGTGTCAGGGAGGTCTACAGCACCTGATCACCTTTCCAGATCAGCTTGGAGGGTGCTAAAAGCAGGGGTTCTCCAACTTGAGTCACCGTCAGAATCACCTGGAAGGCCTGTGAAACAGATGGCTCAGGCTCACCCCGCAGTGGCTGACTCATCTGTGCTGGGGCCTGCAAAGATGCATTTCTATTTTTTTTTTTTTTTTTTGACAGAGTCTGGCTCTGTCACCCAGGTTGGAGCACAGTGGCGCGATCTCGGCTCACTGCAACCTCTGCCTCCCAGGTTCAAGTGATTCTCCTGCCTCAGCCTCCTGAATAGCTAGGACTGCAGGCGTGTGCCACCACACCTAGCTAATTTTTTTTTGTATTTTTAGTAGAGACAAGGTTTCACCATGTTGGCCAGGATAGTCTCGATCTCTTGACCTTGTGATCCACCTGCCTTAGCCTCCCAAAGTGCTGAGATTACAGGTGTGAGCCACTGCGCCTGGCTGGAAAGATGCATTTCTAGCAGGTGCCCAGGTAATGCTGATGCTGCTAGTCTTGGGGACCACACTTGGTGAGCCACTGGTCTAATGTTTCTCTTTCTTTCCAAAGCTCCCTAAAATGTTAACTCTCAGATGGGAAACCGATTTGCAGAAGCCTGAGAAGAAACACTCCATCTCCCAGGGATTGAACTGCAATAGGGGGTTTAAGGAGGGCGAGTGAGAAAGGACCCTCTGGCTGATTCCCAGGCTCTGGGTGAAGGGGTTGTTTCAAGGGTCAAGAATCTGCCTGGTACCTGACAATTTCCTGGAAGGTACTCAGATGTGGTCACTCCCTGGGATGACTGTGCTGGGAGAGGATTATCCTGGATTCTCTGTGGCTGTCTGAACTTGGGACAGAGCATCCACAATATTGGGAGAAAGTCCTTAAAGTTTTAAGTATCTGAGCCCAGTCAGTTTTTGGGACTGAGCCACAGAGAGGAGGGAGTCTGAGGCCTGACCTTGGCCCCTTGCCTGTCCCGGGTGGGCAGATCCGCAGGACTGGGCAGAAAACTCTGTCAGTGAACGAGAGTTAGAAACAAGTGTCCAGTAAGCCTGAGGCCTGGGCCTGGAGGTGCAGGGACAGTGGGCTCGTCAGGAGTCTACACTGAGGAAGGAGCAGAGCAGAGTGTGGGGAAATGAGGGTGGAGGTGGCTTCTGAGCTTGGGAGGGCAGGGGTGACTCAGGGCCCATCCTGGCACAGTGCCCTGTGTCTGGGCCCAGCTTAGGTCTGGTGCTGGGAAGCATTTCACCAGGGCATGTGAGGGATGAACTTCAGGGCTCCAGGGCCGGTGATACACCTGTCCCCCTGGGCTCTGGCTGGGCCCCTGCTGTCTCACGTGGCTGTCCTCCACACCTCCTGCTGGGCCCATTCAGACCCGAGAGGGGCGCACTCCTGGGCTGTCTGGCGTCAGATGTGGCATCTTTGAGGTGGGCTGCAGGTTAGACATCACAGGTGCCTGCCATGATGCTTCCTGTTTCCTCATCCAGCTTCCCCCATTCCTGGTCCTCCAGGTTCCCTTCTGGGCCCCTGCATTCGGAGGCTGGTCAGCGGCCCCATTGCATCCTGTGCCTCTGCCCTTGCTCCTCAGTGGTAGCTGAGCCTCCCACAGAGGCACTGAGCATGTGCTAGCCTGCCTTCAAGTTTTCTAAGCCTTGCACTCAGGCTTCCACCCGTTGGCCTGATGAGTTGGACTGCTCTGGGCCATACCTTCCTTGTTGGGATGGCCACTTACCCTCTCTGGGCAGCAGAATCTCCCTCGGTGTCAGGACCGTTGTGAGGATTATGTAAGAGAGTGCTCATGAAATGCATATGAATGCCCTCTGCGTTAGCTCGCATCCCTGCTTCTAGAACTCTGGTCCACTTTGACCCCAGTGTCTGGCACCTGAACCTTGCCTGCACCTGGTGATCTGGACTGTGGGTGGGCTGTATACTGGCAGAATTGTGCACTGAGGCAGAGCCGGGTGGGGCTAGAAGGGTGGACTAGGTTCTCTCCCCAAGGCCATGAAAGTTTAGATGATGTGGGAATTTGAAAAAGAGTCAAAGATGCTCTGCAAATATGATTATTGGAATGTGAAAAGATTCAAAATGAGGGTTTTTGAACTGCAAGGAATGGAGGGGGCCTTTCTACTATGAGGTGTGACTAATCCTTCTATACAGGGTAGAGCCCCCCTCCTCTCCCCTTCCCTCCCCTCCCCTCCCCTCCTCTCCCCTCTCCTCTCTTTTCTTTTTTCTTTCATTGAGACCAAGTCTCCCTCTGTAGCCCAGGTTGGAGTGCAGTGGCACAATCTTGGCTCACTGCAACCTCCACCTCCCAGGTTCAAGCGATTCTCCTGCCTCAGCCTCCAGAGCAGCTGGGATTATAGGCACATGCCACTGCACCCAGCTACTTTTTTGTATTTTTAGTAGAGACAGGGTTTCACCATGTTGGCCAGACTGGTCTCGAACTCCTGACCTCAGGTGATCCACCATCCTCGGCCTCCCAAAGTGCTAGGATAACAGGCATGAGCCACCACGCCTGGCCGCATCTTTTCTATGAGAAGAGTTTAAAGGGTCCCTGGAGCCTGTCCCGAAGCTACTCTTCACGCTATTACGTTTTCAAATGGGAAAGAGCAGATGGCCGTAGAGGTGAACCCTTGCATGGACTTAGATTTAGGGCCCCAAAGAATAATGACTGCCCCGAACACAGGTGTCCTCCTTTACCACCAACTACACACTTCCTGAGGGAGGCAGAGGCCTTAGTCTCCAATTTCCAGCAAAAGGAGTGGAGACTGGGTGAGCAAGGGACTTGTCTAAGGGGACATGACAGCAAGGAAAGGAGCCTAGGGCCCTGACTCCAGCTTCCAGGCTCTGAGACACATCCGCACCAGTGCGATTCCACCGATGGAGCAAAGGCCGGGTGCCCAGTGAGTCACCTGAGAGAGGCCTCTTGGGGCCAAGTCCTTACTGAGGCTGGGCGGGGAGGCCCTGCTGGAGGGAGGAAGGAGGGGTCCATGGGACAGGGAGGTTGGGGCTACCCTGGGCCTGCTTGGAGTTTTATCCTTTCCTTGAACTTAGGACTTTCTGGAGACTTGAAGATGGTCCCTCATAAGCTGACTGCATCCTGCTTAGAGCTCAGGGGCGCACCCCCAACAGGCACCTTCCACCCCTCAGAACCAGCAGCCACAGGCGGGCCAAGGGCAGAGCGCCTCTCCCCAGGGGCTCCTTTTCCCGAGGGACTGTGTCCTGTGTGTGTGGAGAGAGGACAGCTGCCAGATACAATACATAAGTACTGCATGGAACATACTTAGACTAATAAATTATTTGTTGTTTCTCTGAAATTCAAACTTAACTGGGTGTCCTGTGTTTTATTTCCTAAATCTGTTAACCCTAGCCCAGGCGGAACCCACATGCTGCTGCGGTGGGAGCTTCTGAAGTCCTTTCTGCCCCCAGGACGGTTCCAGAACTGGGTGGGGCTGCCTTCAAGAGGCAGGGTGGAGGGACAGAGGGCTGGGGGAAGGACAGGGCCTGCAGGAGGCAGTTTTTGGTTCGACACAGTAAAAATTTCCTCCTGGAGGCCAAGGGTGGTGGCTCACGCCTGTAATCCCAGCGCTTTGGGAGGCTGAGGTGGGTGGATTGCTTGAGTTCAGTAGTTTGACACCAGCCTGGGCAACATGGTGATGAAAACGGGAGAGTCCCCTGACCCCTCCACGCAGGACGTGCAACAGGAGTGTGGCTCGTCTGTTTGGCTGCCATATGCATTCAAACCCCTTATGGGAGGGGGAGCAGATGGGCAGGTGCAGGAGCTGGGGCGAATACCCCTGGGCTCCAGCCCCAGGGCAGCGCCCAGGGGTGGGTGTCTGCGACCCCCAAAGCCCAAGTGGGTGCATGTTACAGTGCCCTCTTTTAGCCTTGCCGTCCATGGACGGCTCAAGTTTTAACCAACTTCAGTGCCCTCTTGGTACCCAGGTCCTTGTCCAGCATCCAGGAAGCATCAGGTTGCATGTGGACTTGAAGGATGGTGAATGCAGGGGTTTTGTTGAGTGGTGGAGGTGGCTTTCAGTGGCATGGATGGGGAGCTGAAAGGGGGATGGAGTGGGAAGATGATCTTCCCCTCGAGTTTGGCCATTCAGTGGCCAATCTCCTCTCCAACTGTCCCCAGCCGAACTCTTCTCCGTGTTCACACACTCCTCTTCTCTCCGCCAGGCCATTCTGCCATTCTGCTCTTCTGTTCATCTCATCTGCTTGTGGAGCCTGGGGTTTGGGGTTTATACGGGTACAGGATAGGGGAGCATGGCAGGTCAAAAGGCAACTTTTGGGGGCGAAAACAGGAATGCCTGTCCTCATTTAGGGCCGCAGGTTTCCAGGCTTGAGGGTGGGCCTTTGCCAGGGAACTGCCCTCTTCTATCCAGTATTTCCCTGTCTCCTGTGTGTATCAGTGACACCCTGTCTCTATTAAAAATACAAAAATTAGCCTGGCATTGTGGTGCATGCCTGTAGTCCCAGCTACTCAGGAGGCTGAGGCAGGAGAATCGCTTGAACCTGGGATGTAGAAGTTTGCAGTGAGCTGAGATGGTGCCACTGCACTCCAGCCTGGGTGACAGAGCAAAGCTCCATCTCAAAAAATAAAAATAAAAATAAAAATAAAGAAAGAAAAGAAATCTCCTTCTGGCCTGGGGTCATCATCACGGCGTGCCTCCCATTCTGTGCCCTTCTGGCCACCAGGGCCTCGGGCGGGGCTCTGATCTCTCCTCTTCAGGGAGCCCTTTAGCTGTCCATCCCCTAGGCCCAGCAGCTTCCCCACCTCCCTCCTCTCAGGTGTGGTGTGGAGGCCACTCCTCCTGAGGCCCCACTGTTAGGCCTGGAGCCTCCTACTAGGGGACCAGCATGGCTCCTAATATCCTAGTTAGGGTTGGTTCAACCCACACAGAGTCCCACAAAGTCACCTTTGCTCCGCTGAGCCAGCAGTTCTGAGAAAAGAGGTTTCTCTGGAGCTCTTGCGTGGTAATGCTGCTGCTTTCTTCAGCAGGGTGGAGATTTCTCTGTGTACTTCTCGCCCCTGGTAGGCTTCCACCTGCACGCTTGCATGAGTATCCCTAGCACTGAGCAAAGGTAATAGAGAGGAGAAGTCAGGGGCACAGCCAAATGGAGAACCTGGGGTCATGATGCCCTGATCTGTGAAAACAAGGTCTCTGTAGCTCAGACAGAGCAAAGTGGAGTTCCCCTTGCAGACAGCTTTGGATTACCCAAAAATAAAGCCTGACACTCACTGAGCACCTGCTTGTGTGCTCAAGGACCTGAGCTGTGTGACTCTGTTTATGTTCCACACACCAACTCTGAGGTCAGATATCATTATCATTCCCATTTGATGCTTGGAGACTGGGGTTTGCAGAGCTTAGGGAACAAGGCCAAGGCTGCTTAGTTGGCCAGTGGCACCAGGTCTGTCCCTTAGGCCTGTGTGCTCTTAACTGTTGGATACACTAGGCACTAGTGACATTTCGGACCTGACACTTCTTTGTGGTTGGGGTCTGTTGTGTACCTTGTAGGATGCTTAGCAGCATCTCTGGCCTCTACCCACTAGATATCAACAGCAATTTCCTAGTTGTGACCAACAAAAATTTTTTGAGGCTGGGCATGGTGGCTCATGCCTGTAATCCCAGCACTTTGGGAGGCCAAGATGAGAGGATCACGTGAGGTCAGGAGGTCGAGACCAGCCTGGCCAACATAGTGAACCCCCTCAACCCCTACTAAAAATACACACAAAAATTAGCCGGGCATGGTGGGGCATGCCTGTAGTTGCAGCTACTTGGGAAGCTGAGGCATGAGAATCACTGGAACCTCACAGGCAGAAGTTGCAGTGAGCCAAGATTGCACCACTGCACTCCAGCCTGGGCGACAGAGCGAGACTGTCTCAAAAATTTAAAAAAAAATTTTTTTTTGAGATACTGCCAAATGTCCCCTGGGGGCAAAAACCATCCCTGGTTGAGAATCACTGTTCTAAGGTGGTCCAGGTGTTGCTTTGTCACAGGCAGAGCCAGTCTCATGAAGAGATGGAGCAGCCAATGGCTCTCAAAGTGTGACCCCCAGTCAAAACCCCCACAGGTTGAGTGAGCATCAAGGGTTTGAAGGAGGGCTACCTAAATGTTTTGGGCACCTCTTATGAGATTGGGTGTCTGTCTCAGGCCTCGTAGTAATAATAACATTTATTTAGAATTTATTATGTGCACTAGTTCAGCAGAGGGCACGATAGCACTGATCCTCTAAGCCCACCTATGTGGCCCTAAGGGTGGCCCTGGAAGCCCTGAGGAGGGTTGTGGGGTCTGAGGCTGGTGCAGGCCGGGCCTTCCCAGGCTCTGTAAATGGCTGTTGGTGCCTGAGGAGCCCCCACAGCCCCCACCTCCAGGCCATTTTGTCTTCTTAAGATGACAAGTGAAGGGTTCCAGTGAAAAGGAGGCCAAAGGACAAGCTCTTCCTCCCACCCCCAGCCCTGTGGGGCTGGTTGTATTGGAATTGCAGGAAATTGTAGGAAGCCTGGGTCTGGTTTGAGAAAACACCTCTTGAACTATGACTGGAAACGTGAACTCCATCCCCCTCCCCGCCACCCCTCGCTGTTGTTAGGGTGGCTGAAAAACAAAGGTTAACTGAATGTCGGCACTTTCGCTGACTGCTATATAGACTTTAGGAATTTAGGGTACGCAGGTGATATGATTTGCTTCCCTACTATGTTTTAGTGGTCTGTTGGTAAAAGTTTTCACATATTTCTCAATATGTGGATAAAATGTTTCAAATAGAGTGATTAGATTTAAGCATTTCTATCTCATAACTGAGCAAATCTCTACATTCCCTTAAGCATTTAAATAAAATAAAATGTTTTGAAACTTTCCAAGATACAAGTAAATAGAGCATTTACTTATAAAAATTAGCTTGAGATAATGATTTACTTTATTTTTTGCTGCAAATGTTTTTGAAATGTAGCATTTTTGTTTTGTTTTCTTTCAAACCACCACACAGAAAAATCCAACTGAGTCTCCAAATGATGGTTACACTCTTACTGGCCACACGTTTTAATTTTTTCCATGTTCCCTGTAAACAGTGGGAGGGGTAGACGAGTGGCTGCCCAGCCAGAGGAGAGAATATCTGGATCTATGCCGCACACTGGAAGGGCCATTATCATCCAAGATGTGTTCTGTGCCAACAGAATGCAACTGTCAGTCCACTCCTTATTTGAGTCATAAGGCTGCTTTTTTCTTCTTTTTTTTTGGAGACAAGGTCTTACTCTGTCCAACCCAGGCTAGAGTGCAGGGGTAAAATCTTGGCTCACTGTAGCCTCTGCCTCCTGGATTCAAGCAGTCCTCCCACCTCAGCCTACGGAGTAGCTGGGATTACAGGTGTGCGCCACCATGCCCAGCTAATTTTTGTACTTTTTGGTACAGATGGGGTTTCACCATGTTGACCAGGCTGGTCTCGAACTCCTGACCTCAAGTGATCCGCCTGCCTCAGCTTCCCAAAGCGCTGGGATTACAGGCGTGAGCCACCGCACCCGGTCAAGGCTGCTTTTTGTCCATACACGTTGGCGGAATGGGTGCTGGGTTCATTTCCCACATCAGGCTCTTTCATCGGTTAAGCCAAAAATCTCAGGAATGACCAGGACTCTTCTGGGGGAAGCATGACAATACATTCTATAGGGTCAAAGATGCTACTAAATTGGTCCATTGTCATGGAGTTTTTGGGGAAGGCTGGGAAGATCCTCTCAGGAAGAGTCCACTGGAGGAATTATTGAATGATCTACACAAATAATTGGGGGGTGGGAGGGGCCCTAGGGGTTGTCTGGGCATTGAACTTGTGAAAAATCCTCAGGTCCCTCTGGTCCAGTCCCTAGCTTGACCCAGAGCAGCTTGAGGGCAGCATCTTAGGGCCCCTGGGTTTAGCAGGGTGTGTAGTGCGTAGCAGGGGCCCGATGCTTTTTCTAGACAATATAATCTTTAAAATCTTACATGTGTAAAGACACACAAACCCAAAGAGGTTATTTAACCAAGATCATAAATGTAGTTTCTAGTTGAGTCATCACTGTCAGCCAAGACATTGCTGTTCCATCATTAGCCACAGTAAGTTATTCCTTCATGGAATGTTTATTGCGCCTTTTTGCAACTAAGAGCAAGGGTTGTAGGGTATAATAAAAGCCCTTCCCTATCCTTGGAGTCATTTACAATCTGGTGAGGAAGTTATGATAAATGTCTAAAACTAGATAAAATACGTGCTGCTACTAAGTGATTTAAGTGGACCTGGCTTCCAGGAGTCATTAACATGGACATAGATAAAACACATAAAATCCTGCTCCTCCTATAGTCTTTCCCATCTCAGTGAATGACCCCTTTTCTTCCAGTTGCTTAGGCTACTGGATCTTCCCAGACTCCTTCCACATTCTGCCTGTCAGTAAATCCTGTTGGCTCTACCATCAAACATAACCAGAACCTGACCACTCCAATCACCCATGGCACTCGCTATCACTATCACCCCTCACCTGATGAGTGTACTGGCCTACCTGTCCCCTCTTCCTCCTATGGCCTCCTTGAGATGTTTCTCAACATAGCAGTCAGAGCAATCCAAAAAAGGTAAGTGAATCACGTCATTGAGCCACTTGACCTCTCCATCACCCAGGTCTCCTGTCTCCCATTCCCTCTCACTCATCCTGCTTCAGCCACACCAATCCCCTTGCTGTTCTTGAGTATACCGTGTAATTTTATTTCTTCTTCCTATGAGGATCTTCCCCTCATATCACATCACTTCGCTTCCTATCCACATCACTTCCTTCCCCACCTTCTTCAGGTCTTTGTTGAAAAATATCTCCTTCCTTGACCCCTCATCCTATTCAGCACTCCCTGTCTCTTTCCTGCACATTACTTTGCTCCATACCACCATCTGACATATTTTACTTTTCTTCAATTTCCCAGAGTTCAAGCTGTAAGGGACCAGTGATTTTTGCTGTATTCTTACTCCTGACACATAATTTTGATGGCAGTTTATTACTAAGACTTTAGGTCAAGATTTGGAATTTACTTTAGCCTATATTCCTGTGTTTTCCAAGCTTTAAAAGCAAATGTCCCACATTAACACCAAAACCTCAGGCCCCAAAGGTCTCCAGGTGAGAATTATGGCCTCATCTATGACTCTCTCTCAGTGATGATTTTGTTGACCTTTGTTTTTGGTAGTTTGTATTATAAAATTAGGTGACATTCTGCATTTCCAAACGTAAAATAATATTGATAATGTCTTTCAAACTACATTCTGGCTGGGCAAGGTGGCTCACACCTCTAATCCCAGCACTTTGGGAGGCCGAAGTGGGCGGATCACCTGAGGTCAGGAGTTTGAGACCAGCTGGCCAACATGGTGAAACGCTGTCTCTACTAAAAATACAAAAATTAGCCGGGCGTGGTGTTGGGCACCTGTAATCTCAGCTATCCGGGAGGCTGAGGCAGGAGAATTGCTTGAACCTGGGAGGTGGAGGTTGCCGTGAGCCAAGATCCCACCACTGCACTCCAGCCTGGGCGACAGAGCGAGACTCCACCTCAAATAACAAAAACAAAAACAAAAAAACTACATTCTGATGCAGATTCTGAGGTGTCTGTCTAGGGATCATTTACCTCATTGTGCACAGGGAACCATTAAAATAATGGTTGCTCCTTTAACTCTGCAGGCAGTGTGGTCTTCTTGGTTCTGGATGGAGTTGAGAAAAAAAATGTTAAGTTTGGAAAACAATGTTATCTGCTCTAGACAACAGAATTCTTTCTTGATGAGTAAAATTTATGTATCTAAGACTGAACTCCATCTCAAAAAGCAGATCAATAAAAAGCACAAAGCCTTTGCCTAATAGTACAAAACAAAAAGGTTTGAAATACAAGGCAGAAAAGCGATGAAATCTTAATAGTACTTTAATTAAACAAGTCACACCTCTGCTGTCAATATAAAAAATAGGCATAAGCTCAAAATATGATGGCAAATGGTGTCCCCAAACTGTGAAGTCAAATGGCAAAATGGTAAGCCAAAGAATGAACTTCTTGGCCACAAAAGAGCAAACCTCAGGTGAAGGTATGTATGAAGAATTAAGACCAAAGATCTTTAAATATGGTCAGCACCCACGACAGGTTATTCTCTGAAACGTTTCCAGAGGAGTTCAGTACTTGCCACTGGAGTAGAAAAACATATACCAGGAGTGGCAAAGTATGTCTTGTTTCTTATTCTTGTGTAATAAAGGGACTCTGGCCCTAGGTGTCTCTCATTTTGGAATCATACAATTTGAAATAGGAGTATGGTCCCCTCTCCCTTAAATGCCTAGTTTACTTCTATCGTAGACTAGAACCCTAAATCTGATGCTTTTCACAAGTTCTATTCTATACATGGGCTAGTATGACAGGAATTCTAATGTTTCAATAAATATAGAGATTCAGAACCCTATCCTTTGCACTTTGTTAACCTTTAATTCCTCCGGAGCCCAGGGACTTTGTTTTATAGAAGGGTTTTTCAGGGATGCTATTATAAAAGGGTTCAGGCACGAATCAGGGAGGATCCTGGCTTCTCTTGTTGAGGGCACAAGTTATACCCACTAACCTGGTCTCTGGTGCTGTCACTTTATATTCTCCAGGCATCTCACCAAAATGGCAGAACACAGGCAAATTCTAACATCCTGAAGGATGATGCACTGAAGGTCAAGCTATGGGGTAGGTTAATCTGCACGGGTCAGTGCAGGGCCTGAGTAACCATAGGCTCTGAAAGAATTCTTCTTTCTACTCTTCTTTAAAAAGTCAAACATAGTCTGGAAAACTCAGCTTTAAACTTTATCTAGACACAAGTGAATTATATTCCTCCATGACAGTTGTACATGGCTCTAGGGAATGACAGGAGCCTGCAAGGTGTTTTGAACACCATGGGTCCTCAAAACAAGTCTGTTGAATGAATGAACATGTAAGAACACAGCCCATTAGAGGCTGGGCGCAGTGGCTCACGCCTGTAATCCCAGCACTTTGGGAGGCCGAAGTGGGCAGATCACAAGGTCAAGAGATAGAGACCATCCTGGCCAATACGGTGAAACCCCATCTCTGCTAAAAATACAAAAACTAGCTGGGCGTGGTGGTGCGCACCTGAAGTTCCAGCTATTCGGGAGGCTAAGGCAGGAGAATCGCTTGAACCCAGGAAGCAGAGGTTGCAGTGAGCCGAGATTGTGCCACTGCACTCCAGCCTGGGGAGAGCAAGACTTCGTCTCAAAAAAAAAAAAAAAAAAAAAAAAAAAAAAAAAAAAAAAAAAAGAACACACCCATCAAAAATCAGCCTAGTTAAGTGCAAGAAAACTGAACACTTTTCAGATTGCATCATTCTTACTGGAGACTTCTCACTTCCACAGTTCCCTTACTAATAGGAAAGGTATAATAATTTTAAGAAGAAATTACTAAATCAGTAAGAAAATACAGTCTCACAAAGAACAGACAGGCTTCTTGTAATTTATTTGAGTTATTTCCAAGCGACAGTTACAAAAGTTAATTTTTATAATACTCTTGATAAGAAAATAAAATTTAAATAAAAATACATTCTCAACAATACAACATGGTTACACAAATTCACTACATTAAGTTTTGATAACTTACATTTTCAAACTGGGTACTGTAAAAACCAATATTTACTAGCAACATATTAATTTCCAAATTAATAAAAATGGAAGCAGATAATATCAACCAAGATTGGTAATTTAACTCTAGAATGAGTCTTGTATTTTTCACATACTGTAAAAACACCTAAAAGGCTATGCAGAATTCTGTCTTTACAGGATGTACCGTTAGAGCAAATTAAAGGTGCTTTCACTTAAGAAAAAGATCTGTTTTTCAAAACCTGGCATAAATGAAATCAGGCTTCAGAAACAGAAACAAAAGCCATATTATTCGTCACCTTTTTTTGTTTCATAAAAAAAAGCCTAGTTTTCACACTTACCCATTACCCGTGATATTAAAAACAAGTTTCTTTGGCAAATAAAATAGTTCAATTTGATAAATTATATTCCTGGGAGTAAAAATGTTTGCTATTGCCCATCATCTTATTAAATGAATATTAAAAAACAAAGCTACACAAAAACAAAACAACAACGAAACAAGCAACAGATCACACCACAATTTCAACTGATGGAAATGGCTAAACTAAGAACCAGAACCGGCATTTATGGCAAATTTCCCCATATCATCCTTTTCTTTCCTTCCTGGAGTTTTTAGGTTTTTAGGATGAAGTGAGCTGCCTTGTATATTTTCAAATGTGGAAAAGGTAGAGAAAGAATATCAGGTAGTAAAAATTAAAACATTTGTAAGTAACAGCAGAGGAATGAGGGCCCTGGAAGCAAATTCCTTGGTTGTCTTAGGGTCCTACTTACATGGTCTCTTATTTCAAAAGACTTTCAAAGAAAAATAATTTAATTTCACATTACTCCTTTTTTAGGCTGTGCCAAGTTGGTTAATTCCAGTCAAACTGGCTGTTTAAAAGTGTCATGTGAAGAAAAGAACTAGATGGCTGAACTCTCCTCCTTTCAAATCCAGAGTTATATATGCACACAGCCTTGGTCCCTGTGATCATACCATGATCTTTAAAACAATCACAATTGGGGATTTGGTATTAGAAATGCTAGATGCATATTTCTTTTGCCTTAAAAAAAAAAGCAGAGGACTAAAAAGCCACTAAAGAATAATGACTGGTATCTGGCAATGTTTACATGTTCTTCGCAGGCAGACATTTCAGACACTCTTAAAAGGAATTTTAATCTAAATGCAATTTGAGAATAAGAAATTTATTAAATGGCTAAATTCTTTCAAATGTATAAATCAGTGTAGTTTATGGAATCTACAAGCTTATAAAATTTAAAGGACTCTTTCAAACTTGTCTTTAAAATGAGCTGGGAGTAATAACCTACCATAATGCAGACTTAAACATAATTCATTGATTTTTACAAGTCATTTAGAGAAATACATTGCTCAGTTATATTCTTTTATGGAACAACTTTGATTGTATGCCAGTAGTCTTTAAAAATAATTACCTAATAACAATATAATTTAAAAATGATTACCCACCAATAACAAAATTGGCAAAGTATATCTTGAAATATAGCTTATGCTCAGACAAAAAAAGTACTACTAGCAGACTTACATTAATAAGTCACAGTTTTGAACAGAAACATGTAAATACTCCAAGGTTCAAAGTACCACATTTAGAAAATGTTTTGAATTAAAAAAGACAAAATAAGAGTACCATGGTTTTTAATACTGATGAAGCAAAGTGTATCCCTCAACTTCAAGGTGGCAACTTGCTTCGACTGCTTATTTACAGTTAGGGTTTTTAGGACAAAAGTAAATTTCTAGGGTAAAAAAGTCTTCAAAGAGTTGCTTGCCCAAATTCCATTTGGCTAGCAGGCAATAAGGAAACAGCAATGAAATATAAACATTTTCAGGAAAGCATTATTTTTAGACTTAAACACTGATCATTCAACTGATCATAAAGACTAGATACCATGGAGTATCTAAAGTCAAATCTGGAGCAGTCCAGATTATTAAAGTGCGCCAAGTGACTGTTCTCGAGGAAGATCAGAACCGAACACTATGAGGAGGGCATCCTTATGGTGGCCCTTATTACAACATGAAATAGTGGGTGAAGTGAAGTGATTTTCCCACCACCTTCATTCCCTGTTTACTTTCTTTTTGAAGAGATGTCCTTAGAAGTCATGTTAAACTTTCAAATCAAGAAAATGAGTACCTGGTATTTAAAACAATGAAAACAATTTCAGTGGTCTCATTACTTCTTTTGCCATCACTGATCCCAAATGTAAACAAGATGCACACAATAGCACATATTCCCTGATTCCTTCTGTCTTGAGTTTTGTTTACATCTTTAGGCAAAAGGATCTACCAACTTTCAAGTATGCTCTGGCAGTTTTCTAAAGTTTCTATCACTGTCTTGAATGGAACCTGTAATGACTGATGGACCAAAGGAAAAACACTTCTTATTTTTTTTCTTTTTTAAAGTGGGAGGGTCTACATGAACTAAATGAAAAGCTCTGAACTGTCATGAATTGGAATTTTCTAGTAAAACACAATGTTGGCAGTATAGAGCAGGCACTGATGGTAGTGAAAACAAGTCCACAGAACAGAGTGTTACAAGAAGAGATGGTTTCTTGCTACGGAGGAGTTCTCCCTTTGTTACAAAGCTTTTCTAGGAAGATTCTTTCGATTAAAAAGAAGTTGCAGAAACATGGATTTGGTCACACAGGTATGAAGGGAATCTTGGGCTTTAAATTCTCTAGTAATACATCAATACCAGGATTCCCAAACAATTAATTTCAATTATTAAATATTAAATACAATGTGGAGGCAGATGACATTGAAGCGGATGCTCATTCTTAAATACCATGAACAAAATACATGATGAATTGAAAAGCTCCAAGAAAAATAATATTTTCCAGTTCTTCTGAACCAATCTGTTAAACTCTAAGATGCTTTCCCAACAATTGGATTTTCCCTAGAGAAGAAAAAAAGTCATTTTTCAAAATTTAAGAAATACAAAAATTTAAAGGGTGACAAATATATAATCCATTAAGTATTTAGAATTTTCCCTGGATAATCTCTCATGCCAAATGTTGTTTCATTAATTCAATGAGTACTTACTGACCACCTATTCAATCTTAGACCCTAGTGTAGAACTTAAAGATAAAGTAGTAAACAAAACAGACCAAGAAAACCCTTGCCATCATGGAACTTACACTCTGGTATAGGGTAAATAAAATTAATAAGATATTTAGTATGGTAGAGGTTGATATTTTTTAATAGAGAAAAATAAAGCTGGGAAGTGGTATGGTGTGTATGGGTATGAGTGGAGAGGTACTATTTAAGAAAGAATGTCTGGGATCTCATATGGAAACTTCCCAGGGCTCCAAGGAAACTGGATTACTACTGTTGGAAGAGAACCAATTACATTAATACAGAAAAGACAGGATTAGGATGCTTCTAATAACCTTTCTAATTGAGGCATCTATCTAGGAAGAACATATAAATATTTATACTTGTCAAATTGATTTTTATTGTACATGAATAAAAAATATAATTATTAATTCACATATTTTTCAAAGAACATTTAAAGTGGTAGGGCCAGGATTCAGAGCCCTAGTCAGCAGTGTGACTTGTCAGCTGTGTGACCTTGGGCAAGGCACTTAGCTTCCCTAAGCCTCCGTTTCTCTAGCTGTAAAATGAGGATAAAACCAAGTTGGGCTGATTTGAGGATCAATGAGTGTTCACTGTGGCAAACACTGTTCCTTGCTGGCCCAAGACCCATCCCCGCCCTATCCACTTCTTTGTAACAGACCCTGATTCTGCTCTACCACTGGGTAGCCATGTGTTTCAGGGAAAGCTGGGGGTAACTCTAGAGAAGGTTCCTTTCTCCTAGTACGGAGAAAACAGCCTTTTCTGCCTCTGGATGCTATCATATAAAAATGTGGGGCTCTGAATTATTGCAGCTCATCTGTGACCATGGGGGAACAAGCTTGAGGAGGAGAGAAATCACCTTGTTGAGGTTGGCTGAGTGGCAGGTGTTCCTTGATGACAGTGCTGAGCTGCTGAATTAACCAACTGTAGAAGTTAACTACTTAATTTGCAAGAGTAAATAGTTTTATTGTTTAAGCCACCTCAATTGGGACTTCATTAACTTGCTTCTAAAAGCAATCTACATAAGCTGTAAAGTACTATAAGCACAGTGCCCCTTGCTGGAGTAAGTTCCCAATAAATGCGAGTTGTTGCTGTTGTTATCCATTGCAGTATCCATCTACACCTGAAGTGGTCCAAAAAATCAACTATAAAATAATTCTAGCACTTTTACAGCTTAATTTTTTTGGGGGTGAGTTTTGTGAATTCTTATTATGTACTGTAGAAGGAGGATCAGTAAAAACAAAAACAAAACGAAGAGCTACTAAGTATTCAAGAAATGAATTACAACTGAATGTAACATTAAAACTGGTTACAGCCTGGTGGTGTTGGCTCATATCTGTAACCTCAGCACTTTGAGAGACGAGGCAGGAGGATCGCTGGAGGTCAGGAATTCAAAACCAGCCTGGGCAACATAGCGAGACCCTGTTTTTACAAAAAATAAAACAAATAGCTGGGCACAGTGGTGTACACTTGTAGTCCTAGCTACTCAAGATGCTGAGATGGGAGGATCGCTTGAGCCCAGGAGTTGGAGGTTACAGTGAATTATGATCACACCACTGCACTCCAGCCTGTGTGACAGGGCAAGAACCTGTCTCTACAAAAACTAAATATATATATATATATATTTATATATATAATATATAAATATAAATATATAATATATAAATATAAATATATAATATATAAATATAAATATATAATATATAAATATAAATATATAATATATAAATATAAATATATAATATATAAATATAAATATATATAAAATATATATTTATATACATATATCATATATAATTTCATATACATATATATGAAATTAAAAAGTCGATAAAGTATAGCACCAACACAGTGAAATGATGGCTAAACTGAACAACACAAAGAGCACTTGGAGTGGCCAGGGAAACTTGCACCAGAGAATGGCCCTGAGCGGGATGTTGACAGATGTGGGTGAGCAGGAGGTGTGAGGTTGGGGCAGGAGAGGCAATCTCAAACTCCGTTTAAAAATATGTTTACAATAGCTTAAAAATTACTCACTTGCTCCCATATTTTGCACTACTGGATCTTTTCTTCCTATATTTTTCATGAGGTTCATCCAGCTTCTCAATTATGCTTTTTATTTGCTGAATTGTCTTAAAGGTTGTTACAGAATCCTCGATTACAAAGTTAGAATAATCATCAGGCTCTTTCTGTGGTCCTTGATAGACTGCAATAGTTCCACAAGCCTCTACAAAGAGCAGGAAAATAAATCTCTGATCAGACAACTAAATTCTATAAATGCAATATGTAGTACAAATAAGAATTTTTCAAGTGTCTTATGCTGAGGGGATTTCCCTTGGCAGAGCCGAGATAACTAAAATATATACATTTTATTTATTAGGATCATCACATTCATGCAAAAACAGTATTTTTACTTCATGAATGTCAATGAAAAATGCCTCTCTGTGGGTTTGTCAACTTTCAATAAATAACATTTTGGTAAATCTATGAGTATTTTCAACTTTTGTATAATGCTAAAGCAATACTTTAGGAATTGGTAATGAAAGATTATGGTTATATAAAAATAGATTGTGTATTTACCTTCCATCTTCTGCAGCTTAAGTAAACTGAGGGTAAAAAGGGAATAAATTCTTTCTGTTTCTCTGTCTTCATCAATATCTATTTGGATGTCTGCAGGGACACCTCTATGGTAAAAATAAAAAAATAAAGATATTATACAAATTTTATTTTGTTAACATGCCAAGGACTTCTGATGGTTTGAGACTAAAAATAGAACCACAGACTTTTGCAGAAGGAAGTCTGGAAATTTAGTTTCATTTGACAGTTAAAATAAAGTGGGGCCAAGGAGAGTTTTGGTTGTTATGTGACTCTAATCAGAAGGAGGGAAATTTTAAAGTAAAATCATTTCCACAACCTATGCTTCATCACAAAACAATATATTATTACTTAAGTCTATAGAAATACAATGGTTGTTCCATACAATTAGAAAGAGAATGCTAAGGATCCTTCTTTCTTGATATCTTGGTTCAAGCTCATGCTTCTATTTAAACATTGCCTTAAAATTTTTTAACTTGTGCAACCACTATTAATTTTGGAACATTTTCTTCACTCCTAAAAGAATCTCTGCATCCAATAGCACTCCCCATTCCTCCCTTCTTATCCCTTGTAACCACTAATCTACTTTGTGTTTCTATGAATTTACCTATTCTAGACACTTTATATCAATGTTATCAGATAATACGTGGCCTTTATGATTGACTTCTTTCACTTAGCATAATTTTTCAAGGTCCCATCCTTGTTGTTGCATGGATCAGTATGTCATTCCTTTTCATGGACAAATAATATTAACATTGCATGGATATATCAAATTTTGACACACTGCTTTTATAATCAGAAAGAAACTTACGCAGTACATGGCTTGCAGCCGAGAGTGTTTTCACCAGTCTCCTGACAGCAGAGCCAATTTCCGTTCAGATACACAGAGGGATGATAAAAACTGAGCCTGTTTTGATTGCATCGGCTCACCCTGCAGAGTACGTCTATCCATTCATTAGCTTCTACACAGTTATTTGCCTGGACATAGAGTGGTTTCTCCGTATGTATTACTTGGAACATCTTCATAGGCAATTAAGATAAAAAGTTAGTGACAAGAGTCCAAAAACCAACACACAGTACAAAACAGAAGAAAAGTACCTAAAGGAATCTAGTTGCTTGGCTAGATAACTGGTGCTAAGATGTCTTAGAAATTATTATGTTTCAAGCAAGTTAGTCCCAAGCATAATCTGAGTCACATGGTACTAAGCAGTACAAAAGAATGTAAGTTTTAGAAGCCACACATATCCAAAGGAATGGACTATCATATAGATAAGAATAAAGGGAGGGAATTGTTAATGGAAGAAAAAGTATAAAGAAAAAGCAGTAGAAAAATATTTAGGAACAAGGAAATCATCCTGGTTGGCTTAAGTGTATGGTATGCACTGAATGGGAGCAGAAGACAAAGCTGGACAGATAGCTTGGGACTGTATTACTTAGAAACTTGAATATCATGTACAGCAGTATAACAGGGAAATCTTGAGAAAAGTATTTTTAACTTAACAAACTAGGCAAGCTATATGAGGCATCAACAATAAAGGACAATTTTAAGACAGAGTTTCAGCTAGCTATTTATGAACTATTAATGATTAATAGTAAACAATCCAATAAACAACTTCTTGAAAATTTGAATACAAATATCTAAGTAATAGGTGATACAAATACAAGGTATTAACAAATACCTCGAAATACAAATACTTAAGTAATATATGCAGTTCAGAAAGCTTTAAATATTTATTTACATAACTTACATTTTTCTTGTTGAAAGAGCTCTCTTCCAGTTTTTCCACAGCAAGAATGTTTTTTACTGGGATTGTGTAGATTGCATCTTTGCCTAAATAATAAAAAAAGTAAAACAAAATTAAAGTAATTTCCATCAGAATTATAAAGATGAGAGGTTAATTCTGTAGGGTTTAAGCTCATCCTCTTGATGGTAGGAGTGTAAATAACCTACAGAAGACTTACAAATGGCATATATATAAATATTTGTTTCATGGAACAGATGAATTTTGATTGTCTTCTAAAGTGACCACTGCTTTTCTTTGCCATATAATATTAAAACATTTTCAAGGAAAAATCTGGGACTAAATTTGATCTCTGTGTAGAACGTAAGAAAGTTACAAAATTTTATATATGGGGACTGAAAAAATAGACTCAGCAAAAGAGGCCAACTCAAAACTTGCCTAGACAAGGACTTTTCTTTCATGGAGGAGTTACTATGTAAGCAGTGACTATGACTACCTATGTGCATTTTTATATTTTTCTAACCTAAATTTAATGAAGGGATTAACCCTCAAAATAATATTTCTAAACTGAAAAACTGTTCATTATTGTCCCATATGGGTTGATCAGCCACCTGATCAAAAGCTACAAAATTTAAGAGATGTAGGGAAAAAAAGTAAAAATCTTATCTGGTAGAATGAATCCTTAACCTAAGACTTTGGAAATTCCATTAAGGAAATTTGAATTTGCTAAAGGAGCTCCATAATAACATGGCATAAGAATATGATGCATTTCAACTTAACGATTTACCTGAGAATAAATTATATCTCACATAGTCATAGAAACTATAAGCAAACATAATTCTAACTTCTGGTCATTTTGTAATATTGTTCTTAGAAAAATCAAAGCTTTGCTTTTATTTCACCCCCAAGCTTTGCTTGAATGACATATAGATTGAAGTGCTGGAGGTTAAGAAACTTTGCATTTTATATTATTTAACCAATTAATTGCATAGTTTTGGGCAAAGAAAACTATTTGGTTAATAAAGGTATGTTTCTTTTTTTTTTGTCTTGACAGAGATGTTAAGATGGAATATTTGATAAGCCTGGTTTCTGGTATAAAATCTAAAATTTATGTAATTCAAGCAAATGTGACATATAATGTTTTTAAAAAAGATAAAGTCACTTAATTCAACTATCATATACTGAATGTCTATTATATATCAGGCACTGTTCTAACCACTTATGATATAGCTGTAAATAGATCATATAAGGCTCCTAAAGGAGTATGCATTTAGGTCTGGAAAGACAAAAGACCATAAATATTAAATAGAGATGAATGCTACAATGAAAATAAACTGAGGTGATGTGATAGAAAGTGAGAAATTACTTTAAATTGGGTGGCTAGGAAAAAACTTTCTGAGGAAATGACATTTACAGTTAACAAATATAAATCATAAATGCATGAGATAATAAGGAAAGACTATCAGCAATCTCCTAGAATCAGACGAGATTATATTTATGGGGGTGGGGAATTGAATGGTGGGGCAGGGAGGCAGTAACTGAAGGAAGCCATAGTCTAAGCCAGATGTACAATAAGACATCTGCAAAAGTAGGAGTGGTTAAGGAAGAGTTTCAAGCCAGAGCCAGTGGACACAGACAGCTGAAGGTTGGGGGCACTCAGACATACATCAGGATGATTAATCGGTGAGTTGCATGTGGAACAGCTGGGTCAATCAGGCCCTCCCCATTCCCAGGTTTGTGCTAAGCAGCAGTCAACAGAGGCATATATTCACAGGCTAAAGCAGCAAGGATGCATACTGGGCTGCAGAGCAGTGCAATGTCACAGGTAGCTGCTAACTCTCAGAAGGGAAGGAGAGAATACCCACACCAGAAGACAAGCAACAGCACTCCTGCCCCTCAGCAGCTTGTCCTGTCCCTCCCTCATAATCATTGGCAGTAAGCTACTCAACACTCAAGTAGGTAAATGGACTGCAAAACACAAAGATGAGTAAAACACCAAAAAAAAAAAAAATCACCAGTTAAGGAAACTCATCACTCTGAAGAAGAGACATATGTGCAACAAAGGAGGATAACATCTGAGGAAATCAGGAGTTTAAGAAATTGGGGGGGAAGAGACCTATGTCTTTGGGTACTAATTTACAGGGGGCATTATAGTCAGAGAATTTTAAAATTTTTCAAGGAGTTTCTATCTTTAGATTTGTTGAATACACAAAGAATGCACATACCCTGAAAATTGCTATATTTATTCATTTCTGGACAAATTGTAACACAGCATATGTGGAGAAAGGGCATTGCTCCCAGGCACATATACTGTCATGATATCATTAGGGTTAATTTCACAGTTAACAGTGTTAACTGGAGTGAACTGCAATGTGAGTTAGTGAAAATGAAAGATTTTACTGAGGTCTTTCCAAAAATACAGTACAAGAAGAAAAAGAAGCAAAAATAGAATAGTTAAGTACCATCGTGGATGGATTTAGAAGTTTTAATATCTGACAAATAAGAGTATTCAGGAGAAAATTACACATAAAAATGTCCCCAAGATAAAGTCAGAAATCTTCAAATAGAAAGTTATCCACCAAGTACTAAGCAGGATGGAAGAAAAAAGAAAACCTCCTAAATACTAGGCAGAAAAACATTAGAACTTGAAGGCTACAGAGAGTCCTAAGAGTTTTTAGATAGAAGAGTCAAAAGACTGAGAATCAGAGTGACATCAAAATCCTCATCAGCAGCAATGGAAGCTAGTAAACAATGGAGTATGTTTACTCCATTGAACTATCATTCAAGAGTAAGGGGAAAAGACATTTTTTTTTATTCCTGTTCAATTTATTTATTTATTTATTTAATATATGTATATTTTTGTTATACTTTAAGTTCTAGGGTACATGTGCACAATGTGCAGGTTTGTTACATATGTATACATGTGCCATGTTGGTGTGCTGCACCCATTAACTCGTCATTTACATTAGGTATATTTCCTAATGCCATCCCTCCCCCCTCCCCACACCCCAGGTAAAAGACATTTTTGTATATGTAAGGACTCAGAAAACTTATCAGCCATAAAGCCTATCTGAAAGAATTCCTTAAGTACTCCCACAAAATAATAATGAATCCAGGAAAAAGATGTGTTATACAAAAAATAGTGTTGGGCCAAAGAAATCAGTAAAATTGATAGGCAAGGATGCAAAATCATTAAAACATAATGTAAAAAGGTAAAAGAAACAAGAGAAACAAGTATTAAAATTCCAGATGACTTCTTTAGGGAGATGCTAGGAAAAGAATAATTGAAAGCATGATAATGTTCTTTCCCAGCTTGAATGGAGACTTGGATCAACTGTAGACATTAATATAAACATTTAAGTTTTAATTTGTTAACAATTTAAAAAGTAAAAATAGGATAGTCAAGTTTCCTCACTAGATAGAGACAGAAAGATAGAGTGCAAACACCCATATATGCTCAACTATTCCAATAAAAAGGAAGGGAAAAATAAACCCAAGAAACAGAAAAGACTAGTAAATAGAAAACACAAAACAAAGTAGTAGTAATGGTAATCACAATAAATGTGAGTGCATTAAATTTCCTACTAAATGGCTGAAATCAGGTTTTAAAGTTGTCATTACCTCCTAATTAAACAGAAATACCCTATTAACTCACTGATTACACTCCTACGTATATACCATGAGAGCTGAAGACACATCCACACAAAAACTTGTAAATGAATGTTCACAACTGCATTGTTCATAATAGCCAAAAACCAAAAACAACCTAAATGTCCATCAACTGGTGAATGAATAAACAAAATGTGGTATTATCTGTAAAAGAGAATATGATTCAGCCATGAAAATAAAGTACTGATTCATGCTACAACATGAATGAACCTCCAAAACATTATGCTGAGTGAAAGATGTTAGTCACAAAAGGCTACATATGATTCCATGTACATGAAATGTCTAGAATGGGCAAATCTATAGAGACAGAAAGTATATTAGTGGTTGTCAGAGGCTGGGAGAAGGGAGGAATGGGGAGTGACTGTTAATGGGTATAGGGTTTCTTTTTGGGTGGTGAAAATGCTTTGGAATTAGTGGCAATTGCGCAACACTATGAATATCTTGAAAACCAATCAACTGTATACCTTAAAAGGGTGAATTTTATGGTATGTGAATTATATCTAAATTTTATTTTTTATTTTTTTTTGAGACAGAGTTTTGCTCTCATCACCCAGGCTGGAGTACAATGGCATGATCTCGGCTCACTGCAATCTCCACCTCCTGGGATCAAACGATTCTCCTGCCTCAGCCTCCTGAGTAGCTGGGATTACAGGCGCCCACTACCACACTTGGCTAATTTTTGTATTTTCAGTAGAGATGGAGTTTCACCATGTTGGCCAGGCTGGTCTCGAACTCCTGACCTCAGGTGATCCACCCGCCTTGGCCTCCTAAAGTAGTGGGATTACGGGCCTGAACCACTGTGCCTGGCCTAAATTTAAAAAAATACAATTACCACCACAATAAAAATGAATGTCCAACTACATATTGGCCCCAAGGGACACAGCTAAAACAATGTTACCATGACTGTATTTTTGATAATAGTGTTAAGAAAGATGGGTGTATAAAACTGGGCAAATTGTTAAAAACAACTTCAGGGCACGGGAAAACAACCAACGGTGATAAGTTTACTCATGAAAAACCGCATAGGGTAAGAACTGTGGATTTATGGTCTTCCTACCTGGGGGTGTTTCCATTATCCCCAAGTTAGGCAATGAAAATACAAGTTTTACTGGCTGGAGGTTACAGATTCCATTTAAGGATGAAATCTGGAAGCAAGAGGGCTATGAAAGCCTGATAATAAACTTGCCAGATCCCTGCCTGACTGCTAACGTAGGCATGTATGTGGAATATCCCAGAGTCTGGCAAAAACTGAAAGCCTGGGGAGACGTCAATTTGCTGTGACTCTGAATGTATTCTCTAATCCACACACAGCTCAGATGACAGAGGGTGGAAGCCTTTGAGGTATTTGAGCTGCCTGCTCAATTCATTTGTTGACCACTAAACTAATCAAGTTCAGGTGAGGCCCCCTAGGGAGCTAGCTAGGGTTAGAGGGAAACATCTGAACAGAGAGATACACTGTAAGTAAGAGAGAGAGACTGCAGTTTTAGTCTAGGCAAGCATTCAGAACAAACCAAATGCAGACACACTACAGTGTACTATCTAAAAGAGGGGTCCCCAAAATCTGGACCATAGACTGGTACTGGTCAGTGGCCTGTTAGGAACTGGGCCACCCAGCAGGAGCAGCAGTGGGTGGGCAAGCAAGCATTACTACCTGAGTTCTGCCTCCTGTCAGATAAGGGTGGCATGAGATCACAAGAGTGCAAATCCTATTGTGAAACGAGCATGCAACAGATCTAGGTTGTGCACTCCTTATGAGAATCTAATGCCTGATGATCTGAGGTAAAACAATTTCATCCCAAATACATGACCCCCCACCAGTCCGTGGAAAAATTGTCTTCCATGAAACTGGTCCTTGGTGACAAAAAGGTTGGGGACTGCTGATCTTAAAAATGTCTAGCTTTTAATAAGAAAGTAAGACATATAAAAAAACAGGAAAGTGTGACACATAACTTGGGAAAGAAGGCAGCCAACTAAAACTGATTCTGAATGGGTCCAGATACTGAATTTAGCAGCCTAAGACTTCAAAGCAGTTACTCTAAATATGCTGAAATAATTCAATAAAAATATACTAATAGCAACTGAACATATATAGGCTCTCAACAGAAAAATCTAAAGTACAAAGAGAACTAAATGGAAATTCTGGAGCTGAAAAGTACAACAGATGAATGAAAAATTCACATGAGCTAAATCAGTGAACTTAAGTAAAAATGATCTGATTTGGAGACCAAAGAGAATAAAAGAAAAATGAACTGAGTCTCAGTGAGATCCATGAGACAATTTATCAGCATAAATTGGAGGATCCCTAGAAGAAAAAGGGGAGAAATTTGAAGAAATAAGTCAAAAAAGTCCCAAATTTGGTGAAAAACATTATCTTATGGTTCAAAAAATTCAACAAACCCCAACAAGCTCTTGAAAAATTTCAACCACCAAGTAATACATTTTATGGTCATCATATTAAAAAAAGAAAAAGGAATCACAATGAATAATGGAGAAAATACATCTTTCTTTTCAATGAAGTCCAATTCATTTAAGAAAAATGTTCAGTGCTTTTAATGTTCTCTTCAAGAAATCCTAGCATATCATGGTTTCGAAGATATTTTTCCACATTTTCTTTGAGGTCTATGATTCTATCATCTTTTTTTTTTCTTTTTTTTTGGAGACAGTGGAGACAGTCTCTCTCTGTTGCCCAGGCTGGAGCGCAGTGATGCCATCTCGGCTCACAGCAACTTCTGCCTCCCGAGTTCAAGCATTCAAGTGATTCTCGGACCTCAGCTTCCTGAGTAGCTGGGATTACAGCCGTGGGCCACCATGCACAGCTAATTTTTGTATTTTTAATACAAACGGGGTTTCACCATATTGCCCAGGCTGGTCTTGAACTCTTGAGATCAGGCAATCTGTCTGCCGCAGCCTCTCAAAGTGCTAGGGTACAGGTGTGAGCCACTGTGCCCGGCCCCATCATCTTAAATTAAATTTTGTGTTGTGTGAGGTGGGGTAAAGTTCATTTCCCCTCCATGTTTATCAGGGTCGTTCCTGCACCATATGTTAAAAAGCCTTTTCTTTCCCTACTGAATTGCCTTGACAGCTTTGTTAAAACGGAATTGGCCATATTTATGTGTGTGTTTCTTTCTGCTCTGTCCATTGATCTCTTTCTCTCTTATCCTAAACCTACAATCTTGATTACTGCAGCTTTACAGTAAGTCTTTAAATTAGCTCTCAACTTTGTTTTACCTTTCAACATTGCTTTGGCTATGGTTAAGACCTTTATTTTTCCATCCATGTAAATTCTGGAATCAACTTGTCCATTTTTATTTTAAAAACTGGCTGGGATTTGGAGTGGGATTGTGTTAAAATCGAGATGAATTCAGGGAGATGTGGCTTCTTAAAAAATACTTATCTAAAAGGCAGATCAAAGTGGTGGGACTCTAGTTGTGGCCACGGAGATGTGAAGCTCTGAAGGACTCCTCCTGCTCCGGGTCGGCGCTTGCCCTTGCTCTCTTTGCCCTCTGCCCTGCACCCGTCAAGGAGAAGAGGGAGCTGATCCTGAAGGCCAAGCTGGCCAAGCAGGCAGAGCACTACGATGACATGGCCACCTGCATGAAGGCTGTGACCAAGTAGGTCGCCGAGCTGTCTAATAAGGAGCGCAACCTGCTCCTTATTAGAATGTGGTCGGGGGCTGCAGGTCCGCCTGGAGGCTCATCTTGAACATTGAGCAGAAGACTGACACCTCCGACAAGAACCCTCATCATGCAATTGCTTAGAGACAACCTAACACTTTGGACATCAGACAGTGCAGGAGAAGAATGTGAGGCAGTAGAAGGGGCTGAAAACTAAATACATACAGGGTGTCCTCCTTCTTTCCTTCAAGAAACCTTTTTACACATCTCCATTCCTTATTCCACTTGGATTTCCTATAGCAAAGAAACCGATTCATGTGTTTGGAGTCAACTGTTTTTAGTCTTTTCACACTGCAGCTTTGGGAAAACTTCATTCCCTGATTTGTGTTTGTCTTGGCCTTCCTGGTGTGCAGTTACTGCTGTAGAAAAATATTAATAGCTTCATTTCATATAAACGTAAGTAACTTCCACACACTTATGTAGAGGACTAAAAATGTATCTGGTATTTAAGTAATCTGAAACAGTTCTGCAAGTGACTGTGTTTTGTATTACTGTGAAGATATAAAAATGTAGTTAATTACAATTTAAAGAGTGTTCTACATAACTTAATTTCTACATTCCCTCCCTTACTCTTCGAGGGTTTCCTTTCAATAAGCAATTTTTCCATGCTCTTAATGTATTCCTTTTTAGTAGGAATCCAGAAGTATTAGACTGAATGAAAACGCACTTGCCATCTCTGGCTATGGTTCACAAATTGAAATGCCTCCTTTATCACATAAGGAGGTCATGTATATCTGTGGCAACAGGGAGTTTCCTTATTCACTCTTTATTTGCTGCTGTTTAAGTTGACAACCTCCCTTCCCAATAAAAATTCACTTATACCTCCTGTCTTTGTAGTTCTGGTATTCACTTTACTATGTAATAGAAGTAGCATGTTGCTGCCAGAATACAACATTGCTTTTGGCAAATTAAAGTGCATGTCATTTTTTAATACACTAGAAAGGGGAAACAAATTAAAGTACACAAGTCTAAATTTAAAACTTTTGTACTTTTCTATGCAGATCTGTGCACGTGAGAGGGTGTCCTGTTTGTCTAGTGATTGTTAGAGTTGGAACACTATTGTGTGTTGCTAATCATTGACTGTAGTCCCAAAAAAGCCTTGTGAAAATGTTATGCCCTATGTAACAGCAGAGTAACATAAAATAAAATTACACTTTATAAACCAAAAAAAAAAAAAAAAAACCCAAAAAACAAAGAAACTCAATCTTCAATCCACAAACATGACATGTCTCTTTTTATTTAGACTTTCTTTACCTTATCTCCGGAGTGTTTTGTAGTTTCAGTGTAGAGGTGTTGTACTTCTTTGGTTAAATTTATTTTAATTAATTTATTTATTGAGACAGAGTCTCGCTCTGTCGCCGGGGCTGGAGTGCAGTGGCGCGATCTCGGCTCACTGCAACCTCCACCTCCTGGGTTCAAGTGATTCTCCTGTCTCAGCCTCCCGAGTAACTGGGATTACAGGCATGCACCACGACGCCCAGCTGATTTTTTGGTATTTTTTAGTAGAGACGAAGTTTCAGCATGTTGGCCAGGCTGGTCTTGAACTCCTGACCTCAAGTGATCTGCCCACCTTGGCCTCCCAAAGTGCTGGGATTATAGGCGTGAACCACCGTGCCCAGCCTTCTTTGGTTAAATTTATTCCTAAGTATTTTAGGGTTTTTTTGGGGGGGAACTACTGTAAAGGGTATGATTTTTAAAATTTTGTTTTCTAACAGTTTGCAACTTGTAGAAATATAATTGATTTGTACATATTTATCCTTTATCCCAAGACCTTGCTAAATTAAATTCAGTTATTTGTTCAAGTAGCTGTTCTGAGGATTCTTCAGGAGTTTCAATATAACACTATATGCCTTTTATTTCTTGTCTTACTGCATTGGCTAAAATCTTCAGTATTGAACAGAATTTATTAAAGGGGATAATCCTTGATTTAACTACAAATTTCTTACATACACTTTTGATCAGATTTAGGAGATTATCTTTTAGACTTCATTCAAGAGTTTTTATTTTCTTTAATCACAAAGAGGTGTTAAATTTTGTCAAATACATTTAGTCTGTTAATAAGATAAATTATGTTGATTAGTTCTCAGATATTAAACCAACTTTATATACTTGGGACAAACCCCACTTCATTATGGATTGTCCTTTTCATATACTGCTGGATTTAATTCATTATATGTATTTTTTCTTGAAAAATCTTTAGTTTTAGTACTAGAGTTATGCAGGCTTCAGAAGATGACTTGGCAAGTATTCTTTCCCTCTGTTTTCTAAAAGACTTTGTGGGTAAGGTTGACGTTATTTCTTCCTTAAGTGTTTGGCCGACTTTACCAGTAAAGCTATTTAAGCCTGGCATTCTTTTTTAGGACACATTTCATCACAAGCAGAGATACAGGGTTTTTAAGATATTCTACTTTTTTCTTGCATCTGTTTTAGTAAATTGTTTTCCAAGAAATTTGTCCATTCATCTGAATTGTCAAATTTATTGATATAAAGTTGCTCATATTAGTTTCTGGTTAGTCTTTTAATGTCATTGGAATTTGTAGTAGTCTTATTCCTAATCATGGTAATTTTGTGTTTGATTTTTTTTTCTTTTATCAGTCTTTCTAGGCATTTTTCAATTTTATTAAAGCTTTTGGCTTTGTTATGCTTCACTATTAGTTTGTTTCCTATTTCACTGATTGTACTCTCATCTTTATTTTTGCCATTCTTCAATTAACTTTAGGTTTATTTTCTCATTTTCTAGTTTAAGTTGAAAATATATTTGATTTTATCCTTTCTTTTTTTAAAAATAAAAGCTTTATTAAGGTGAGCCTATTTGACATATCAATTCATCCAGTTTAAGTGTACAAATGAAGGTTTGTTTGTAACTCTACTGAGTGGTATAACCATGACCATAAATCAATTTTAGAACAGCTTCATTCTACCAATAAAATCCCTCATGCCTGTTTATACCCCAATCGGCTACTTGGGACTGGTTCCCAACCTGTCCCAAGCAGCCACTAACCTACTTTCTGTTCCTATACCTTTGTCTTTTCTGGACACTTCGTATAAATGGAATCATGCAGTACGTAATTTCTTGGCTCTGACTTCTTTCACTTAGCGTAATTTTTTGAGGTTCATCCATGATGCAGCATGTGTCAGTAGCTCAATCTTTTTTACTGCTAGTAGTATTCTTTATTATTATTTTTTGTAGAGACAGGGTTTCACCATGTTGCCCAGGCTGGTCTCAAACCCCTGAGCTCAAGTCATCCTCCTACCTTGGCCTCCCAAAGTGCTGGGATTTCAGATGTGAGCCACCACGCCCAGCCTGTATTGCTAATAGTGTTCTATTGCATATATATATCATATTTTATTTACCCATTCACCAGCTGATAGACATTTAGGTTGCTTCTAGTTTTTGGCTATTGTGAATAACGCTGCTCTGAACATTCACTCCGATTCTTTGTGTGGGCATATGTTTTCATTTCTTTTGGGGTAGGTAACCAACAGTGGAATTGCTAGGTTACATGTATAGTAGTTTTATGTTTAACTTTCTGAGAACTGCCCAGTTGCTGACTGTCAAAGCCCCTATTTTACATTCCCACTGGAAATGTATGAGGGTTTCTGTTTCTCCACATTCTCAACAACATTTGGTATTGTCTGTCTTATTTGTTACAGACACTCTAGTTGGTGTGAAATGGTATCTCATTGTGGTTTTAATTTGCATTTCCCTAATAATGATGTTGAGCATCTTTTCATATGCTTATTATCCACTTGTATAATCTCTTTGATAAAATGTTTGTTCATATCTATCGTCCTCTTTTTAAATTGGGTTTTTGAAAATTCTAGATACAAGTATATTAGATAAGCGTTTTGCAAATATATTCTTCCAGTCTGTTGCTTACCTTTTCATTTTCTTAATGGTCCTCTTTTGAAATGTTTTTGAATTTTGATGAGATCCAATTTATCAAATATTTTCTTTTATAGACCATACATTTAGTTATGTAAGAAATCTTTGCCTAACCTATAAAGGCTCAAAGATTTTCTTTACTTGTTAATAACAATCAATTTCCCTTTACATACTGTTTTAGCTGTATCCCACAAACTTTGATATATTTGTTGCATTTTCATTATCATTTAAGTTAAAAATATTTTTGAGTTTCCTTGTGAATTCTTCAATCTATAGGTTACTTAGAAGTATTTTATTTAATTTCCAAATATTTGGGGCTCTTCCAGGTATCATATTGTCATTAATTCTGTTGTGATCAGAGAACATACTTTGTAAAAAGTCAATCTTTTGATATTTACTGAGACTCCAGGCCCAGCATATGGCGGCCTATTTTACTGAATGTTCCAATGCACATTTCAAAAGAATATGTATTCTGCACCTGTTTGGCCTAGTGTCCCATAAATGTAAATTAGATCAAGGTGACTGATAGTATTATTTCAAACTTCTGTAAGAAAACTGGTTCTTGTGCTCAGCTCCTCTAACAATTGCTGAGAGAAGACTATTAAAATATTCAAGTACAGGCCAGGTGCAGTGGCTCATACCTGTTAATTCTAGGCCGAGGCAGGAGGATCACTTGGGTCCAGGAGTTTGAGACCACCCTGGGCAACAAAGTGAGACCTTGCAGCTACAAAAAATCAGAAAATCAGCCAGATGTGGTGGCGTCCACCTGTGGTCCCAGGTACACAGAAGGCAGAGGCAGGAGGATCTCTTGAGCCCAGGAGGTCAAGGCTGCAGTGAGCTATGTCTGTGCACTCCAGCTTGGGAGACAGAGCAAGACCCTGTCTCAAAAAAAGAAAAAAGAAAAAGAAAAAAGAAAAAAAGAAAAAAAAATTCAACTAGAATTGTAGATGTCCTATTTCAATTCTGTTTTTTTCTCCAACTACATTGAAGTTGTAATTAGGTATGTACACATTTAGGATTATGTGCTCCTTCTGCCATTATAAAATGTGCCCAAACATATTTGGTAAAAGTTGTTTTGACATCTACTTGGTCTGGGATTACTGCTTACTGTTTACATCATCTTTCTCCACCCAATTACTTTCAACCTATCTGTGCTTTTATAATATATTTAACGTGGATATATTGTAGAAAGTATATTATTGGATCTTGCTTTTTAAAATATAGTCTGATAGTCTCTTTCAATGTATTGTAGTTCATTTACATTTACTGTAATTATTGATATGGCTGGGTTTAAGCTATCATTTTGTTATACGTTTTCTGTCTGTCTCATCTGATTTTTGCTCCTCTGTTCTTCCCTTCCTCACATTTTAATTTATTTATTGTTTGGGAGGAGGAGAGGGGATGGATTAGTTATGTCAAGTATTTCCCTAAATTTTTGTTCTAGATATTATAATATACAGCCTTAACTCATCACAGTCTACTTAAAATTATTCTTGCATCACTTCACATAAAATATAAGACCCTTGGAATAATTTACTCCACCCCCTTCCTTTGTGCTGTTACTGTCATATATTTCATATCCAGATATGTTATAAACCCTATAATTAAATGTTATACATTTTGCATCGAACAGTTGCTTTTTAAAGAAATGGAGAAAAAAAAAACAGGCATTCTTACATTTACCCACATATTTACCATTTCCAGTGCTCTTTACTCCTTGTAGATCTAAGTTTCCATCTGGTATTATTTCCTTTCAGCCTGAAGAATTTCCTTTAGCATTTCTTATAGTGCAGGCTTGCTCACAATGGAGTCTCTCTCAGCTTTCATTTATTTAAAATATATTTTCATTTTCAAAGAAAATTTTCTCTAGAATGTTAGGTTGAGACTTTTGTTCCTTTAGCATTTTAAACAGGTCATTCCACTGTCCTCCAGTTTTAGTTGCTTTTTATGAGGAGTTGGCTGTCAACTGTACTGTTGTTCCCCTGTGTATGTATCTTGTCTTTTGTTTCTCTGCTTGCAAGATTTTCTCTTTATCTCTGGTTTGACTATTTTATGTCTAAGTGCGGTTTCCTTTGCGTTTATCATGCTTGCAGTTCATTGAGCTTCTCAGATCTATAAGATACTGTTTCACCAAATTTGGGAAATTTTAGGCCATTATTTCTTCAAAAAAAAATTTTTTTTTTTGTCCAATTCTTTCTCTACTCTCCTTCTAGGACACCAACCATGCATATGTTAGACTACCTGATATTGTACTAAAGGGTCACTGAGGTTTTGTTCATTTCCCCCAAGTCTTTTCTGTGTTCTAGATTGGTTCATTTCTACTGATCGATCTTCAAGTTCAGTGAACCAATCTGTTGTTAAGCCCATCAGATTTTTGATGTCAGGTATCGTGCTTTTCAATTCTAGAATTTCCATTTGATTCCCTTTTTATTTTCTTTTTTGGCTGAGATTCCCCATTTCTTTACTCATGATGACTACTTTTCCACTAAGTCCTTGAAATATTTATAATAGAGGCTTTAACGTTCACGTCTGCTAATTCCAACATGTAGATCATCTAGGGGTCTACTTCTACTGATCGCCTTTTCTCCAGATTATGCATTATAATTCTGTGTTTCTTCTTGAGTTGTTAATGTTCCATTACATACTGGCCTTCATGAATAAAACATTGTAGAAACTATGGATTCAGTTACCTTCCCTTGAAGTTACATCATTGGTGATTATCGTGAGGGTTGGTTTTATACTTTGTTTATACTATACTTTGTTTATTCTTAATCCTAGAATATAGTCTTTACTACTGCGCCACCACTCTTTTGAGATTTTGATGAAAATATTTAAGTGTTTGCTAAGCTCTCTAAGTAAAATTCCAAATTCTGTCTCCTTTGAGGCGGACAGAAACTGAAGTCTCTGCTCATCTTTTTCAAGTTTTCAGTTATTGCTTTTCACTAGCCCCTTTGGAGGTCCCTCTTGCATTAGCGGTTTAAGAGTCAACTAAATATTTCAGAGGAGTTCACATGCAGACTGAAGAACTCCTCTTTATGCCTCAATTTCCAGCCTCTCTGGTAGCCCTAAACTCCATCCTTTGGTATCTCAAGCCAATAAAGCTTAGTTTTCTGCTTGCATTTTAGCACCACCTCAAACTGGCTAGACTGGGAGTGCTTTCAAGGGGAAAAGCTGTATAAAAATAAATCTTAGGCCGGGCGCAGTGGCTCATGCCTGTAATCCCAGCACTTTGGGAGGCCAAGGTGGGTGAATCACCTGAGGTTGGGAGTTCAAGACCAGACTGACCAACATGGAGAAACCCTGTCTCTACTAAAAATACAAAATTAGCCGGGCATGGCGATGCATGCCTGTAATCTCAGCTACTGGGGAGGCTGAGGCAGAAGAATCACTTAAACCTGGGAGGTGGAGGTTGCAGTGAGCTGAGATTGCACCACTGCACTCCAGCCTGGGCAACAAGAGTGAAACTCCATCTCAATCAATCAATCTTAGCCAGCATGGTTCCTTTCTTTCAAGGGTCAAATTCTTCAGAGAATTGCTATATATATATTCTGCTAAAGGTTTATAATTGTTATCTATAAGAGTTAGTCTAATATAAGCTTCTCTACCACTACCAGGACTCTTGGTTTTTTCTACCATTACCAGGACTCTTCTTTTTTTTTTTCAAGTTCAGTTTTATACTGACTCCATCATTTTCTGTTCCCCTTCTTTACTTCTTTTTTTTCCTCAAAAAGAGTTCTTTATCTATTTTTAAAAAGGCAACTTCATGCCCAAATCCTTGGAATTATCCTTAACTTGCCTTTTTCTCTCACTCCCAGTATCTAACTCCTCTGGGTACTATTTTTCAAATAGATTCAGAATGTGATCCATTTTTATCATTTCTACTGCTACCAACAGATCCAAGCCATTCTCTTTTCTCCTCTAGAATATTTTAGTAGTCTCTTAACTGCTCTCCTTGTGCCCTTCATTCATTCTCCATGTAACACTCCACAGACATAAGTTACCCTATTAAGACATAAGTTAAACAATGTTATTCTTCTGCTTAAACCTCTCCAATGTCTTTCCATTTTACTCAAAGTAAAAGCCCACAAGGTCCTATAAAATCTAGCACTTCTATGATCTTTTTGATCTTAGTTCCTATGACTTACCCTCTTCTTCAATTTTCCAGCCACAAGAGCTTTCTCTTATCTCTTTAACACTCCAGGCATGCTTCTATTTCAAGGCATTTGTTCTGGGTGCTGTTAGCTATTTCTGTGACACTTTTATCCCAAATATCCACATGGTTCACTCCCCGACCATCTTTAGATTTAGGTCTTTGCTCAAATGTCACTTTCTCAGTGAAGCCTTCCCTGGTTAGACCTTTTAATATTTTAACTCACCTCACTGAACCCATCATTTTCTGTACCTTGTCCCTGCTTCTTTTTTGTTCATCTGATTTATTATAATCCAACATAAATATAATTTTCTTTTTTTTACTGTTTATTGTCTTAGTAAAGATCTATAAGGACAGGGATTTGGTATGTTTTGTTTACTATTTTTCTCTCCAGAGCCTAGAACAGTGTCTGGTACATAGTAGGCACTCAATAAAATACCTGTTGAATAAATGCATGATTGAATCAATGATGTATTTTGTTCTTTAGCTATCAGAAAAAAAAAAAGCTGCAGAGCCCTGTATGTGAAAATACAGGTAGGTGAAAACCGTGTCAACTTCAGTGTATTGAACATTTATGTTTAAAATATCATGGACATTTCTTTTACAATGTCCACTGGCTATATGAGCTAGGGTAGGGCTGGCTATATAAGCTAGGGCATTTAATGTCACATGAAAGTTGTGTGTATGTATATGTGTATAACAGGTCTCCCCAAAGTAGACAATATCTAATTAAATTCTACAGAACAGAATTTCAAAGATGAATTAGTATGCCTGGCAGAAATTTTAGAAAGACAAGTAGTTCGTAACGTAATTCAGATGACAGCATATATGGAAGACATGGTGTTCTTTGAAGAATACTTACTATATGCCTTTATGCCACTAGTAATAATATGGTCCTTACCACTGAGGATCTTAAAGACTAGGGGAAGAGATGGACAAAAGTAATGACCACACAGTAATGCCACGTAGCTGAAGATACACAGTAAGGGAATGGCTACACTGAGGTAGCCATATGAGGCTTACAATGGCTTCCATAAAGAGCTGACACTTGATCTAAGACTTAAAGGACAACAGATTACACAGGTAAAGGAGAAAATAAAGGAATTTTTAGGTAGATATTTTTATGTACATATGCAAAAGCATGAATGTAAAAGCATGCAAAAGATGTAAAGAAGGCACTGCAAAAAGTAGTCTGGTGAAACTACATATGGATACTGCAAAAGATGAGGCTGAATGAGACATAAAGAGGCTAGAACATCAATAACTAGTTTGATCTCCGCATATAACTAAGAGAACTTTTACTTGTAGAAGATGACTAAATTATAGTATAGCAATATAAAATCATAATTGTAAGTACACAGGGCCATAAAAATCTCTCAAGGTAATCATGACTGATGGCTGAGTGTCTGATAATATTCATTTGCTACATGTTAATTTAACTCTACTGATTAGTTGCTTACTATTGCCTGTTAGCACTTGCCTAAAGGGGCCTCAAAAATTTAAAAACTTATTGAAGAAAAATCCTTAATACAGAGAAAATTCTACTAATTCATTTTCCAGTAAATTGGGAAAAGACTATGCATATTATTTGACACTAAGTGACAGAAATACTTGATTCACAATACTACTGTATATTAGGAAGAGAGAGTGAAAGACTCAATGATTTAGGTCTATGTTACAGGAAATTTGGGAGGTATTCTTTCAGACACCAAAGTCACATAGTAAGTGTAGCAAAAGACTAATTAACTAGCAAGTCTTGGCTACCTAGAAAACAGCAGGGAAATTGGAAGTAAGCAAAACATTTGCTCAACAACCAAACAGAGAATGCAAAGCCCAGGTATTTTATTTACAGGAGAAAGTCCTGACGTTTTCATTCAAAGCCTTTTAATCTTAGGCATAATTTAAACAAACATAGCACTTGCATCCTCACTTATAGGACACTACTGTAAAAAATAGAGGTGGGTGATGGGATGGGAATAAGGTGTTATATTATGGTTCACAGACATCACAAGAAATTTAAGGCCACAGCCTTACCACAAAGGATACAGAAAAACTGTATAAAGCGAACATAGGAACACAAAAAGCACAGCAGTCCAAGGCATTTAGCTGCGGAGTAAATGCATTTAGCTGGAGTAAACAGTTGCACACACCTTTAAGCAGCCCTGAAAATATCACTAAATCAGAATCCATATAACAATTAATATTATCAATGGTAGCCCCAAGTCATCTAGAAGATGTTAACTTACGTTCAATGAACTCTTTTTTAGAAGGCAGGGAAGCATGTAATATATTTTGGAAAAATCCATCAAAATAGTTAAAACAAAAAGCATGGAAGCTTAAAACTGCAGGCTTTGGTAAATAAGCTTGAAACTTCATATCTCATTCCTCCAATGTCATTCCAAAATTTTAAACTTCTTAATGCTTAACAACAACATAGCTTCTAATGCGTCTGTTTTATACCTCTAGTAGCCTCATCATTCTAGAGAATTTTGTCCTCTTAAAATCAGTGGACAGAACAGAGATTCTTTTTTTTTTCTTTTTTTTTTGGAGACAGAGCCTCATTCTGTTACCCAGGCTGGAATGCAGTGGCGCGATCTTGGCTCACTGTAGCCTCCGCCTCCCAGGTTCAAGCAATTCTCCTGCCTCAGCCTCCCAAGTAGCTGGGACTACAGACGCACACCACCACGCCTGGCTAATTTTTGTATTTTTGGTAGACATGGGGTTTCACCGCGTTGGCCAGGATGGTCTTGATCTCCTGGCCTCATGATCCGCCTGCCTCAGCCTCCCAAAGTGTTGGGATCACGGGTGTGAGCCACCGCGCCCGGCCAGAACAGAGGTTCTTAACTTGAGAATCACAGATGAACTTTAGGTCTATGAACTCCCTGATATTATATGCAAAATTTTGTGTCTATGAACTCCCTGAAGTTAAATGCAAAATTTTTTGTCTATGTTTGTAGGTACAGTTTTCTAGACAAAGGGGTCCATAGCTATCTAATTCTTAAAGAAGATTATAAACCGAAAAATACTTCAGAATATTGGTTTAGATTAGAAAATGCTTTAAATGAAGAAAAAAGAACTCATTTATTCACAGAGAATGACTAATTTACCTTAACTTTTATTTAAATGTACTATTAATGTAAACATAATTAGCACCCAGTGCTATGCATAGGTGAGAACATTTATATAGTATTCAGTAAGTTATAATTTCTAAAACATTCAAAATATGCTTAGCTTAAAAAATGCTATCTGGGCCGGGCGCGCTGGCTCATGCCTGTAATCTCAGCACTTTAGGAGGCTGAGGGGGCAGGTCACGAGGTCAGGAGTTCAAGACCAGCCTGGCCAACATGGTGAAACCCTGTCTCCACTAAAAATATAAAAATTCGCTGGGTGTGGTGGCGGGCGCCTGTAATCCCAGCTACTCGGGAGGCTGAGGCAGGACAATCGCTTGAATCCGGGAGGCAGAGGTTGCAGTGAGCCAAGATCATGCCACTGCCCTCCAGTCTGGGTGACAGAGTGAGAATCCATCTCAAAAAAAAAAAATAAAAATAAAAAGCTATCTGGAAGGGCATGTATGTAGCCTATTGACTTTTAGTTATTTGAGTATGTAAATGTTGTAACAAATTATCTGAGTAATATACCCAAAAGTATAATGCATTTGGTTTCTTATATCTTTCTAATATACTGGGACACATGTAGTCATTCTGGTTAAGCCATTCCTAAGGAAGAATTATGAAATAAAAATTTTTTCTTATCACTCTACTATTCAAGAGTCTCCACTGAAGCACTCTACTTAACTGTGTTATATCCTCTTTAAAGCACCCTATGTCTGATGTATTATTCCAGAATTTACAGCAGAAGCTCTCTTAACAGATCTTTACCTAACAGATTTGATAGATTAACAGACTCTCCATTTCCTCTGTAAAACATACTGAATGTTGCTCACGGGGTGCTACACGCTTGTGGTTGCTCAGGTACTCTGTTAAGCCTGCGCCCTTCTACTTCCATCGGTTAGGCTGTTTTGCTTACTATATCCATTGGGTTTGTTGCTAAACTTATTTATGCTAGTTTTCTATGTTGTAATTATAATTTACTTTATGTAAAGAGACAAAGTAAGTGCCCACTACCAAGAGGTTTATTACTTATTTGAAAATCAGGTAAATGCTTTGAAAAGCCTCTAAAAAGGAGACGCATACCTCCACAAATAAGGCTGATTTATGTGGAGGTAAGACAGCTGTAAAAGACTAATGTAACTATCCTGAAAATCTAAGAGGATTTTGTGCTTGAATTACTTTTCAAGTATCTAAGTTCTAGATTTACTTTGGAGAAATCATCCTGAAAACTGATGCATTATGGGTATATTTACACAAGAAAGACAGGAAATCTGATCTATAGGTCCATAGTCAAAGAAATAATCTTGGTTCTCTACCAAAATGCTGGTAAACAAATACATAAATTAAGATCTATATGCATCTTTTTGTTTATTTTAAAATGATTCTCACTTTTAACCAACCTTTTGGTTTGGTTAAGTGAACATCTCTGGATCCTGATCATTTTGGACAGAAGGGATTCTACTATATAGATGTGATCTGTCATCTAGATACTAAATTCTTCTTGCTAAAATATCAGAAGCTAATGGCCTTCTGTGGATAATTCCTTTTTTTTTTTTTTTTTTTTGAGATGGAGTCTTGCTCTGTCACCCAGGCTACAGTGCAGTGGCAAGATCTCAGCTTACTGCAGCCTCTGCCTCCTGGGTTCAAGCGATTCTCCTGCCTCAGCCTCCAGAGTAGCTGGGACTACAGGCATGCGCCACCATGCCCAGCTAATTTTTTTGTACTTTTAGTAGAGATGGGGTTTTGCCATGTTGGTCAGGCTGGTCTCAAACTCCTGACCTCAAGTAATCCTCCCACCTTGGCCTCCCAAAGTGCTAGGATTACAGGCATGAGCCACCACACCTGGCCTTCTGTGGAAAATTAACCCAACGGAATAAACTCAAAAGTAGTTTATTTAAAGGACTGTGTCAGTCTACTGAAGGATAAGCTTTGCCTCTCTGCAGCTCTCAAATCACACTGTAGGAAGATGGCTTCATTTACACAAATAGCCCACTTGTAAAGGCAACAGAGTCTTCTCACAAGGCAAATTATTAAGTCATCCACCTTGGGGTTAGCTTAGCTAAGAGCCTAGGATGAATTTGACAACTGTATAGGGATCACAATCTATGGTATAACTGTGGGAATTTTTGGCTGATATTTCCCAGCAAAGGACAGAAATAGTCTCATTTATTCGATATGGAATCTTGCTAATTTTGCCTCTGAGAGTTAAAGAAACTCCCATGTTCTAAGAGGTTTAGCTGTTGTTCTTTGATAAATAACAGTATGGATTACTATGGATTTTTAGAAAACAGAGCACACTGAAGGAACACCATTTTCAGAAACTCAAGAAATTTAATGTGAGAAAAACATAATATACATGGGGTTACTGTCAAATATTTTTTCATTCTTAGTACGTATGTATCAGTGTGAGAAACCATAAACTACAGTAATATTACTGAAAGGATTCACTAGAGTCACAATAAGCGGCAAAGAAACCTTCACTGAGAACCAGGAAAAACCCCACAATAAAGCATAAACACAACTACCTGGCTGTTTGTGGTAGGTGAGCTCTCTGCTTGTTAAGCAGAACCATCGTTTCTTAAAATTCTTTTTTCCAATCCGAGTTCTTCCTTGAGCTCTTTTATACATCTCACTGCCAACATAACAGATGTAAACATTTAGCTATAAAAATTAAAAGTTAATCCAAAACAAAGAAGTATCCTTTAACTTTAAATGACATGAATAGTAGTGTAAGATTATATTAAATATATAAAAATGTTTTTGCTATCCATGACTGTTGCATTTATTTTGGCCACACTAAAGGAATAAGGTCTTTAATTAATTTAATATTTTTAATTGTACTATACAGAACAAAAAAGGGTCAAATGAGTGGTTCCCCCCCTTAACTTATAATAAACACTTTACATTAAGACTAATAGTGCTGTTACTTTTTAAAAGTACTCTAAATACCCATCATCTCACTATAATTGCAAAACAACTCTAGGACTGTATGCACAGGAAATCATGCTTTTTTGCCATAAAGTTTGTAGGACAGTAAAGGCGACTTACCTGACTGCTAATTTTGGCAGTTCTAACACAGCACACAAAGCCAGATCTCCTCACTCTTAGACCCACGCTCTTTGTACTTACTTAATATCTATACTGATATATGACTTTCACGTCTAATTTGATTAAATTACCCTTCTTTCAGGTGCACAGGCTCACTCGTACCACTGGACTCTTTAGTTTCAGTAGATGAAATTTCATCCAAGAACTAAATGGGGAAATGGGCAAATATTACACTGTGTGATAAGGTACATTATAAAAAATTCAGTTTATCTTACATGTCATTAATTATAATGGGAAGTTCTTCATTATTAATGAATACACATAATAGTAATTTATAAAACAAAACACATATTTAATTAGAGAGGAAATCCCTAATTTACAAATGACAAGTATTATAAAAGTATTATTTATTTATTTATTTATTTATGTGGAGACAGAGGCTCACTCTGTTGCCCAGGCTGGAGTGCAGTGGTGCAATCTCAGCTCACTGCAACCTCTCCTTCCTGGGTTCAAGTGATTCTCATGCCTCAGCTTCCCAAGTAGCTGGGATTACAGGCATGTGCCACCATGGGCAGCTATTTTTTTTTATTTTTAGTAGAGACAGGGTTACGCTATGTTGGCCAGGCTGGTCTTGAACTCCTGGCCTCAAGTGATCTGCCTGACTCAGCCTACCAAAGTGCTGGAATTACAGGTGTGAGCCACCGTGCCCAGCCTAAAACTTTGTTCTTAAGTTACTTAAAACCCAGAACATATTTCCTTGTAGGAATAATTCAATCCATAATTCCTTAACTGCAATTCTGAAATACATAACATTCTGAATACAAAGTTTTTAAATCTTGTCTTTGATTTGAAGTACTCATTTAGGGGTATAACTTAACCTGAACTGGTGTAAGGCTATTTACACTCTGTACTTATATTACTTACTGTAAGTATTCATATACTGTGCTATAAGAATTAATGTATTTGATTGTGGGGTGCTACCCTAGGCTCCACTGGGGGGTGTTAAATATAGTATATACTGATTACCTTTTGAAACTCTGAAAAACTGAATTCTGAAATACTTTTGGTCCCAATGATTTTACATATAAGATTGTGAACCTTTATTATAGGTTAAGAATCACCAAAGTATGGCTCAGAGGGCCACGTTTGACCTGTAGCCTGTTTTTGTAAGGCCCATAAGAATACAGGTTGAACATCCTTAATCTGAAAAATCCCAAATGTTCCAAAACCCAAAACTTTTTGAGTGCCAACAGGATATTCAAAGGAAATGCTTGCTGGTGCATTCTGGATTTTGAATTTTGGATTTTCAGATTAGGGATGCTCAATCAGTTAAAAAAAATATATATGGAGAGAGAGAGAATGAATAAAAGTATTTCAAAATTTGAAAAAAATCCAAAATCCAAAACACTTCTGGTCTCAACCATTTTGATAAAGGATACTCAACCTGTAACTATTACATTTCTAAATGTAACAATTAGGGTTACATTTAGGATTGTGAAAGGGTTGTGAAAACAAAGACTAAGTGGCAGAGACCTTATGTGATCAGCAAAGCCTAAAATATTTTCTCACTGTCCCTTTACAGAAAAGAGTTTGCCAACTTCTATCATATATAACTGACTTTAGCTCTGAGAGATGGTATTTCACAGTCATGACTGAAGAGTAAACAGATTATCTGGGATAATCGAAATCTAATCGCCATTTATAAACTTCCCATCAAGAAAATTTATAGTATCCATCTTTACCAAGTCAGCTAGTGAAAAACATTTAACTTCATAAATATGCTACCCTGACTGGTCAAGGGCTTTTTAGTATTTGGCTGTCTCTTCATGGGAAAGGGAAATCAGCAGTTCAAGGAACGATTCCTTTTT